>NC_000002.12:108701739-109004769 GCF_000001405.40 Homo sapiens | reverse complement strand
ACTAGTGGGGAATGAAGAAAGCTCAAGGAAGAAATAAGGGCAGAAATCAGAGATGAGAGATTCTTTCCAGGAGGTAAGAGCTAGAACCAAGAGTGTGAATTAACCTGAGAGAGTGGAGAGAGAAAAGGCCCAGGAAAGACCCTTTGCTCCACCCTCTTCTCGCTTCTCACTGTGCCTTTGCAGTGGTGGAACCCACTCCTGTGCCCCCAACTCTGTTCCCAAAGATGATGCCCAATGGTTGGACTCTGGCAGCGCTTTCCGAACCTAAATGGGCACAAGAACACCTGAAGCATGCTTTAAAACACAACTTGCTGGGCCCCATCCCAGAGTGTCTGCTTCAGGAGGTGGCATACAGTCTGAGGATGTGCATTTCTAAGACACTTTTGAGTGTTGCTGATGCTTTTAGTCTGAGACCATTCTGAGAACCTCTGGACTATGAGGAACAAGCTGGCTTGGCTCCTGTTGGGAGCAGCCTCCCTGAGTTCAGGCTCCCTTACTCCCTCACACCCACAGCACGTGAGGGTGGGCCATCAGGGGTCCTAAGGTCATCCCTTCAGTTCAGGAAACTTGGTTTACGAAGTTGCCATGAGCTCCTGAGATACAAGACCAAGTCTCTTGGGCTTACACCCTTATTGCCAAAATGATTTTATGTTATTTTACAAAAATATGCACATGTCAACATTCTTTTCAGAATACACAAAATAGAGAAAGCTTATCTCCCATTCACTCTTTGTCCTTAAAGTGCTTCACTTCCCTCAATGCCTGTCATCCCTCTTTGATGTCAGCTAGAAGAGCCTAGAATGTCTGCACCTCGGGGAACCTGGGAGACCTCACCACTCCATGAGGCAGTAAGGGAAGACCATTCCAGTGCAGGCAAACCAAGACCTAAACAAACAACTCTGCTGGTGTCTCTTCATATAATATCTCACACCCTGAGAGCTGCCTGCCGATGTCCCTTGCTAGCACATTTTATTCCCACCTGCAGAATAGAGCTGCTGGAGTTGCACCTTAAGGAGACATGGGTATTTGATGTAAGCCCTAGTTCAAAATGAGAGAACTGGCTGGGCGCAGTGGCTCATTTCTGTAATCCCAGCACTTTGGGAGGCCGAGGTGGGCAGATCACTTGAAGTCAGGAGTTCAAGACCAGCCTGAGCAACATTATGAAACCCCATCTCCACTAAAAATACAAAAATTAGCCAGACCTAGTGGCGCACACCTGTAATCCCAGCTACTTGGGAGGCTGAGGCAGGAGAATCACGTGAACCCAGGAGACGGAGGTTGCAGTGGGCCAAGATCATGCCATTGCACTCCAGTCTGGGCAACAAGAGAGAAACTCCTTCTCAAAAAAAAAAAGAAGAAAAAAAATTAAAAGGGATGGCAACAACCGTCCATCATTCACTCATGCATCCTTTCAGGAATGTATTGAGGGCCTACTATGTGCCAAGTGCTGTGCTAAGCTCATAAAGTCTTGTTCTTTGCCTGAAAGGAGCTGACAGCTGGTGAAGAAGACAGAAAAGTGCACGTGTACTTTGCTGGCATCTTTTTTTTTTTTTTTTTTTTTTTTGAGAGGGAGACTCACTTTGTCACCCAGGCTGGAGTGCAGTGGCATGATCTCAGCTTACTGCAACCTCCACCTCCCGAGTTCAAGCGATTCTTCTGCCTCAGCCTCCCGAGTAGCTGGGACTACAGGCAAGCATCACCATGCCCAGCTAATTTTTGTATTTTTCGTAGAGACGGGGTTTCACCATATTGGCCAGGATGGTCTCGAACTCCTGACCTCTTGATCTGCCCACCTCTGCCTCCCAAAGTGCTGGGATTACAGGTGTGAGCCACCATGCCCAGCCACTTTGCTGGAATCTTAAAAGCCTTTAGTAAAGGGGTATTATGAGGCATGAACTTCATAGGTAAAAATGGGTAAGGGTGTTCTGATCAGAGGAGCCTAGAAGTGGAGAACAGCATGACACAGCTTTCTGCAAACTGTGAGTGTCTTGGTATAACTGAAATGAAGGATTGTTATCTATCCCACCAAAACAAACAAACAAAAACACCCAAAACCCCAATGGCAGGTCTAGCTTTAGAACCTGATCAGTGCCTGGTGCTTGAGGGACTCTCCCACCTGCTGGAGGGTGGCCGGGGAGCAGAGGGAACCTAGGTCCATGTGAGGTTAGAGAGATGGCTGGGCCAGGTTGTGAAGGGCTCGGTGCACTGAGGTGTGGTAATTAAGGCAGTGACCTAGGACTTTATTCCAAGGGCAGTGGGGAGCCAAGTCTTAAATGTGGAGGTGACCTGATAGGAAAAACATCATAGAAAGGCCACTCCAGCTGAGAGTGGAGGATGGAAGCAAGGAGACATTGGGAGAAGCCAAAGCAGTGGTTCAAGGGAGACATAGTGAGTGAGAAGGAGGCAAGTGTGGTGCCCTTTGCATTAAACCTAAGAGCCTAGCAAGCTGGGAAGTGGAATCCCGGCTCACAAGCGTAAGGAACCCAGGGGTGGACAGCTGGCCCCAGGCACCATTCCAGGAGCAAGCACAGGGCCAGGGCCAGAAACCTGGGTCCTCCTCTGGGGGCCTCCTGCATTGGTCGGCCTCTTGGAAGCATCGCCTGGAGGCAGGAGCAGAAAGAGTTGGGGGACAGCAAGGGTGCAGTGCAGCCATGGGACACAAGGGGCAGCAAATGGCAGCCACCAACTCCCTACTCTTGGATGGAAAATAGCTTTTTGGGCTCCGTTAAAGGCTTTAATGGGCTGGGCGCAGTGGCTCATGCCTGTAATCCCAGCACTTTGGGAGGCCGAGGCGGGCGGATCATGAGGTCAGGAGATCGAGACCATCCTGGCTAACACAGTGAAACCCTGTCTCTACTAAAAATACAAAAAAAAAAGCCAGGCGTGGTGGCGGGCGCCTATAGTCCCAGCTACTTGGGGGCTGAGGCAGGAGAATGGCATGAACCCAGGAGGCGGAGCTTGCAGTGAGCCGAGATTGCGCCTCTGCACTCTAGTCTGGGCGACAGAGAGACTTCATCTCAAAAAACAAACAAACAAACAAACAAAAACACAAAAAAACTTCAATGGCAAATTATAAAAATAAGCCCTCCTAAAGACAGTAGCGTGGAGAATTTAGGGCCAATTCTGTGTGTCTCCTTTCCAAAAGGGAGGCCAGGGGACATGAGGGATCTTCATGCAGCAGGGCCACAACGTGGCAGTCAGTAGCTGCTGTGCTCTTTGGTATGCCCACTTTTACAGGCACAGTGGGAGGGTCCCCCTCTCCCTTCTTGTCCAGCTCCTCTCTCTTGCCCATCCCTTTGCCACCAGCCAGCCATGGGGCTGGCCCAGCTCCTGCAGTTACTGCCTGCCACCCATCTGAGAGCCAGGCCTGGACTTGCCTGTTCTTGTGTGAAAGCTGCCCTGCCCCTACTGTGACCCCACGTGTCCTGGACGAGCCATTTCCTTGGCCTCAGCATTGGCCACATAGCTGATTGGGAGGAGCTTTCTCAGCTGAGGGTCCTGATTCTTTCTGTGATTGTCCCATGGTGCCAAAGACTGTGTGGTCTGGAGCTCAGCCTCAGGAGTGAATGGTTCCTGGACTTGCTGTGAGTGCCTTTACTTTTACACCCGCAGCACAGTTGATTCCTTTAGGATTTTCTTATACGAGCCACTCATGTAGCAATGAAACTCTGAGCACCCTTGCTGATAAGGAGAAAGTTATCAGAACCAAACAGGAAACCTACAATGGGGTGAGGGTTCTCTGATCTGCTCTTTACTTCCCCCTGGAAGGATGCTAAACTCAGAGGCTCACAGCACATGGAACCCAGTCCCTCACCTGGGCCTCAGGGCAGGGCACTGAAGGAATTCAGCACTCTGACCCAACAGTCTCGTCATCAGCTTGAGTCCTGGCTCTGCTCCTGACTAGGCACGTGACCTGGGACATATTCCTCATCCTGTGTGCCTCCGTTTTCTCAATGAGGTGATGGATAAGACTATCTCATAGGGTTGCAGTAAGGGTTGTATGAGATAAGTCACATAAAGTGCTTAGTGCCTGGCTCATGGGAAATGCCCAGTAATGCTGGACATTATTATTTCTTATTATATGTTGTTATTATCTCTCCAAGGCCTAACTCCTGTGCTCTTTTCCCAAGAAGCCGTCCCCAGTTTCCAACTGGAAGAAACTTGACCTGTTGCATGCTTTAAGGCTTTACTTTTTATTTATGTTTTGTTTATTTTGGGTTTTTGTTTGTTTGTTTTTGAGACAGGGTCTTGCTCTGTCACCCAGGCTGGAGTGCAGTGGCGTGACCATAGCTCACTGCAGCCTGCAGCCTCTGTCTCCCAGATTCAATCAGTCTTCCCACCTCAGCCTCCCGATAGCTGGGACTACAGGTGCACACCATTATGCCTGGCTAATTTTTAAATTTTTTGTAGAGAGGGGGTCTTGCTATGTTGCCCAGGCTGAGCTCAAACTCCTGGGCTCAAGTGATCCTCCCACCTCAGCCTCCTAAAGTGCTGGGATTACAGACATGAGCCACCGTGCCCGGCCTAGGACTTTATTTGCATTTCTCCTGTGGCTCTTGAGTCATCTACATCCAAATGTATTATTTGCCTCCTCATCTGGAACACCGTTATGGCCCTGACTCTAATTCCCAATAGGTTGAACTTTTCCCCAGGATACACACTCTGGATTCAGGTGCTTGCCCTGCAGATACGTTGCTGCATTTCTGCACTGTAGCTGTTCCCAGATCCAGTTTTGATAAAGGAAGCACAGATTTGTCTAAAACTTAGAGAAGGCCTTTGAGAGCAGGTCGTCATTTACCAGGCAGCAAGCAGCCTGGGCAAAGGCACATAAGATGGGACTGAACTAAACATTGCTGTGATGGACCCCAGGGCTGTGGAGCCACCTCTTACAGCCCTGGGTTCAAGCCCTTGACCTCTGCCACTGATGGAAAGTCAGAAATCCAGTCTTACTTCATTTCTCCCCATGCCTCCTCCCGCCATGTTTTTGTAATAATAAAAAGGGAAATTTCGTAATTTTTTAAAAAACTACTTAATCTTTGCCTTCTAGGAAGCCTAAAATCCTTAATTTCAGGGATTTCACACATATTTAGGAAATGTGGAAACCGAAAAGTGTACATAACACAGCCTGTGCTTTTCACCCTCAGCCTACCAGGAATCTCCATGTGGCGTCGCCATATCCAAGACTGTGGCAAGCTTTTGTGCCGAAAGATTTAAAAGTCCGTTTAGCAGCCTGGTCTCTCAATAAAGCAAGTACTTAATCTCTGATCAAGACCAGGGTCACCTTGCTCAGTTAGATGTGTGGGAAAGTCATCTGGGTAATTACCGAAAATGGGGCAGATCATTTAGTTCTGAGCTGCTGTGTAGCTGCTGAATCCACAAGTCACTTCACTTATAGCCAAAGGTAATGTTAAGGAATGAAAGAGATAAGCGTAATTGTTAATTATAGGAATGGAGCTAACATTACTTAACATGCAAAGCTCCAGCCTAAGCCCCATGTTTATGTTACCTCATTTAATGCTCACATCAATCCTATGAAGTAGGTACTGTTATTTTTCCCACTTTTCAGATGAAGAACCCAGGGCTTCTGGAGGTTAAGCAAGTTAGAAGCCAAGCCAGGAGAATGCAGCTTGTCGGCACCCAGGCATCTCCAGTCAACCACATATTTCACATACTTACAATAATAAGAATTTTAAACTCTATAGTCAGCTCGACAATAAGCACTAAAATGGATAAATTTATTTGCAAAATCACATCTTGGAAAAACAGAATGGCTTGAGACCACAAACCTTTTGCTGCCGTTAGAGTCTGAAGATCAAAGCAAGCTTGGGGACAGTGAGGCTAGCAGGGAACCAGGCTCTGGTGGAGGAGGCACGGGCCCAGCTTTCAGCCTTCAGGCTAGAGGACACCAACTGGCCACCTGGGGGCCTGAGCCAGGCTGAAGCCATTTTTTGTGTTTACTTGGGCCACACAGATAAGTTGCCATATTTAAAAATGGGAAGATGTTACTTAAAAAAAAAAAAAATCCAGATCTTTGAATTTCTTGTGGAGCTCTGTGGTCTGCATCCAGGAACACTTGGCAGGGGCCAGTGAGAGGGTGCCTTCATTATTAAGGTCAGTGGCTGGGGCTCGGAGTTTGCATTTTAGATAAATCACTGTAGAGGCTGGGTTGAGGAAGAGAAAGTCAGAAGCAGGATAAACAGTGAGAGAGAAGACGCTGAAAATGATTCTGTGATCTCTCCTTAGGAGGATTAGTGGTGGTCCTGGCTGATTCAGGAAACGAGGAGGATTGGATGTGTTGAGGGTGTTGTTTCCAGCATCTCTGAGACTTCCCAACGAGATGTTTTCCACTCCACGAATACAAGAATCAAAGCTTAAAAGACGAAGCCTGGGCTCAAAATTAAGTGCAGGAGTCGCCAGGCTGATGAAACAATGAGCCTGGGAGAATATGGAGACCCTAGCAGTGGGACCCTGGAAACAGCATTATCCGAGGGGCAGGTCGAGATGAATGGCCCACAGGAGACCAAGAATAAACCAGGAGTCAGGTTTCACAGAGGAAGAAGAGATCATGGTCTTGTTGCATGGCATTAAAAAGCTCCAGGAGCATAAAGACTGAAAGGTATCTACTGGCTTTAGCAATTAGGAGGTCCCTGGTGACCTAGGCAAGAACAATCCCAGAGTGTAGGGAGAGCAACAGTTCCGGTAGACTGAAGAGTGGATACAACCATCTCACTGCAATTCAGCATGACCCATAAAAGACAATCACCATCATTCAGAGATGCACACTGATACTTGCCGAGGCTGAGGACTTAGCCAGCTTGCTCATGCCAGGATGTTCAGAGCAGTGTCTTGTGTTTTTGTTTGTTGTTGTTGTTGCTTTTTGAGACGGAGTCTAACTCTGTGGCCCAGGCTGGAGTGCAGTGGCGCGATCTCGGCTCACTGCAACCTCCGCCCTCCGAGTTCAAGTGATTCTCCTGCCTCAGCCTCCCAAGTAGCTGGGATTACAGGAGCCTGCCACCATGCCCGGCTAATTTTTTGTATTTTTAGTAGAGACGGGACTTCACCATCTTGGCCAGGCTGGTCTTGAACTCCTGACCTCGTTATCCACCCACCTCGGCCTCTCACAGTACTGGGATTACAGGCGTGATCCACCGTGCTCGGCCACAGAGCAGTGTCTTAACACCAGGTCTTCAGGCTCCAGGGCCAGATATCCAGCCAGCCATCCTGCCTCTTTCTATCTGTTAGGTATGCCAAAGGTTGGAAATGCAGGTGTTCTCTGGACATTTCTAAACCCTTACTGACCATCATCTTTTTTTTTTTTTTTTTTTTTTTGAGACAGAGTCTTGCTCTGTCTCCAAGGCTGGAGTGCAGTGGCGCAATGTCAGCTCACTGCAGGCTCTGCCTCCTGGGTTCACACCATTCTCCTGCCTCAGCCTCCTGAGTAGCTGGGACTACAGGCGCACGCCGCCACATCTGGCTAATTTTTTGTATTTTTAGTAGAGACGGGGTTTCACCGTGTTAGCCAGGTTGGTCTCGATCTCCTGACCTCGTGATTTGCCCACCTCAGCCTCCCAAAGTGCTGGGATTACAGGCGTGAGCCACTGCGCCCAGCCATACTAGGACATCTTATGCTTCAGACCCACTGGCTAGAGGTTTTGTTTAAACAGAATGAGGAGTTTAGGAAAGTTTCTGGCAACAGAGACTAGTTACACACTTGAATCCCATTTTCTGCTCCTGGACACACAAAAACACTGCACTCCCCACCCTTACAGCAGTCAGCCTGGAGGCATGTGAGTAGATGCTAGCCAACTGAAGTGGTGTGCCACTGCTGGGCCTGGTCCTGAGCATCCCATGTGCTCATCCAAGCCTTTGCTCCTGTCTGACCTGAGAAGAGGCAGATGGTGGGGCCACAGGCTGGAAGGAGTTTGGGTTTCTGAGTCACTGCTGGCAGGAGAACCATCTGGAAAAGCCACCTAGCCCGCATCAGATGTGACATGAGCAAGAAACGAGCTATGATTGTATTATGCCACCGAGACTTCAGGGTTCCTGTGTTACTGCCACACTGTTGGCCTGTGCAGATGGATGTTGCTGGTAAGATCACTGATTCAAAGGCACAGGACAACAGCACAGCAGGCTTGGGCTCCATGCTCATGGGCAGGGGGGAATGGAAGTAGAAGTTTCCACATACTCTCTCCCAGTCAGTGAATCCCCTAGATCCCGTCTGGGGTATGTATTTCATTGTTGAAGTCCATGGCGCATACCGTTAATGGGCCTGCTTAATGAGGCCAGTGTCCTGGTGGCCACTCACCTATCTGGAGCCTTTCTTATTTACTTTGAGCTGCTCCCAAGGAGTGTGGTTGGACATTACCAGCCACCTTGAAGGCATGAGTAGAGGAGAGCTCTCTAGTGTCCAGCCCAGTTTGGGATTGTGAGAAACTGTGCTGGACTTAAACGTACATCCCTGCACCTGGGGTGTAAAGATCCCTAAACTGTGTGGCTTAGGGTGGAACCAAGACCCAGACTCAGACCTTCCTGGGGTTCAAACCTGGTCAACACCAGAAGCCTGGCACCTATCCCCACTGTTAGGCAGCAGGGAACTCTCACTCTTCACTCCCTCTTCCCAAATCAGAATCTTTCCAGTTAGTCAACACTTCATTTCCTTGGGGAATCATTTTATACTATGAATGATACCCCAGCAGAACTGATATGAAAGCTAAAATTGCCATAAAGCAGACTTTCTTAAACCTTGCTTATCTAGAAAAGAATAAATTGCATATCCCAATTTTTCATAATGAGAAACTGCAAATTAATTAGTCTTTATTAATAAGGCCTGGCTACAGTGGCTGAAAGACATGAGGGTTTATTCTTTCCCATGAATGAGGCAGGTAATTTGGGCCTGGTGGGGCAGCTGCACAAGGGGTTGGAGCTCCTTCCGTCCTACTCTGATGTCTACCCAGCTGTCATGTTCACACTCCAGGTGGCAGCAAAGGGGACGCATGGAAAGGGGCAGAACAGCTTCCTCCCAGATGAGTTGGCAGCCTTTTTGGAAGTCTCTGACACCTGCTGTGGCTCATTGGACAGTTCTGAAGCACGCGGCAACATCTAACTGCAAGGGAAGCTAAGAAATGCAACCATTTAGCCAGGCATATTGCTCTGAGCAGAGCTGGGAGATTCCTGCTGGAGAAGGGAGGCTGGGAAGAGGTGGCAGGCAGCAGCTCTGCCAGCCAGGGTGAATTCCTGTTAAAATGCCTGTTTATTCCCATTTTGGCTTTCTTTTGCTGACCACAGCTTTGGGGATCTTTGGACAATGGGTTCATATCCATAGCAGGTGAAGAGTAAGGGAGAACTAACATGCCCCCTGCAAGAACACATTAGCCCTTGTAAATCAATCGTTCCTCTGCCTTACAGATTACCTGCAAAATGTTGTAATAGGTGTGATTTTTAATTTCATTAATTTGGCCAGGCACACCTGTATTCCCAGCAACTTGGGAAGCCAAGGTGGGAGGATCACTTGAGCATAGGAGTTTGAGGCTGCAGTGAGCCGCAGTCTCACTACTTCACTCCAGCACAGGTGATGGAGCAAGACCCTGTCTCTAGAAAAAAATCCATTGATTAATAAATACTAATAAATAAAACCCAATGCGGCCGGGCACGGTGGCTCATGCCTGTAATCCCAGCACTTTGGGAGACCGAGGCGGGTGGATCACGAGGTCAGGAGATCGAGACCATCCTGGCTAACATGGTGAAACCTCATCTCTACTAAAAATACAAAAAAATTAGCCAGGCGTGGTGGCGGGCGCCTGTAGTCCCTGCTACTCGGGAGGCTGAGGCAGGAGAATGGCGTGAACCCGGGAGGTGGAGCTTGCAGTGAGCCGAGATTGCACCACTGCACTCCGGCCTGGGCGACAGAGCGAGACTCTGTCTCAAAAAAAAAAAAAAAAAGATATATATATATATATATATATATATATATATATAACCCAATGCACAGATAATTTTTTATGTTTATACTATGGACCCATACTTCCCTGCTTTTAGATATCCACTGGTTAATAGCATGATAATCCCATGACCCCATAATCCCCTTTCCCCGGAGCCATGATTTATGATAGAAATATGTACTTGCCTATTGGAAGGATGAATTTGTTGATTTTCAAATGAAGATATCAATATTTCATATTTCTAAACTCAGTTTTCTCCCCTCTTAATTTTTCTGGTATAGTGCAAATAGGTTTTATAATACTCTTGTGGTTTCCTTTATTAGAAAAACATAGTGATGTGTACTGTTGAGCTAAATGACAATATTACAGATCGTAAAAAAGATTTAGTATTTGAACCTTTGCACTATTCAAGCTCGTAAAGCCATTCTCAGCGAGGATCAATTTCAATTATGTTTTCACTGCTTACATAATGGAGGTGGTGGGGGCCGTCTCAAACCCTGGCTGGGGAGCAGAGAGAGCTTAGGCCACGGGAGAGGGCATGCCTTTGCCCTGCACGAAGCTCCTGGCCTGAAGCTTTCCTTCATCCATGGAGGTGGTTCATTATGGTCCTTCCTTTATGTGACCAGAGTCATTATTGACAGCTGTGTTCCAAATCCAGCTTGCATTTTTAATAAGGTGTCCATGGGGGGAATCCTGGGCAAATGGGAAGTGCTGTGGTCTGGGTGTCTGTGTCTCCCCTGAAATTCATATATTGAAATCCTAAGCTCCTAGGTGATGGTATTTGGAGGTGGGGTCTTTGGGAGGTGATTAGGTCATGGAGGCTAGAGATGGAGCCTCATGAATGGGATTAGTGCCCTTGTAAATGACACCCCAGACAGCGGCCTCACCCCATCTGCCATGGGAGATGACCAGACACTGGGTCTGCTGGGCACCTTGATCTCGGACTTCCCAGCCTCCAGAACTGGGAGAAACAAATGTCTGTTGTTGAGGCCTCCCAGCCTACAATATTTTTGTTATAGCAGCCCAAGCTAAGGCAGGTAGCCAAAGGAAAGCCAGGCTTTTGTTTAATCAGTAGCAGGGGGTCAGTGTTCAAAGTTTAGTTAAATAACTAAATGCAGAATCTCATTCTCCAATAGGGTACAATCAACGCAAAGCCCAGCTCTTTCCTCTGCCTTTGACCTGGAGCTGTCCCATCTGAATTTATGCTGGGGGAGGACAGATCACCCAAGCTTGACAATGGTTCACATAGCATTTCATCTCCCGGTATCTAGGTGACACCCTAAAGGCCCTCCCTCTGTGCAAATACTCCCCCAGACTTAGTCTCTCCCTTTCCTCATTTTGCTAAGGATAGTGGCCCATTTTACTTCTAAAACAAGTTTCCATCATTTTCAAATCATGATATACTTGGAATAGAATCCATACCCTTTTGTCCAGCCCCCACGTGGAATGTGGTCTCTACCACCCTTCCTGGGCTGGGCTCAGCTGCCTCCCAGGCCAGCTCCCTGCTTTGTGGCCACAGTTTCCTGTCAGTTTCCTCAGCACACCTGGCTCTGGGCCCCACAGGACCTTTGTACAAGACCTTTGGTCCATCTGAAACACCTTCTGCCCAACTCTGCAGGACTGCCTTCTTCCTTCGCAAGTCTTGGTCAACTTTCCTTCTCAACAACCAAAGCACCGCCCCTCACACCCCCTTACCCCCACATCAGCTTGCTGGTGTCCGCCGTATCACCCAATTCCATTCTCATATTTTAGGCACATTTGCAAGCCTAGGAAGGTGTGGTTCCTAAGAGAGACTTTAAATCACAAATATTTATATTCCTGTTTTTTCTGCCTATGGAACTGTGACCACATGAGTAGCGGGTGCTCTGAGATGATACTTTAAAAACTAGCTGGCCAGTGCTGAGGAGGGCAGAGCCCTGTGAGGTTACCACTGACAGAGCTGGGGACAAACGCATTTTAGGAAAGCAAAGAAGCCAGGCCAGGTCAGTCCTGGGAGCCACTGTGCCACGAGGCAGGGGCAACGTTCTTCCAGAAAACAGTCCCAGTTGTGGGACAAATTTGAAGCTGCAAACTCTACACTATAGACAGAACTGTGATCATTTTATTCTGAATAACTTAGTGGGTGTCACCATGAGCATAAAAACATTTCATCAAATATACACACACTGTGTTAGGATTTGAGCAATGTCATTTCCTGGAAGGTTTTCTGAGATAGACTTCACCTGCAGGTAACCAGAAGTTTACTTGCTGTGGTGAGTTGTTAGGTGAAACCAATTATATGTCAGGGCCCAGCTGCCAGACAGGAGCATCTTGCTTTTGGAGTGTTTGATTCCCCTGCCACTTTTTGAGACAGTAATTAGTAGCAGGAAACTGTCACCAGCCAACTGATAATCCCCTCACATACAAACACAAATAATCCAGGCATCCTGTGCACCCTTGCTTATCACGGCCAAGAAGTACTTTTCATCTCCATTTCATAACTTGATTACTCTATGCCTCCCCAAACAGAGCATAAGCTTCTTGAGGCCAGCGATTTTGACTGTTGTTCTCATTGTGATCTACCCAGCAACTGGAACAGTACCGGCACGTAGAAGACGTGACGTGCATTTGCTGCATGAATAAACACATGAACATGATGGCATAGGAGAATGCTACTTTGATGGGGTACATGGGTATCAAGGATTTTCTTTCTGCTCACACAACATGAGATTTGTAATTAAGACACAGATTTAAGGTGAGTCCGGTGGCTCACACCTGTAGTCCCAGCACTTTGGGAGGCTGAGGCAGGAGGATCACTTGAAGTCAGGAGTTCGAGACCAGCCTGGCCAACATGGTGAAACTCTGTCTCTACTAAAAATACAAAAATTAGATGGGAGCAGTGGCACATGTCTGTAATCCCAGCTCCTCGGGAGGCTGAGAATCGCTTAAACCTGGGAGGCAGAGGTTCCAGTGGGCCAAGATCACGCTACTGCACTCCAGTCTGGGCGAGAGAGCAAGACTCTGTCTCACCAAAAAAATAAAAGACACAAATTTAAAATCACGATGACCAGAATATGGCTCTGTTTCACTCACTGGAAATTATCTGATCTGCAAGATAATTCTTACCAACCCCTGAGTGTTTTTTACAGGGATGGGAGTCCATTGACTCTCTAAAATCACTTGCGAAGTTTTGTTGCTGCGGAGCTGAGAGCTGGGGCCAGCCTGCCTGTTGTGCCCCTCCATAAGACTCCTGGCCATGCATTTGAGCACACCTCATGAAGGGGGCAGGTGGCTGGCCGGGCTGTTATGTGTAGCAAGCATGTGTTCTAAATTACAATTCATTTGTTCTAAATTACATTCATCATTTCTAAATTTGTTCTAAATTTAGAACACAGCCCCAGGAGACCCCCTTCACCCAACCATGTTCTGCAGTCTTGATTCATTTTCTTACTTAAAAAATGCTATTGATAACCTGTTGCTATTTCTGCCTCAGTCTCTTAGGAAATGTATAAAACAGAAAATCACATATCTTCAAAGCTCTGGAGCTTTACATGATGAAGATAAGCAATGATTTCTCATTTCATTCTTTCTCTTAATCAACTGAATTAATTATATACTCATTTTCATTTGGATATGATGACTAGGCAGACTTCAAGTATAACCATCCATAACCTTGCTTAATGCCATGATGTTTGGATTTTTTTCAAAGAGAGGAAAAAACTCCCTTGGCTTCTATTACAGCATCCATATTTTGTGCCATTTTAATTTTTTCTTGTGTCTTTTTTCTCTCTCTTTGGGAAATATCAGTATCATTCCTTTTGGTAAATTTTAAATCACCACTTAATTTCCAATAGAAAAAATGTTTTAGTTACACCTAAAATAATCCCAAACCTCAAACACACTGTGAGCACACCAGAAAGTAAAAATTATATGGAGTAGAACAGATTAGCCCAGAATACCTCCCATTCATTTTCCCAGGTTCCTAATTTAATAATTTCAGTGACTTTAATTTATCACAGACCCTCAGTCTGAACTCGGCATGAGCAGGGTAGACAACCAAACCTGAAAATTCAAGTTAAAATTCTTGTTTGGGAGCTTATATTATCTAGATTAATCATCCACAAGGATCAAGTCAGCTAAGTAACTCTGGTTCAGCTTAATCTCTGTGGAGGCAGAATTAGTCCTTTACAGTCTAGGTCCTTGCCCCAGCCCCATACATTTCTGTCTGCTTTTTTCTTTTCTTTTCTTTTCTGTTTTGAGACAGATTCTCGCTCTGTTGCCCAGGCTGGAGTGCAGTGGCACAATCTCGGCTCACTGCAACTTCCATCTCCTGGGTTCGAACAATTCTCCTGCTTTAGCCTCCACACATGCCACCACCGGCTAATTTTTGTATATTTTTTTTTTTTTTTTTTTTTGAGACGGAGTCTCGCTCTGTCACCCAGGCCGGACTGCGGACTGCAGTGGCGCAATCTCGGCTCACTGCAAGCTCCGCTTCCCGGGTTCACGCCATTCTCCTGCCTCAGCCTCCCGAGTAGCTGGGACTACAGGCGCCCGCCACCACGCCCGGCTAATTTTTTGTATTTTTAGTAGAGACGGGGTTTCACCTTGTTAGCCAGGATGGTCTCGATCTCCTGACCTCATGATCCACCCGCCTCGGCCTCCCAAAGTGCTGGGATTACAGGCGTGAGCCACCGCGCCCGGCCTAATTTTTGTATTTTTAGTAGGGACGGAGTTTCACCATGTTGGCCAGGCTGATCCCAAACTCCTGACCTCAAGTGATCTGCCCGCCTCAGCCTCCAAAGTGCTGGGGTTACAGGTGTGAGCCACGGAGCCCAGACTGTTTCTTTCTTAAGCTCTTACTTTCTCATGTGTGAGTTACCTTGTAGGTTTCCAAGGCAGAGGGGACAAGATGGAAAAGGAGAACACAGAAATCTAGCCTGGAGGAGCTGCTCTGTTCCTGTATTTATCTGTGTAGGTGTGAATGAGGGAGAAAATGACAAGAGAATGACATTATTTTAAGGCTGTTTTCCCCCCCCCAATCATTTACTTTTTGAGAAATAATTGCCCAATACTGAAAGGTATGTCCTTTCAAAATGTTGATGTTTCAAATGGCTTCCTAATTACCTAGTTATACGGGGGGTGTGTATGGTTATCTGAAGTTACATGGGTATACACTGGTGGTGTGAGGTGTCCAGAGAGAGGAAAGGAAGAGCAGTCCTGGTGGCTCAAACCCTGAGGGATGTGCGGGGGATGGGTGAGAATGTGAACAGACATGTTGGAAGCTGAATCCGTGCAGTGGCACCCATGCCTGTAGCCATCTCAGTGGGGGGTCCTTCTACGAACAAGCTTTGATTAATGATATTTTAATGCTAGTTTAGCTTTTTAGCACTCCCACGCCTAAAGGCTCTGATAGAAGCAAGGCCCCCACCCCTGCAAAAAAAAAAATCCATGATTTTTACGCATTCCAACAGATCTCTTAAGGGGCAGACGGCCGGAGAGCCAGGTGTGCCAGGGACCTATGGCAGCAGGGCTGAACGTGCCCGCTCCAGCCTCTCCAGTGCTGGGAGAGACCTCTAGATGGTGCAGGTGAGTTTGCAATGAGGGAAAGCCCCTCGGCAAGGACTGAGTTTCCAAACTTGCAGACAGGGCAGGGAGCGGTCAAGGAAGAGTTCCCGGGAAGCCCTTTAAACGGAAAGGAAGCGGGGCTAGTGTCAGAGAGGTGTGCCAGGTCCCAGGCAGCCCTGCTGGCCCCTAAGGACATAGAGTACCTGCTTCTGAGAGGGCTGCCACGGTGGCCACCTGTGAAGCCTGTCACCCAGAACTGGATGGTACCTGACTTTCTTCATAGACCCATCTTCTGCTGGGACTGAAGCTGACCTCCAACAGAAGCCAGGTAAGCCCTGGTCCTTTCCTCTGGTTTTCTAAACTCTTCAGCTGTGGCCGAGACGGAGGTGTCATGGGCTGGGAGAGAGGCTGGGTGCATTTTTGAAATGCATGTCATTTTTGGGTTGCGTTTGAACAAGCTTTACCGATTGCAGTATGTCTGCGCTACCAGTTCTAAGACCTGAGATTGTTCCTTTGTTTTAGAAAAACATCAGAAACCCTGTTTTGCTGTTGGTTGCACATTTGGTTAGGGAGACAAATTCTGTGTGTGCTTCACAGGCTTTAAGATTTGGGCTACTGAAGCAACGGGTTCCTCCAGGGAGCGTGAAAAGTATGTTTCTCAGGTTTGCCCCTGTGCCCGGCTCACTGGGGAAGGCAGGCGCGGCAGGGACTCTAGCTGGGCTCTGTACCTGCCTCCAACTCTGCGTACCCGCTGTGACCTAAGAGACCTTCCAAGTGGGGTTTCCAGTCGTGTCTGAGACCCCCCATATCCTGGCCTCTGTGTTGGTGGCGGGGGAGCGGGGAGAGGGAGAGAAGGAGGGGAGTGGGTACCTATTTGTGATGATTGAGGTTTTCATTTCCAGCCAAGAGGTTCCTCTCAACACTCTGACAGACCGTGGGGTGGGTTGGGCTCCTAGACAGGAGTCGGCTCTGATTCAGTCGGCTCTGATTCCCAGCCTCCTGCAGCAGCCAAGCTTTGAGATGTCAGCTCAGGGAGAAGCGGGTGGCTGGGCAGGGAGGTCAGCAGGCGAGGTTCCCACTGGGTTTCCCTGCCCATGTTGTGCTGGGTCAGCAACAAGAGGGACAGTTAAAATCAACAAGCAGGGCAGATGCCGGTCAGTGGGCAATCCCACACAGCCAGGGGTACACGCATGTGAGGAGACGTACGGAGAGACAGGAGCACCACCGTCCTCTTCCCCAGTCCCCAGGCCACTGCTCTGTGGCTCTCAAGTGGCATTTTTGAGACACTTTCTAAGCAAGAGTGAAAGTGTAACAAAGAAGTGAAGAGCCATAATAGACTGAAGGAAAAAAGGGATCCAGGCATCTAAAATAGAGAATGTTTCTTGCCTGGCTTAATACTCTGAGATTTGTAAGTCATAGCCACTTAAAACCTTTAAAGATACATTTTGACAGAGGCCACCAAAAAGAGAGTGACTCTGGTCAAGGCTTGGAAATAAGCGTTCGTTCCGATGACAGTCCACGTGTACCCTTCACGGCTGGGAAAGTTTGGCGATCCTGGTGGCGATTGGCCGGGGGTCTCCACTGTACCCCTCCCCATCCCTAAGTGGGCCAGGCTGTGCTGTGGGAGGATTAATTTGTGACAGCACAGTTGGAGGATAATCTTGGAAGGACCAGTCTTTGGGAGGAAAAAGTAAATACACTTTCCCTGAAATGCTTGATTTTCACTCCCTGGCCACTACCTGGTTTCTTGCTTTTGTGAGCTGGACTTTCATTTTGTTGGGCATACACATTTGTGAAGCACAGACATGTCAGGGGCTCATCTTTGTTTCTCAGGCATCATGGTACCCTCTTGCCTAGCCCAGTGCCTGCCATTGGGCGGCAGCCCAACATTGCTCCGGAGTGCAGACAGACCTGGTCTTACCCCATCTCACGGAGCGCAAAACCTACTTGCCTCTGTTAAATGGGGAGCCTCTTCTAGTCAAAGTTCCTCAGGTCTCATAGGCCCACAGATGGAAGCTGGGTTACCTGACGCTCCTTTCTGGGTCCAAGTGAGTGCGTTTTGTGGTTTCCAAAGAATAGAATTTATTCTCAAGGAAATGCCCAGGAACCCAGCTTCAAAGACTCAAGCAAATCTGAAATTCAAATACAGGAGCTGTAAACAGGATGGTGTTTGGCAGACAGCCTTGCTGCTTAAGTGGCTCAGCCCCTCAGCTGGGCTCAGTTTCCCCTCACCCTCCTCCTAGCCTGCCTAGTGACTGCCTGCATGCCTCAATTATCCTGGATGACACCTGCCTGCTCGTTCCTTTGATGCTGTTTGAGGCTCTGCCTAGGTATTCCACCCACCAATAGTATCATTAATTAACTTACATTAAGCCCACTTAGCACATTAGATCAATTAGGGGACAAAAGCCCCAGCCAGCCTTTCCTGTGAGTATGCCGCCTCCATCTCAATGCCTACGATTCTGTCCTTACTGAATTCGTATATTGCAGGAAGGAATTTTTTTTAAGTCCCAAAGATTACTATTTTCCTAAAAAATAAAGCAAGGAAACATAAGCTGATGTCTAATCATTTAACCTCTGCTGTACATTTCTATGGCACTTTACAAAGCGTTGTCATGAATGTCTTCTCTATTTTCCCAATAAGGAAATTGAGGCTCAGAGAGGTTCACTGTCTTGCCCGAAGTCCCACAGCTCATAATGATTATGGGAACACCAAGAACTGGTCTAGGTTAGCACTCAGTATGCCCAGGCCTCGTGTGGAGCCTGTCACTCATAATTGGAGGGGCTGAGACTAGAACCTGTGTCCTCTGCCTCCAACACTGACACATTTGCCCCCACAAGGAGATGGTGCAATGACAGCCACCAGGGATTATAAAAATAAGAGTGGAGTAAGCAAACACTCCCCCTCCTGTATCTTAGTTTCCCAGGGTCGTGTCAGCCCCAGACACACTCATCTCCTGTCCTCAGAGGCGAGGGATCAAGAGGAAACAGTCTCAGTTTTGTTCTTTGTGAACCCTCCTGATAAAAGTTAGAGTGTTTGTAGTTTTTATATAGTGAAAAAAACTGTCAAATATAGGCCATTGTAGGTGGTTCAGTCTAAGATAGTCTAGTAACTAAAAAAAAACTCAAAATGGCATTTGGGGCTCAGGCATCCCAACAGCCCACTGGCCCCTGAGACAAATGAGCTTGACCATATTTAATTTTTCATCATTGCCCTTAGAGTGTCACAAAGCATTACCCAAGGATAGCTGACCCTGTACAGTCAAAGCTATGAAAAAAGCTTTGCCCTGGGTCTTGGCAGGGATCAGCCATTCATTAGGTCATGTATTAAGGGATCCTACAACCTGAAGTGTCTTCAGTCATAGCACACCCCAAGGACATCATGCACTCCATGAAAATATGTCCAATGAATGAATGAATGAATGGGCTCCTTCATCCTTCTTGTCAGAGAAAGGTCACCAATTGTTCCAATGACACAGTTAGGGACAAGGGGGCTGCTCAAACATCAGCATCCCCTAAGTCAATAAGCAAACAAATCCTAGTTAGCAAAGCTACCCTCTCTGGGGGCAGAGACACCTGTTATTTCTCAAATGCTGGATGCCCAAGGGTGGCAAACACACTGTTTGGACCCCAGGAAGGAGCAGACACATGTGGGTGAAGCTGGAGGTCCTGCTTCCTTGCCCAGATCCTCTTGCCCAGACACACTCTGGAAATGCCCATCATTTTATACACCTACGTACACATGTAACCAGCCAGGATGCCTTTGTTTTCCATTTCCGAGAAAACAGAGGACTATGGAAAACAGGTGGGCCGTAAGGAGCCCTACAGAGGAAGATGCACCTGTGGCGGTAGCCCTGCCTGCACCACCCTGCGAGCTCATGCCAGCTTAACTCACTTCACGGTCAATCAGACCTACTGCTCCAAACACAGTAGGAAGGCGCGCCTTCACTTGTGAGTCGGACGAAATCAGCAATGAGGGCAATAACAACCACAGTCACGTTACTCTTAGTAACAGCCCTGAGGCCCGCAGTGTAGCACAGAAGCCAAGCTTAGTGGTGGGCTTAAGGCTGATGTTGTTAACTGATACCATTCAATAGCTAGATATAGGCAACTAAAAGGTGAGCCCAAATACTGAAATAAGATACAGTATTAGTCTCCTGAAAATAAAAAAGAGTTGATTCTGCCAACAACACCTTAATCCTGAGAGAAAGCACTTTCTTAGGATAGAAGAAAGACATGCAAAACCAGACTGCAAGCAAAAAATGAGAGGGCATGCACTGTTTTGACGACTCTCAGATGGTTACCAAATCTCTTCTCTTAAAACTTCCATTTGCCATATTTCCAATCCCATGTTTGCACAGAATCCTGCATGCACAGGAGGAAGCAGGCAGGATTTCAAGTTGGTTTTAGTGCACATTCATTCATTCAGCAAATGTTTTCTGGGCATCTGCTACATGCCAGGCACCATGCTGGGATGTAGTGAGTAACACAGTGGTCCCATGGGTGAGGAGAGAGAACATCCCTGCACTCACAGAGCTTAGATTCTGCTGCAGGGAGAGAAGCTATAATGCATAAATCCAGCGCCATGAAAAAAAAACAAACAAACTAGCAGGGCAGGTAGAAAGAAGGTGCCCAGGGTAGTAGTGGGGGCCTCTTGGGAAATGAAATAGTTGAGTAAAGACCTGGATGAAGTGAGGGAGTGAACCAGGACACCCGCAAGAAAGGAGGCCCTGGGGTGGGGTGAGCTGGAGATGTCCCAGCACCAGCAGGAAGGCCATGCTGCCGGAGCAGAGGGAAAGGAGGGTTGAACAGAAGGAGAGGAGAGGAGAACCAGGAGCCTGAGCGGGCCGTGGCAAGGGGGCTGGGCTCTCATTGAGGGTGATGGAAAGGCAAACAGAAGTCAAGTCAGGGCGGAAGTTCAGCCATGGTGGCTCACGCCCTGTGTTGTTCTGGGACAGTCAGTGCCCACACCACCCCATCCCATGCCACGCCGGTTGCTGTAATTTGCTTCTAAGGAGCTGGGTCTCCAAGTAGCCTCTTCCTGGGAGAGTTGGCTTGGCTGAGGTGCAGGGCAGGAAGGGCAGGCAGCAGGAAGGGTGGCAGGAGAGGAATGATCCATTTTCACCAACACCTGCTCCCTTGGCCGTTAACACATGCCAAAGGGATCCATTCTGAGAAAAATTATGAAGACCCTAACCTGAAACACATGATTACACTTCCAAAAATCTGAAAGTAGATTATCAAGACTCAATAAGTTGTGCAGAGAAAGAACACTTAGCAACAGACATCGCCGTCGCCCCCCTTGCAGCCCTGCTGGGACACTCCCACAGTCGCAGAGCCACTGGCCAGCTGCACTCGCTTCCTCCTCACTTGGAGAGAGGGACACCTTCCAGCATCGGGTGTGAGATGGAGTGGGGACGCAGTGGCTCTCTGATGGCTCAGTTGGCAAAATTGTTGGAGAACGGGTTCAGAGATCACTGATGCCCTTGGCCAGCATGCCAGACCTGTTCCTGTTGACTCCATATGGCCTTTGGAGTTGGAGAGAAGGTGGCTTCCCTGCCCCGTCCCGCACGGAGCCACCAGCACCTGGAAAGTTTGATTTCCTTCCTCGTATCTGGAAGATGCAGGTCGATTAGGAGGGAAGTCAGTCTGGAGGAGGATACCTGTCTCTGGGAACTCCAGGGCAGTCAAGGCAGACAGATGGATCACGAGGGAGGAGCTGGAAGGGCGGGATTGTTGACTTGATGTCTGGTTGGGGTCTGATGAATACAGGAAAGTGGAAGGCCACGGGGAATGCTCCAGTGGGATGCAGATGTCTATTAAGTTGGCTGATTTTATTTACCCAGTTAGATGTGGTTTTATGGTTTACTGTTTGGATTGAGGCTCTGTGTCCTTGGGTAATAAACATTACCTCTGGCCCCAAAAAATCCTAATCCTTAAAAATATGGAAATGCACTGAGCATCCCTAAAAGGTACTTTAGAGGAGTCTCAAGGTTCATTTTCTTTAAGATTTAGTCCTTAATAAAGACTCAAAATGGCTGTTCCTAAAGCCTCCTGTCCATAATGAAGAAGATAAATCAGAGTGTACACTTTGGGGATGTGTTTGTTGACATGCGGCATCCTCTGCAGAAAGCCTGTATCTCCAAGAAGCGTGGCCAAGGGAGGGCACTGACAGCTGAGTTTAGAGTGGGATTTGTAAGCAGCACAAACTAATTGTGCATCGGTAGATTTGCAGAGTGTGGTTTTCTGTTGATGGATTTCTTTATGGGCAATAAAATCTCCAATAAGTACCATTTACATTCAGCAGAACTCTTTTTGAATTTTAGCTCATTCTTAGAGAGATTTGGAGAGAGAGAGACCATCCCTGCACATGCAGCAGGCACCTGGCCTGTCTGGGTGGCCAGTCCTTGTTCTGTGGCCACTGTGAACCCCGCCAATGTCCTAGTTTCCCGCCAGCACTCACTAAGCAATTTTGCTTCTCATTTTACGGGCAGACGTAACCAAAGCAAGGAGACTTAGGTGACTCGGGACACTCGGTTTTGAGTCAATTCTAAAAACCAGGAGACCAAACTTTCTCTAGAATTACTGCCAGTTGGTTTCCAAATTGAGGTTTCCAGATGAAAATTATTATCCAAACAGACCACACACAGCACTCTGACTTGCCTTCTGTGCCTGGCATGTGCGAGGGAAATGGCGCTGGAGAATATTATCCTGATGATTATCACAGTTGTTGCTTTTGAAGGCAAATATTTATTTTGTGAAGATTGCAAAATGAAGTACAACAGAATGTTGAGCTCCTCCTTATGTTTACAGAATAAACAGAACTGAGACACTGGCAAACGCCAATGTCCCTAGTTCTTAAAGGACTGGCTGCATGCCTCCCACGGCATCAGTTAAAGCAGGAGCCTCTGGAGATGGAGGCCTTTGGTGGCAGGACAGCCTCCCACCAGGGAGGGTCTGAGGCTTCCACCCACCTCCCTGGGTTCATCTCTGTAAACAGCTCTCCCAGTGTGGGCTGGATGGGGTTTGAGGTGGCTGCTTTCCTGTTTACCCTGGAACATTTCTTTGTTAGAGAGGCCACTGCATTTGCTGTAAGACAACGGGCTCTAGATCTTTCTCAAGGCTTTGGGAGATCTAATAGAAATAAAAGACCTGGCCCCTATTCTCATGGCCTAAAGCATTGAAAGGAGGAAATAGGAGAGATAGCCAAATTGCATGGTGCTGTTACTGAGCCGTTAAACATCTGTCCCTGCCGTTGCACTGACTGTGCCCTCTTTGAGGACGGGAAGCATCCGTCTGTTCATTCTCTGGCACCTAGCACAGTGGCTGCACACAGTAGGTATTCAATAAATGTTGAAGAAACCCACATTTATTGGGCATTTGTTGCTTCCTTAGCGTTTCCGTCTTAATCTGCACAGCAGTCCTGTGAAATAGAGACAATCATCACTGCTTCACACATGTGCAGAGTAAGGCTTGGAGAGGTGAGGTGGCTTGCCTGAGACCTCCCTCCTGGTAAGTTCATGGACTTCGCCTTGCTGTCGTTTCCATGGGCTCGTTCAGAAATGAGAGCTGGGATGATGTGGGCTGTTTCAAATTAGCTTGAAGTCTAACCTTGTATCATAACTATCTCGGGTGTGGGGATAGTATATATCGAGCAGAGGTCTAGGTATAGACAGATGTGTGAAATGCTAAACATGGCTGAACTCCCCAGAGACACCTCAGCAGACAGCCCTGCTGGCTAGCCCCGGATCCTGGACAGGTGTTGTTTGGGCTGCAGGATGCTGGGAGCTAGAGCGGAAAATGGAAGCTTCTCTTTGTATCCCCAAGGCCAAGAGCAGACCTGGCCAGCCATTCTTCTCACAATAGCAGTCATACCAGACCTAAGACGCGCCAGACAACTTCAACCTCAGGAGCCTTTCTTCTTCCCTGAAGTTGGGGTGGACTGGTCCTGGTGGGGTTGGACTGGCATGGGCTAGCCACCTGGGGCGGGTGCGGCTCTGGAAAGAATGCTGGCGGCAGGGTGGGGAGGAGCCCAGCCTCAGGTGGACACAGGCCCAGAGCCAGCCCCTTCCCGTGCTGGTGGTGGAACGTCAGATCATCATTGCTGGGTAACTTCTGTCACTTCAGTTCCCCGAGGGAAGGTCACATACTTGCCTCATGGGAATATTATGTGGATTTCCGAGAGCCAAGGCAGGCAGAGTGCTTAGAGCGGGCCGTGAGCACATTGGAAGTCCTGCTCATGCTCTGTATGCACTCACGGGCTGAGTTTAACGGGTCAGCTCAACCTCTGCCTGGCAGTCATTCCCACGGTCTAGTCCGTCAGAGGTCCCTGTCTTTCCTTGGAGCAGTCTATCAATTTGGCCAGGTTTCAAAACACCATGAGGACCCTGCAGTTAAGGGGCAGCTACACGGGGGTTGGTGTGGGGACACAGCAGGCTCTGCCAGCCCCCATGGAGTATGGTGCCAGGTTGGCCACCTCCCCACCAGTGACACCGTGACCCCACTCTGGCCACACTGATTCAAGCTCAGGGCTGCCGCATTTGTTCCCTCTGCCCAAAACGCGCTGGCCCAAGATGTCTGTGTGTCTTGCTCATTCCCTTCAGGTCTATGCTAACACGTCGTCTTATCAGAGAAACCCTCCCTGGCCCCACACTGTATAAAACAGCAGCTCCCACCCCTGGACTCCTGTTTTACCTTTATCCATAACAGTGTCCACTCAACGACTTATACATATGCATGTAATATCACATAAATATATATATGTAAATATATACATACACACATAATATCACATAAGTATTATATATATGTGAATATATATATATTTGAACCTAGAACTTGGTGAGTAATAAGTATTAGTTTAAAATCACGACTTGCTGCTGAGGTGAGCGGCAGGGCGTGCCCACCAGAGCATTAGTGGCAGTTTCCTCCTTGCTCTCCAGAGCCTCCCAAGGGGGCTTTTGCTCTCCTCACCTTCACAGAGGTTTCGGGATGTGACTCACCTGGGCCTCCCTGGGATTCTCTCACTGCAGAACTGTCCGGAATCAGTGAAGCAAATAGGGAAGAGAATGAAATGAGCTGGGGTTAAAGAACAACCAGGAGACCTTGAAATAGTAAAGTATCAGGTTGAGAACAGAGAAAGTGGTGAGTGACTTGCCCAGCCCCCCACCCGACCCCACCCCACCCCACCCCACACCATTCATTTGAACTTGACGATGGGCGATCTGTTAAGTGTGAGTGTGTCCATGGTCACTGATACAGCAAGCTTGAGAGGTGAATGCATCACACTGATTTTCAAGTGAAGAAGCAGAGGCCAGGAGACTCACTTGCACACCTCATCTCAGCCAGGATAATAGAGCCACAGCACCCTGCTTCCCACCGCCCAGCAGTGATGCCAGGTGTCCCCCCTACCCGTGTGCTGCCCGTCAGAGCCAGGCTGGCTGTCAGGGCCTAGCAGGAAGCATGTCATGTCAGATGGCCAAAGTGAAGAAACTCTATTCAAGGGACCCATTTGGCTGGTGACATGCGCCTCAGTGGCTCCTCCTCTGTTGGCTACTGCTGCCTGGACCTGCTCAAGCCCTCCTCTCCTCTGCAGTTCCTGCCATCTGCATCCTTCATGATTAATCTGACCCTGGGTAGGGAGGCAGGAGGGGCTTCTCTTCTCCACAGCCCTGCACCTCAGCAGCATGGCTCAGGGTCTCCAAGTCCCCAGCCGCCACCTGACATGCCCCTAGCTTACTAGCTTGCTTTCTCCAGCCCCCACTTCAGCTCCTGGGGTGTGCCATGCGTGTGTGTGTGTGTGTGTGTGTGTGTGTGTGTGAGAGAGAGAGAGACAGAGACAGAGAGAGAGAAAGAGAGAGAGAGACAGCAACCAAAGCTTGGGATGGGGCTTGGACCAGGCTGGGGGAAGTGGTGGGGCAGGGGGCAGCCCAGGGTCAGCCCCAGCAAACAAGAGTGTTGGAGGAGTGAGGTTCGCCAAATGGAAGAGGCAAATCTGACTAAACTTCTCCAACCAGATGACACCTTTAATTCTGCATGTCTGGGCTCTAAGACGCAGATTCTCCTTTTACCCAACAGCAAGAAAGAGCTGTTCCTTAAGTAAGGGTCAAGTACTCGGGCAGTGGATGGAGAAACACAGTGAGAGGAGGGGCAGCCTTGGCATCCTCAGATGTTTCCACGTTTCCGAATTTTCAGTGAATCTGGTTTTCCACAACACTGAATGTTTTTGAAGCTGGCACCTCTCTGCTTACTGAGTAGATGCCTAATTGGAAATGGAATGTCTGTACTTCACACACTACACCCCCTCCTGCCCCTGCTGAGAACTTTCCCGGGTTAATGGTTTCCTTTTGGAAAGCTTTCAAATGGTCTTCGTTGGAGTTTACATTATCTGCTTCCCTCTGCTCTGTATGTGGATTATTTGCCTGTTGGGTTTAATTTAACCAGATTTGCAGCTGTGCTAACAACTTCATTGGTGCCCTCCTGCTTTCAGAATGGATTTTCCCGTCTTTTCTCCAGCTTACCGATAGACTGTCTCCATACCAAAACCTGCACGGGGTTGGGCATTGTCTGCTGGTGTTCTGCCTCACTACAGAACCTGTTTCCTCTGACCAAACTTCACTGCACCTCAGGTTCTAACTAGGTCTCTCTAATATTTTAATATGAATAGTTAAAATGAATTATTTATTAAAAATCACTGTTAAACAAGAAAAAAAAACTTTTCCTCGGTGCTCTGAACCTCAGCCTCCTTGGGAGGATCTGCATGTTCCCTAAGCCCGTGGCTCCCTCGGAGCTCTACCCTCTAGAAATACGTTGCAAAACTCTTGAGGCGTCTAACAAATATGACAAGCCCACAGATTAGCAAAGACACGCAGAGTCGACCAAGTTTGATATTTTTGTTTTTTTACTGAGCTTTTTGTACTTAATAGGAGACCTGGCCACCTAATAAGATGGTGATTATTGGAAACCACAGAGATGTAATCAGATGTTCTAGACATGGATGGTGTATTTAACCCCTTGAAACACTTCCACGCCCTGCCTGGATCCTTTTCTGCTTCATAGACCAATGATGAGTTCCTAAAAGATATGCACGTCTATCCCCAGTGAAGGCCGTAGCTCAGCAGGCCCTGTACTTGGCATTACAGGGGCGGGACCTGTGTAGCCTTGCCCTCTGGGGCCCTTTGCTGGTCTTCCTACCCTGGGCTCTTCCCTATGTCAGTGCCATTTGTCGGGAGAAGGAAGAACGACTTTGAACCGCAGCCCTGTTCTGTGGATGAAGTTGGCTGGAGTTCCTCTACGAGAATAGAAGCTCCCTGAGGAGTTTCATCTGCATCCACAGAGTCCATAGATCCTGCCTATAGATAAGAGAATAAGCAAATGGCTGTTGTTTCTTTACTGTGTCATTTAATATGATGTCTTGTGGTTGATGAAGGCTTAAAAAGTGTGTGAACCAGAAGTAGAACAAGAAAAGAGGGTGCGGCTCTCAGCAGGAACTGTCCTGAGGTGGCTGTGGGTCCTTCAGACACTGAGGCCTGTTTCCACCCTCAGCTCTGAGGCCTTCTGTTCACTGAGGAATCTCCAGGGCTTTGTCAGCATTTGAAACAACAGTGACTCCTAGTGAGAGCCGGGTCCCAGGAGGGAGGACGTCCAGATGTCCCCAGTCCCTCCTCACTCCAAGGAACAGTCTTCCACTTCAGGAACACTCAAAAAAGGCGAGCTCCTGGCCAGGCTCGGTGGCTCACGCCTGTAATCCCAGCACTTTGGGAGGCCGAGGCTGGCGGATCACGAGGTCAGGAGATCGAGACCATCCTGGCGAACACAGTGAAACCGCGTCTCTACTAAAAATACAAAAAAAATTAGCCAGGCATGGTGGCGGGTGCCTGTAGTCCCAGCTACTTGGGAGGCTGAGGCAGGAGAATGGCGTGAACCCGGGAGGCGCAGCTTGCAGTGAGCCGAGATCGCGCCACTGCATTCCAGCCTGGGCGACAGAGCGAGACTCCATCTCAAAAAAAAGAAAAGGCGAGCTTCTCAGGAGCCAAGCTGAGAGGCCACCAGATCTCCCGGCGGCAAAGGCAGTGCTGATGGTCCATGGGGTGGTCAGGGGTGCAGGGCCTGTTGGCACCCTTTAGCCTTAGCCATCTAGGAAAACCCAGGCCCGGGCCAGTGGGGGCCACTGGAATCATCAGTGCCTCCTTATTGGCGTCCTGATCACAGCACAGGTGTCTTTCTAAATGAGAGCTTGTTCTTTCCAAACTGGGAAGTCAGAGGTATTTGGGGCACCCTCAGACACCTTTTCATCTTAGCATTTGTCAGTCCTCACTGTGCACCCAGATCTGGGATTCTAATGCCAATCTCCAGTGAAAGGAACCAGGACTCCTTGGAGAAGTGGCTGACTCCAGAGCTGGGGCAGGGAAAATACAAGAGGAGCCTGGAGCACCTTGTAGTGCCAGAAAGTAAAGAGGTCCTAAGAAAAGAAAAAGAAGAAAAAGAAAAAAAAATGGTAGTATGTCTAAGGGACACACAAACCAACTAAAAGAGCTCCCAGTCACCATAGCTGAGACAATTTGAGCAACAAAATAAATAATGTAATATTGGGTTATAACCCAGAGTTTAAAATAAATACCCATGTGTTCACACTGACAAATAAATAATGGACGGATGGACAAATACATAACAGAGAAGAGGCAGGTCTCCCGTGCAGAGGAACTCCAGGTAATTCATGTAGATGCTGTGCCCTTGAGGAGGTTAAACGGATAACTCCCTCCCTTAAGTGTGCGCTCCGCCTGGAGACTTCCTTCCAAGGAGCACCGGAAGGAGTCACTTCAGAGTGGGGAATCCTGCCAGTCACTGCTTCATCCCAGTGATCAAGGCCAGCATCAGCAATCCTGAGCCATGCTGGTAGCATGGACCCTTCATGTGATGAGAATGGCACATTGCCTCTGTGGTCTTCCTCTCAAACCCATAGCCCCAGTCTGTCACGAGAAAAACATCTGACAACTCTCAGTTGAGGAGGATTCTACAAAACACCTGTCCAGTGCTCCTCAAAACTTCTGAGTCATCAAAAACAAGGCAAGTCAGAAATTGTCTTGTTAGCCAAGAAGAGCCTAAGGATGTGTGATGATTAAATGTAAAGTGGGATCCTGGATGGGATCCTGGAACAGAAAAAGAACGTTAGGAGAAAACTAAGGACATCTGAAGATGTATGAACTTCAGTTCACCAGTATTGCACCAGTATTTGTTCATCAGGGATGACCACTGTATTGCATCATGTAAGATCCTAAAAGGAAAACTGGTGTGGGGTCCCCGGGAACACTCTGTATTGAATTTACAACTTGTCTATAAATCTAAAACTGTCCTAAAGCAGAAGAAATCCCTTGTCTAGATGATTCAGTCACCCTCCTCTTTGCCCTGCCCTTTCCACCATCCACAGAACGCCGTCCAGCAGTTGAGGGGTGGCCTTGACTTCTCGAGCTCGTTCAGGAGTGACCACAAGACATCCTGATGCCGCACGGAGCCTGGCCGACAGTGCCACCCTTCTCTTGCTGGACCAATGAATTTGTGTCCTCATGTCATTTCCTCCGACCACCACAGGGCTCTGGCCAGGGGCTTCGCAAGCTCCTTAGCTCCCAGACCGCACCCCTGTTCCCCCGGCTCTATTTTAGGCTTATTGGTGCTGGCTGCCTCCCCAAAGCTGCTGCCCTGCTTCCAGTGCTGGGGTAGGAATGAGCTGAGCCTACAGTCCACCCACCCACCTCTTCTCACTCCGGCATCCATCTGGTCACCAAGCTACCGCGGGTTGACCCAGGCTAGGGTCCCAGGTTAAAGTAGACGCAGGTCTTGCTCTCATGTGCTGGCGCTATCCATGTCTCGCCGGCCCATGCTCCAGCCCTCTCCCTGATGCTGTGCCCAGGGCTGAGCTGCACCCACAAGCTCCCTTGCCCCCAGCCTCCAGCTGGATTTGACCCATAGAAGACACGGGTGGGAACCCAGGCAGGAGCATG
Source organism: Homo sapiens (assembly GCF_000001405.40). Taxonomy (NCBI): domain Eukaryota; kingdom Metazoa; phylum Chordata; class Mammalia; order Primates; family Hominidae; genus Homo; species Homo sapiens. The sequence goes on along the minus strand of NC_000002.12, from coordinate 108,975,290 downwards.
GTGGCCGGCAGGGGATTTACTCTGCACCTTTCTGCCTGAGGCCGCAGCTGCTATCCCTGTGTTCAGATCCTCTCTCTCCTTTGCCCCTTCCCACACAGGCTGGACTGCAGCTCCTGGAGTGCTGCACCATCATTTGCTCCCCTTTGGACCCTGCCCAGCACCCTCAGACAGGGTCCCTGCTGCACTCGCCCCAGGTGGCACTTGGGGCTAGGCTCCGTGGAAAAGCAGATTCCACAATGGGGCCGTGGTTTCCCAGGCCAGGTAGAAAGGCAGTGCTTGCTGAGGGGACTTGCAGAATGGCTGCCTGAGAGGCTCAGGGGTTGATGGGCTCTTCCTTCTGACTCCTGAATCTCCACCAGAGCCCTGCACACCTCAGAAAGGCTAGAGCTCCAGCATGCAGACTGCAAGTGTTGTGGGCAGGCCTGGTGAGGCAGCTCGGGGTGGTGGGAAGAGCTAGACCCCAGCTCTGCCATTTGCTGGCTATTTCAAGTTCCCTCTACCCTCTCAGTTTCAGTTTCAGTTTCTTTATCTGAAAAATGGGAATAGTATCTTTTTTTTTTTGAGATGGAGTCTTGCTCTGTCACCCAGGGTGGAGTGCAGTGGCGCTATCTCGGCTCACTGAAACCTTCGCCTGCCGGGTTCAAGCGATTCTCCTGCCTCAGCCTCCCAAGTAGCTGGGATTACAGGCACACACCACCATGCCCAGCTAATTTTTGTGTTTTTAGTAGAGATGGGGTTTCATCATGTTGGTCAGGCTGGTCTCCAACTCCTGACCTGGTGATCCACCCCCCTTGGCCTCCCAAAGTGCTGGGATTACAGACGTGAGCCACCATGCCCAGTCATGTCTACTTTTCATGGTGTAATCATTAAGATAATGTTCATAAACAGGGTACCATCGTGTCTAAGACAAAATACACAGTCAATATGTGGCATTTCTTTTTTTTTTTTTTTTTTTTTTTTTGAGACGGATCCTCGCTCTGTCTCCCAGGCTATAGTGCAGTGGTGTGATCTCAGCTCACTGCAAGCTCCGCCTCCCGGGTTCATGCCATTCTCCTGCCTCAACCTCCCAACTAGCTGGGACTACAGGCGCCTGCCACCACGCCCAGCTAATTTTTTGTATTTTTTAGTAGAGACGGGGTTTCACCATGTTAGCCAGGATGGTCTCGATCTCCTGACCTCGTGATCCACCCACCTCGGCCTCCCAAAGTGCTGGGATTACAGGCGTGAGCCACCGCGCCTGACCAATATGTGGCATTTCTATTTTTCTTATTATTTCTATTTGGAGAATGAATGGACAGGATGGTCTTACTCTCCTGGAAGTGGATTGTTGAGCCTTTTGTGAACAAAGGTGATGCTTACAGCTCCGTAATTGGTTTAAAATGGGTAAGAGCCTTGTGCTGAAAACCCTGTGATCCTCATCTTGAATCCCAAGAAATGTTGTTATTTACATAAAACCAAAAGTCTGTGGGGCATTCAAAAGTTGAAGGGCCTTTGAGAACTCTGATGATGTTTTCGTTATTGTGAGATGGAAGCCAAGCTTGTGGCTCCAGCCAAAAAATTTCCAGGTTTTGTAGTCGGTGTGGAGGTCAGAACAGGCAGCGGTCACCATGTGTGGCATGGGTTCTAGGACACACGACCCCTGGAAAGTGCATTTCTCCTTCTGTTCTTCCGGAGGCAGCCAGCACCCTGCAGATGAGGGAAGAAGTCATTGAGGATTCCAGGAGCCACACTCACAGGCTGGAAATGTCCATGGCAGTCAAGAAAGAAAGATTCTGCCAGGGTTCAGGCCCTTGGCATCCTCAGGTACTGGAAAGCACTGGAAAGCAGGAGAAATGAAGGCAGGAGGCAGCCAGCACTGCACTGAGCCCAGACCTCCCAGGTCTCAGGGGCTGATGGCGGACACTCTCTCTGCACCGCCCTCCTGCCCTAGCCAGCCCCCTGAGTCAGCTTCTAATGGTCTGTCTCACAACTTGCAGGGAGGCGGCACTATACACACATGCTGAGGCCAGGTGCGGTGGCTCATGCCTGTAATCCCAGAACTTTGGGAGGCCGAAGCAGGCAGAACACCTGATGTCAGGAGTTCAACACCAGCCTGGCCAACATGGTGAAACCCCATCTCTACTAAAAATACAAAAAATTAGTGGGACATGGTGGCGGGTGCCATTAATCCCAGCTAATGGGGAGGCTGACGCATGAGAGGTGCTTGAACCTGGGAGGCAGAGGTTACGGTGAGCTGAAATTGCGCCACTGCAGTCTAGCCTGGATGACAAGAGTGAAACTCCATCTCAAAAAAAAAAATTCAATTAAAATAAATAAAAAAATAAACACCTGCTGAGACCTCTTCCTAAGAAATTCTTTGGACTTGGAGCACAGGTTGCCTTGTTCTGGGCGTGCCCAGCTCAGAGAGCTCTAGAAGAAAGTTCAAGAAGGCAAAGAGGAGAATCCAGCTAGCCAAGGTTGGGGAGGTTGGAGGAAGAGTGAACGCCCCTGCCGGAGGCCCCCCGGTCCTCACCCCCTTCTGAGTCTCAGCATCTGCATGGGCTGTGAGCCATTGTTTTGTGACTGACAAATCAGATGAGGGCTGCTTATTTTTCAAATGATCACGTCAAGTTCTCTGATCACAGCCATAGCTACAAGGCAAGCAGAGTGGGGAAGACACCCGTCACCCTTGTGCAGACACTTGTTTTACCAACACTTGGCGTGCAGGGCAAGGCACCAGCTTCTGAACCCAGGTCACCTACAATCTCTTTTTTCCTAGGCTGCCTCGGCCCGTTGCAGCCTGACCTTGCCCTGCCCCGGCACTCCCACAGCGGGCAGGATTGGAAAGGGCAGTGTCTGGCACGTTGGCATGAAAGCCAGCCAGGAGGGTTGGGCAAGGGCTCCAGGGCCCGTGAGGAAGGAGTGGAGACCACACCATGCAGTGCCCTGCCCCTGTTTTGATTTGGTCATCATTGTCTGTGTTCAATCCTAAGCTTGTCGAGAACTGGGCCGGCATGGCTATTGAAGTTCTGTGGAACAGAAGTTGGTCTCTTACAGGGGTGTGGCTGAAACAGCAAAGGACTGGAAGGCGTATTAGTCATCTGTGCTGTGTAATAAATGACTCCCAAATGTAACTGCTTAAAACAACAAATGTGACCATCCCACAGATTTTGAGGGTCAGGAATCAGGGAGCGGCTCCGCTGGGTGGTTCTGGCTCAGTGTCCTTCCTGAGGCTGCAGTCGGCTGGGCTGCAACATCTGCGGGCCAGGCCAGGCTGGAGGACCCACATCCAGAGGCCTCGCAAGTGGCTGCGGCAGGAGGCCTCAGCTCCGGGCCACGGGAGCTCCCCACGGCTGCTCCTCTGTTGCCCCTATGTGACTGAGCAGCAGCCACGGCACAGCAGGAAGCTCAGTGCCTTTGGTGACCTGGTCTCTGTAATTGCACCGTCTCTTCTGCCCTTTTTTCTGTTGGCTAGAAACGAGTCACTAAAATCCAGCCCGTTCACACAGGGAGAGGAATTAGGCTCCACCTTTTGAAGGTGGTATCAAAGAGTTTGTGTATGTGTTATAAACCACAACACCTGACTTCTAATGCCAACTCCTCTTTAACTTCTGTGTAACCTTGGGCAAATTGCTCTAAATCTCTCAGCCTCAGTTTCTTCTTCCATAAAATGAGAGAGCTGATCCTATCTCTAATACCCTTCCTCTCAGCCCTCACACCCTCACACCTTCATTCATTCTGGGTATTTATTTACTAAACATTTACTCAGCTCTCTGCTAGAATGCCTGGGGAGTTTCAAAAAGACTGATGCCTGGTTTTAAGTCTCCCCTAGTGATGCTACTGTGCGGGCAGGGTTGAGAGTCCTCCTTCTGGAGTCATAATCTGAAAATGTGATTTGCACGCAAATCACCTGGGGGTCTTGTTACAATGAAGATTTTGATACTGGAGGTCTCGGGTGCGGCCTGAAATTTGGCATTTCTAACGAGCTCCTGGGTAATGCAGTGCATCCCAGGGACCACTCTTTGAACTCCTCAGAGCCAGTTTCTAGATGCTGGAAGAAAGGCGCAGAAATATAAAGATATAAAAATATAAAGATGATTCCCACCCTCATGGAACAAGGAATCCAGTTGGAGACGGAAAACATGTAGCCAGCACCATCAGGGTCTGACCGCCTGCCCAGGATGTGGTCCAGGCACCAGGACTGAGTCGGAGGGGGTGAAGAATCCCCCAGTGAGCACGGTCTCGCCGGACCCTGTGATTTCCCCACCACCAGCATCATCCCCTGTCCCCTCAGGTCCACAGCAGGACACAGCATCAATCCAGATCCTTCTGTGATCTTTGGAAGTCTTCCACAAATTAGGTTGTTTTGCTGAACGGTAGTTATTTCCACAGGGAAAGAAAAGAATTAGCAAATCTATCACTTGTATTTGTTCAGTCCTGTAGACTATTCCCCAGGTTAAACATTTGTTTAGTGAGCCTGCTTTTATTGGCACCACAAACAAATTAAAGTGTATTTTCCGAACTTATCTTCAGGGTGTAAAATTCCAGGCTTATGGAAATTCTAGTAAAATAGCTTTTAAAAAACCATCATCTTAGCTTTTATTCTTTCTACCTTATGGTTTTTCTGTCTTCTCCAAAGGGCCCTCTTCCCATCCCCTGAGCAGGAAGGAAGTGAAGTATTCCCACAACCTTAGACCTTGGTCCCCTGCCCCACCCTGGTTATTCTCTGTGTGGCCTGCCTGCAATCCTGTCCACCTCCCTGCCCAGTCAGGCTCCCTGGGCACCGTCCAGAGGCCCCAGCTCCCAGACCATCTCCACTCAGTGTCCTGCCCTCCTTGTGTCTCAGTATAACCAAGGCAATGTCAGGATCCTCCTCACTTCATATCTCAGCCTCTGAAACAGACTCCTAGGTGAACTCTGGGCTCCCAGGTTCTCTTCTTGCTAACCTTTACACACCATTTGCAGATTAATAGTCCTGAAATATTTCCTGCATCCTGTCACTGACTCCAAACATCTCATGTCTCCTGGTGTCGTAAAGAAGCTTCTTTAACTCAAATGCGTACCACCTGGGGTTCTGCTAAAAATGTAGATTCTGACCCACTGGGCCTCGGGTAGGGGCCTGAGATTTTCCAGCTCTGAGGAGCTCCCAGGCGATGCTCCCCTCTCAGTGCAAAGCTCAAGCAGCAAGATTCTGCAGGATGAGGCCACACTACCCATCCGTCATTTTCCACAGGGGAAAGTGTCTTCTTAGCCAGACTCATCACGTCATCCAGATAGCCAAGGCTCAGACGTCACCAAAGCCTGTGCTGGGCTGGCTAGACCCTCCATTAGCAATTTCCCCACTTTTAACTGTGTTTAAAGAAATCTGAGTTGTATGTTCTTATGACCCAGATTGAACTCTGGATTCTCCTGAAGCCTTCTCTAACTCAGTGATTCTTTCACCCCTTTTTGGATCCCTGCACAAGTTAGCTCTTCATTGCACACTGCCTTGCGTTGTTATTAATATTTTGGGTTTTCTTCTTTTACATGTTTCTGTCTTTCCAGCTAGCTGCTGAAGCCCCTGGGACTGCAGCTCACACTCCTTTCACTTCTTTTATATTTCTTTCAGCACTGAGATGGTGCTGTGCCTTTAGTAAGCACTTAATAAATATCTTTTCTTTAAATGACCCAAAGCAAAATTCCTGTACTTAATGAAAAATTAGTTTGAGAAATAAAGGGAATAAAAATGAAATTGAAACAGAATGACCCCCATTTTACAGCCCTCCCTGAATAGCATATAAAGGTCTGCTTCATGCCAACATCCTCACTGAGTCCTCGGGGCCAGGACCTGTATGCCTTTGGAGGCCTGGCATGGTGTCTGGCCCCATAAACATTTGAAAAATGCTTGATTCGTGAGTTCATTAATCGTTCTCCTCTCACCGGAGATACAACCATCCGAACTTAGCCAGCACATACAGATCAATAGCAGCAAGAACAAGACCAAGAAAGTGGGTAATTTCAAATAAGGTCTTGGAAAGACAGAATCAAAGTGCATATCTAAAAATAGGTGGGGTGGAGGTTGGAGCTGAGGGCAGAGAGAAGAGCAGGAAAAAAAAAAAGAAGGTTGTCAAAGCCAGGGTTCAGCTGCTAGAGATCAAGACCAGCCATAGAGCAGAGGTGCCTTCTTTCTTCATCACCCTTGTTGAATCCAATTCTCAAGGAGCTAAAACCATGACTGTCACACAACGTAAACTGACTGTGCATCAGGGACTCATTCAGCTCCTTAATGAGGGATCCCTTGAGGTGGCCTTGCTGATTCCGGGAGCTTCTGAGGAATGGAATAAGTTAGGATAACAAAACTGCTTAAGGTCCCACAGAGCAGTGAAGTCTTACAATCTTTGTGGTTGTCTTTTTTATCAGGCTAAAATCTGCAAGCTAACATGTAACCCTACCGTGACTGGGCTTTGGCCAAATAGTGCATAGCAGAGTGAAGCTCAGGTACACGCCCCTGGAGATGACATCATCTCAGGCAGGCCTGAGTCCCTGGAAAGCTAGTTTCCTTCCACATGACCTTATTTCCTAGTGTTCGATGGCTTTTTGTATCAGCATCAAGCTTTAACCCAGGGCTACCCAGAGTAAAGGGGGCAAATTCTGTGCACAGCAGTGCAGAAGAAGGTGCCAGCTCACTTCTTCCCTGGTAGCTAGGAAGAAAAGAGAACACCATGCCTGTGATCAGGAGGCGCCACAGACAGACTGGTCACCCATGCAGCCTTGGCTTGCCCTCTGAGTATGCCTACCACCCTTCTGCTCCAATTCTCAACAAGCCAGAATATTTCTGTGGGATCTGTGTTACCTCATCCTGGTTAGAACTGCTGGGGACAAACCTCCCCATAATGAACAGAAAATGCTACATCCCTGGTTTGCAAAACTTCAACAGTCAAAAGGATGCATGTACAATTATTTTTCTATAGGGATGCATAATCCAAAAAACAAAAAAAGGCTTGAAGACCTATGAGCTAAACCATTCCATCTTAAATGTTGAAGTATGTCTGGGTCAGCTCTGATTTAGTAGATCTAGGGGGCTCCAGGTTCTTCATTTCCAACAGGCTCTCTGGCGATGCTGATGCAGCTGGTATGTGGACCCCACTTTGAGAAGAGACAGTTTCCACTAAAGTGAGAACAATGACGGCGCCTTCCCCAGGTGGTGGCTGTGAAAATCAGGTGATATTATCCCTGTGCAGCACTCAGCTCCATCCCAGGGCCTGGGACTGAGGCATTCTTGGGACAGTGGGCGCATGTCCTATGCTCAATAACACATCTCTCTATGATCTCTCCACGCGTCCTGTTCTGTGTGCATGAGCTGTTTTCTACCCCTGTGGCTGGGGCCCTCCAGCTCCGCAAAGCCGGATTTGACAGGTCTTAGACTCACTAATCTTGAGGGTTTTCCATCTTTTGTTTCTGTGAAGTCACTGCTCTCAATAACATTGTTACCTGAAGAGAAATTTATCTTGGTGGGTTCTTACTTTCCTTTTAAAAAATATCCACATATGAAGCTCTCAAACAAGCAGAAATCCACCGTCTAGTTTTTCCCAATAGACTGTGTTATTGGAAGCTTTGAGGGATAAGGGGAAAAGAAATTGGTTTATGAAGTAAAATTGAAGCAATTAAAGGATCAAAATCACCTTACATTTTCCTACAAAGACACACTCTGTCAGGCATGGACAGCCCCCTGCTCTTTCAAGTTTTATAGCCACCCCGTCTTGGCAGAAAAATTAGGAAGTCACTTGTTGTGCACAAGACTGTTGTAAACCTCTTTGATAATAAAAAAAGGATAAAAAGACAAGTAGGAGACCCGTAAACACGAACTTTAAAGGCCTGGAGAACAGCAGGCTTCCCCTTCTTCTGCTCCTGCTCTTAGCCCACAAGCCCTCAAACCATTTTCTACAGCACATTTGCTGCAGCCTCAGGGAGAACATGAACTATTGAAGTAAAAAAAATTCTAGCCTTTGATATTCTTCATGTTTTTTTCCTGTTTTTCCCTGTGAAATATGAACCTGCAACTGATTATCCCAGGGACTTGATCTCAAAAACATAATTTGGCCGGGTGCAGTGGCTCATGCCTGTAATCTGAGCACTTTGGGAGGCCAAGGCAGGTGGATCAGTTGAGGGCAGGAGTTCAAAACCAGCCTAACCAACATGACAAAACTCCGTCTCTACTAAAAATACAAAAATTAGCCTGGCATGGTAGCGGGTGCCTGTAATCCCAGCTACTTGGGAGGCTGAGGCAGAAGAATTGCTTGAACCTGGGAAGCAGAGGTTTCAGTGGGCCAAGACTGTGCCACAGCACTCCAGCCTGGGCAACAGAGTGAGACTCCATCTCAAACAAACAAACAAACCCATGCACAATTGGCTGGTCTTTGGGACAAACCCCAGTAAAGAGGGTCCCTCTCTGTCTCCCTTTCACTTCATCATGTTAGTGGAGTTGTTTGTCCTACTCAGCAGTTTAGCCAAGAATAGTGGTCCCCAGGCAATCAATCCTCCCTCCACTGTGCTCCCTTCCAGGGCTGGCACTTGGCCTCTGCCAGCAGGCCATGTGGGCTCAGTAGCTTGGGAAGCCCTTCTCTACAGGCAGAGCCAACACAGCTGAAGCTCATTTTCTCAGAACCCCTATAGCCAAACACAGTAGTGTTCCTGAAGACAGTAGGGTTTCCTTACTATTTGAATGCACTTGGGCACCGTAGAACTCTCTGATGACTATTGTCCAGACAGAAGATGACCTCTTCCTCATAGTCTTCAGGTTGAAAGAGCACAGGGTATGGCTGAGACCACAGGCTCTGACCCCACATAACTGCACCGGGGCCCGCGAGATGAGGCATAGGCCTTCCTGTGCCCTGTGAGGAGTCACTCCAGAGGAGCTCTGCCTGCGGCTGGCCTCCAATGCCACTGCATTTCTTAAGGCTTTGAAGGGACTTAATGCCAGTCTCAGCATAGTAAATCTAAACCCTTCACCCAAAGTTCATGTGTTAATTGCAAAGATCATCTGACTTTAAAATATTGATAATAGAAATGACAAAGACGGAACTTGAGTAGGCAACAACATGCAAGGCAGACAGGTCTTTGCATTCTTGAAATTTGATACTTAAGATGACAGGGGCAATAAAAGACCAGGAGGAGAGGCTTGCTTCAAAGTTGGTCTTATCAAAACACCTTGAGGTGTTAATGACTTTCTTAACAGAACTCCAAGGCTATAAACTGCTTTAGATCCAAGGATATGGTGATATTGAATGTTTTAATTGTGGTATTAACAGCCCCAGTTGTAAAAGGGAAGGTGTCACTCAAAGATGAGGGACAAGGCCTGAATTTTATAACCGAATTTAATTGGCACTGATTTGACGTTGATAGTACCTGGTTTTTCCAGTTTTCAGGAAATATTTCTTTGCCTGGGGGGAGAGGGGGGAGCACAGAAGGGAAAGGTGGAGGGAGAGTACATGATGCAGGAGGGGAGGAGAGGGTGCTGCACATCAAAAGGCCCATCTTGAATTTCCTGTGATGTGCTAAAACCCCAGCCCCCCACCACCACATCAATGCACAGAGCAGTCACACCTCTCCTACATCAAACCCCAATTACTACACACCCAGGGAAGGTGCCCAGCTCTCCCACTGCAGCAGTCACCCAAATGAGAAGGAAGGAGGCATACAGACACCCAAAGGTAAGAGGAAAAGACCCAAAGCCAGTAGAGCCCAGGAGGAGAAAATCCTGATGGGGTAAAAACCTTCTAAGGATCTTCCTGTCTGTAATGTTTTTCTCTCCCCAAAAGACCTGTATCTGGGAACAACTGGGTCATTTATTATCTTTTTTTTTTTTTTTGAGACGAAATCTCGCTCTGTCTCCCAGGTTGGAGTGCAGTGGCGTGACCTCGGCCTCCCGGGTTCATGCCATTCTCCTGCCTCAGCCTCCCGAGTAGCTGGGACTACAGGCACCCACCACCACGCCCAGCTAATTTTGTTTTTGTATTTTTAGTAGAGATGGGGTTTCACCATGTTAGCCAGGATGGTCTCGATCTCCTGACCTCATGATCCGCCTGCCTCGGCCTCCCAAAGTGCTGGGATTACAGTCGTGAGCCACCGCGCCTGGCCCATTTGTTGTCATTAAAAGATATAATCATGACACTTTGGACACTCAAAAAATAAATACCAGTACCCTTCACACACACACACAGACACACACATGCTTGCGTGCACACACACTTTTCTAAGTGGGTGGCATAGTTAAAAAATGTTTGGAGGAATATTAAAGTAAGTTTTTAGAATGTTCATGTAAAAGAGGCAGGTTGTGCTATTGAAGAGAGTCTTAGATCATTAAAAAAAATTTAAATGTTAAGCTGAACTTTATAGGATTTAATTAGAATGAATGAACTGTTCCTTATTCCAGACGTGCTGTTATTAAGTATGTTTTTGTCATGCTACACAGTTTGTGGAATTATTTCCAAACATTTGGGGTCTGTGGCTCTCTGGAAGGTCTTCTGATTAGGAACCTCAGCTCTCTGGGTAGAAGCAAGCCAAGGGCTGCTGCCTGCTGTCACTTAGTGAGCACTGAGTGTGGCGTAACGGAGAGTGTGGATTCCAGCACTGGGATGCTCTCCTGTGGACACGCCTTCAGCACTTCTTCTTTCTGGAATTGGAGTGCTATTTGCTGCTCCATTTGCTCAGAGAAACCTAGTTCTTTAAACAGCTGCCCTTTGTTGTTAAAAGATTATCCTCATTTCAGTCACTGGTGACTGTGGTTTGGTTGGGCTTTTGGAGTTTGTTGGGGTTTTTTTCCCCCAAAGTACCTGATTTCCTCTTAGAGTAGGGACTTTTATTTCTCATATTTTGGGTTTCCTCTTCAGTTTAGGGAAAGATGAACAGCTCCATGACCTGATCCCTTTTCGTCACAGTTCCCTGTTAGTGGGACTGCTTTGGAGCCGTGGCATCATGTGGCAGAGACTGAGACTTGAACTGGAGTCCAGATGACCTGGCAGGGGCTTCTGGCTGTAGCACAGGTCACCGGTGGACCTCAGAAAAGTCCTGGATCTCTCAGAGTCTCAGTTTCCCCAGGAGTAAATAAAAAACGTGCCCCATCTATACAAGCCTGGATGTTTTTAATTAGAGCATTTCAGGAGGTGGGAGGGATCTGAAAGACTATCTTCTGTGCTGCCCAGTGGGGTAGCCACAGCCATACGTGTCTGTTTAAATTTAAATTAAGTAGAATTCATTAACATGAGAAACTCAGTGCTTCAGGGGCAGTGGCCACAGTTCAGGCTCAGCAGCCACAGAGGCCATAGTCCTGGACAGTGCCAGGCTCAGCTGCCTCAGCTGATGGTTGAGGAAAATGGTCCAAGAAGTGAGTCCAGGATTGGCCCATGCTCCAGCCAGAGCCGACCCTACTGGCTCCTCAGTCTATGGTCATCTGCTTCTGAGTGTGTGGGTGTCTCTCCAGCCAGCTCACACTTTCCTCTTTCTGCCTTATCTTCCCACAAGAAGGCAGAGTCTACAGATGGAAGGGTCCCTCTTTGCAGGTTGCAGGCCCCAGGCCAGGCAGTCCTGTGATACCCATAGCCTGGGAATTGCCCAGAATTGGCCGCAACATTCTGCAGTGCTCTCAGGTTCATTCTTCTGTTGAAAGGGCTCCTGGCTCTTGCAGATCATGGAGTTTTATAAAACGGAGTCTCTAAAACCCCTCTTGTAATTGTCTTCTGTCTTGACTATATTGCTGTCCACACCTGACTACTGTGCAGGTGCCATCATCCTGTAATTTTACCAGACGAAACCATTGGGGTACATTGGGTAACGGGGACATGGGATCTCTCTGTATTATCTCTTACAAGTGCACGTGAATCCACTTTCAAATAGAAAGCTCAATTTTTTTAAATGTCCTTGTGCAGTTTTTACAATTCGAATCTTCTTGAATTTTAGAACGTCGGCTCTAGGCATCCTAGAAACAGATTTTGAAGGGCTCTTGAAAGCAAATTGAATTCTTTTCTCATAGTTGCTATGAACAGTTTAACAGTGTGTAGTGCGTGATCATTTTTGCTTACGTAGCCCTTTTACGTTGGCCACAGAGTTTCAGATAAGAATACATCATGTAAAACTTCAGATGTATTTTCCCAAAACTGGAATGTGTCTCTGTTGTTGGACTCGTGCACACAGTCAAGTGGTTGAAGCTAGGGGTGTACAGCAGTTTGCGGCCTCTGCAGGGCTGGACTGGGGACTTACAAGTGACAGTGAGTGACCTTCAGTGACGCAGAGCCACCAGATTTTGTTCAGTTCAATTGATCGCTGGTGCAGATGTCCCTGGCAAGGGTAAGACAAGTGCACAGTGAGCCCTCCTGTCCTTGGCATCTCTGTAGCTCTCTCCTTATCCTAGAACAACACTGGGATTGTCTGCAGATCTCTTGTTTGTAGATCTTTGACAAAACCATTGAAGAGTGAGGATCTTTGGATTTGTGCTTTTAATTCAGCATCACTCTGCTCAGTCTCTTGGACAGAATGGTACTGCGGTTGGTTTTGAAAAGGGTGTGTGTGCGATGGTGTCATGCCAGGAAGAGTTGGCCTTGGCATGGGAGGCCCTTGAATTGCATTCCTTTCTCTCTTTTTTTTTTTTTTTTTTTTTTTTTTTGAGACAGAGTCTCGCTCTGTCGCCCAGGCTGGAGGGCAGTGGAGCGATCTCGGCTCTCTGCAAGCTCCGCCTCCTGGGTTCACGCCATTCTCCTGCCTCAGCCTCCCGAGTAGCTGGGACTACAGGCGCCCGCCACCACGCCCGGCTAATTTTTTTTGTATTTTTAGTAGAGACAGGGTTTCACTGTGTTCGCCAGGATGGTCTCGATCTCCTGACCTCATGATCCACCAGCCTCGGCCTCCCAAAGTGCTGGGATTACAGGCGTGAGCCACCGCGTCTGGCCGATTGTGTTCCTTTTTCATCACTTATTGGCTATTTGAGCTTTGACAATTATCCCAAACTCTTTAATCCTCCATTTCATTACCTGTAAGACAGGGACAACACAACCTACCTATTTCATAAGATTTTCCTGCGAATGAACGTTGGTTCACATGTGTGAAAGGCTGTGAGAGCGTCCGAGCATCTCAGCGCAATCTGCAATGCGCCATCTGCCATCAGGGAACCCTAAGGAAAGGCTGAGAGGCTGCCTAGACAGGGCGCCACATGCTACCCTACCAGAGTTCACAGTCTCACTTGGACATCTTTGTGGATTTCCTTCTGTGATTTACACAGGGAAAAAAGTCTCTCCAGGATTTTATCCAAACTGTTAGATTCTGGGAGAGGTGTTGGGAGAAACAGCTCATGACTTATCTTACAGCTGCGCTTCCCCTCTTTGATTTCCCTGAACACAGCTAGAGTTTTTCTTACAAATATTAACTTGGAAAAATGAGAGTTGGCCCAGCTATGCTTGCTATGGACTCACTGCTTCCATTCATTTCCAGCACAGGGGCCATTAGTGTGAAGCAAGGGTCTCCCTCCCCAGGCTCAGGTCACGAGAGAGCAGCAGCAGGTTAAAAGACCCAACACATGGGCTGATCACTTCTCACCTCTTCCAGGAAGCCTCCCCAGGCTTTTCCGCACCCACCCAAGGCTGAGCTGAGCCCAAGGCCCCTTGCATCAGAATGAATGTGTTCTGACCATAGAGTTTCAGAAAAGAAAACGTAACAATAACACCATCTGCCAGTGAGTGCTTTTTTAATGTAAATGTCTGTTTTTGCAGAACGTCCATAACCAAAAGAGCAGTTCAACCTTCAGCATGTAAATCTGATGTAGGCAGCGGGAACCAGGAGCTCTACCTCCCTCTGAAGAGGGCCTGGCTGTGAGCAGGGCAGGGCAGCCAAGGAGGGTGGCTGGTCCCAGAGAAGCTGTGCTCCAATGCTGGCTCCTCCCTGCCTGCCTCCACTGGTGGTGGGTGTGCCAGATGCCCTTGAGTGAGTGAGGGGAGGTCAGCCTAGACTGGTGGGTCCTGGGGGCAGAGGCCTCCAGGCTGCAGTGTGTCTCCCCCTCTTAATTATTTAGGAGGGAAAGGACTGGCAACTGTTCCCTTTCCTGAATCTGGTTCTTTACCCTTTCATTAAAAATTATGGTCAGTCTTCTTTTTCTGTCTGGGCCTCCAAAACCCAGTCAGGGCCAGGCCCAGAGGCTCTGCAGCGGGGGCCACTCTGCAGGGTCTGCTCCAGTGCTGGTCGGGAGGTGGCCGAGCATTTCTGCATCCATGCGTGCTCACCCACCACTCATTTATACGCCTGGCCTCTGACCCAACAGTTCTACCACTGGGACTCTATTGTAAGGAAATAATTAGAAGTCTATCCACTGTGTCTTTTATGTACGTTGTGGCGTTCATTATAATAGTGAAAAACTTTGAAATAAAGTCGAATGTCCAGCCTTAGGGGATACTCTTGGTACATCCACATGGTGGAATACTATATAGCCATGTTCCTGAAGAATATTTCAAATGAAGAGGCTCATTAAATCATTAAGCAAACAGGATACAAAACTCAATATACGATATGACTCCTTATGATATATCTATATATCTATACATAGTAAAAGGAAATATATCAAAATCTCAATAATGTTTCCATATGGTAGGACCAGCAGTGATTTTTAGTTTTCTTCTTTATACTTTTACATGTTTGAAAACTTCTTTACAATTAGTAGTGTTTTTACAATCAGGAAAATATGAAAAAAAATGTAAAAACCTATCAGTGACAGAGCCAGCGTGGTGGAAGTTGTTGTCCACTTTTCTGCTGGCTGACGGGGCAGCAGAGACAGGTGTGCACCCTGCCCTGGCTCCTCATGCCCCCACCTTCCAAACATTCCAGATTATACTTATTCTTTGCCTGATCTGAGAAATTCTGGTATCCTGTTTTTGGGGGGAGCACCACAGGTGAACCCATAGAGGCATTCATCAGCAAGAGCGTCTTGAGAACATAGACCACCCTCCACTAAACATTCTGAGGCAGTGAGCACTTTTTTTGTTCAGACAATCTCCTAGGAAAGTGTCAAACCAGCTCCTAAAAACAGAGTTAAAACCTTGGGGGATCCTCAGTTTGAGGCTCTTGTGGACAAATAGAGAAACTGCAGCCCCGGGGAGAACTGGTGGTTGCCAGGACACCCAGGCCAGACTGAGCCAGGGCTGGGATCCCCACCCCGCTCCTCTTAGCACCCTGTACTATCAGTGGACCCAGCCACAGGGTGTGCAGGGTGGACAGGCCAGCACCCAGCTTCCCTCTTTGGAGGGCACTGCTTTCTCAGAGCCACCGTGGCCACGTTAGTGCATCATGACATTGACTGAGTGGCTGCAGACTAGCATGTTTTAAATGGAAAGGGACCATGTGGTATAGCACTGTGTAACATGGTCTAGGATGGAGAATGTTGTGTAGGGCAAGTGTTGGTTTCACTTGGATATGTGTGTGCTTGTATGTATGTGCGAGTATTTTTAGAGAAGGCTTGAGTTTCTTGAGAGACCTGTGGAAAAGCTGGTGTCTCAGAAGACATATCTTTCTCATTTTCAGCCAGCACTCCTCATCAAGCTCCTGAATCCCCTGTAGACATTTGGCTCTCATACGCTGGGGAAAGGCGAAATCTCCACTGCCCACGGCCCCAGCAGCCATTCACCGGGCATCCAGAGCTGAGTCCCAGGGCGCATGCCACAGCCGGCACTGGCCTGGCTGGAGCCCCAAGGGTGTGTGAGGCCCCAGCTCCCCTCAGCCCCATGACTGCTGTGAGAACCAGGTCCCTTGGAAACCTGACAACCTGAGTCATCTTGGCACAGGTTTTAAGCATCACAGAGAAACAAAGCATTGAAAGATGCAATATTCTGCTCATGAAAGACCCAGGAGGACCTGAACTGGGTTGGATCAGGGAGAACCCCAAGTCACAGCCCAGCGTCCCCTGCATTACAGACACTGGGGAGCTCTGATTTCTCTGCTGCATGTCTTGCTCTTTGGGAAAACAAATCTCCAACACCAGGTCATCTCTCCATCCACCAGGCTGTAAGAGTTCCCAGATCGCAGACCACAGGGCTTCATAGGCCATCATCAGCCCCTCTGCACAAACTTGGCCTTGCAATGGCCCCATCAGCTTTACTGAAGCCTTGGCTTTCCTCGGGCCACCTGCCACCAGCATGCCCCATATACACTCCATTAGTCACGATTCTAGCTGTTCCAGAGTCAGGAATTCACGGGAAGCCACAGAGAACTGGTGTTGATACACGTTTTTCTGGCTCTAACCCACTTTCTAAGCATGATTTTGGGAGCACAGTGTCCCGTTCTTCATGGGTGCCAATTCCAATGGCCTCAGCCACTAGCCATGGAGGCCACTTCTTGAGGACTTGCAGGGAAGTGGCATTCCATGATGTGGATGTGGCTCCCAGGTTCTCTCATGAACTGTGTTGTCACCTGCCCCAAACTTGGTGCCTTTTCCCAGCCAGCCATGAGCCTGGAGAGCCCACTATCTCTGGCTGACACTTCCAAGTGGCTGTAACATTCAACAGAATTCATTCACATCCAGTCACAACATTCAACAAAATCAGAAGCCTTGCGCTTGAGCTTTAGGTCTCCTGGGCCAGATATCTAGGGGTGTTCCAACAGAAGTCACCTGCAAAGGCCTGAGAGCTGGACTTGGGCTTCTTAACTACAGAGACTGACTCCTGGCTCTGCCATTGCTAAGGGAGCTAGCTGTCCCGAGCAATAGGGCGGCCATGGGGTGCCCTCCCACCGTCCTTCTGCCCTCTCTACTGTGCGTCCTGGGTCCAGGGTCTTGCCATGCCCCCCTGTTCTGCCCCCTGCCTGAACAAACGCACCCTTGTGAGCCTTCTGCCTCAGCTCCTGGAAGGCACTGCCCTGGGGTTTTTTTTGTTTTTTGTTTTTTGTTTTTTTTTTCCTGCTGAAGGAATAACTATTTCATGGTTATTAATGAAAGTGATAGCAATTCCCTGTGTATTTATCTTAGATTATGTGGTCGTTACGAGCTGAAGTACCTCAAGCAGCCAGTCTGCGGTTGATTTGAAAACAGGCGAGTCTCAACAGTGAGCTTAAGGAAAGGTGTCAGGTATAAATCTTGTCTTCAAACAGCCAGGGTGCATTCCAGACTTCAGAGACACTTCTTTGTATAAAGGCCCTTTTTTTCTCTCCCGCCTTTCTTTCTCCTGGGCCTGGAGGAGGATGAAAGTGCAGGGGTGTGTGCGTTCGTTTAGTCTGATAATGAGGGTGAGGCTCACGGGCATGGTAATTTGGCAGCTTTGGCACTTCCTGTAACAGTTTTGATTTTTTTTTAATCCAAAGGGCTGCTTAAAGACAAACATTTTTTGTTAAACTGCTGGTAGTTCATTTTCTGCAGGAACTGTGCAATTAATCTTGTTTATATTAAAGAGACAGGTTGCTTTTGTCAGCTTTCCTGCGCTATAATTAATAAAGATCAAAAACGTTACAAAAACATAATATTTAGCTTAATGCAGATGAGGCTAGGCAACAGCTGCATCAATTAGAGGAGCAAAAGGGGAAAGAAATACCCTTTGCTTTGGAATAACTCGGATGCATTAAAAAACATGGATTGTGAGGCTTCTCACCTCCACTAGCCTCGCCTGGTAGGCCCGGTGAAGGATGGGGTTTGGACATCAAATAGTTTGTAAGGCCGCATCAATTATGTTGTAAATGCAGTTGGAGGCACCTACTCTTAACCCACGTTTATCCAGGTGTGTGGCTGTGGATCAGAAGCATGGAGCCTGAGGATCTCTGCAGTGGAGGAGGGTGAAGAAATCAGATGGCAGGCAGAACCTGATAGAACCATCCAGCCCCCTGGGGGGCCTCCATGAGCCCGGGGCCACTTGATTTATAGCCCTCTATTTGAAGGACTGTCATTAGAAACCAAAACAGTGATTAGATATGCCCAAACAGATGTCATTACCTGCCCCCGACTTCCTAAACCAGTGACTAAGACCTTTGGCTTCCACATGAGAGTTCAAACAGGGTCATCTCTGCCCATAAACAAGAGGCGTTGCTGTTTCCAGGCTTTCATCTGTCTCACGAAGCGAAGGTGAACAGCCACCTGGGAGCCCACCAGAAATTTGGTGGAGATGCAGTGTGAGGGCTGGAACTGGTTGTCAGTGGCACCCAGGCCAGTTACCTCACTTAGATTTCAAGGAATTGAGGCCTGGGGAAAGTGTAGAACTGCAAGTCCCACAGTTACACAGCCTTTGCCTTGGCTGGGCGTGGCGGCTCACGCCTGTAATTCCAGCACTTTGGGAGGCCGAGGCAGGCAGATCACCTGAGGTCGGGAGTTTGACACCAGTCTGACCAACGTGGAGAAACCCCGTCTCTACTAAAAATACAAAAAATTAGCGGGGCGTGGTGGTAGGTGCCTGTAATCCCAGCTACTCGGGAGGCTGAGGCAGGAGAACCGCTTGAACCTGGGAGGTGGAGGTTGCGGTGTGCTGAGATCGTGCCATTGCACTGTAGCCTGGGCAACAAGAACAAAAACTCTGTCTCAAAAAAAACAAAAAAAAAAAGAGAGCTTTCGCCTTTCCTGCTGAGCTTCAAAACTTGGGATCCTAATCGTAAAAGTCCAGGACAAGGAGGGATATGCAAAATGAATCATAACCCAAATATTTTCAGCAAATTCTGGTGGCATAAGAAGGTGGCTGAGCAGATGGAAGGAACTGCCCATAATCAAGCATCTATGAGGGAAATTTCACTGTCAGTCAACCATCTAACCAGAAAAGCACCCAAGGGAGCCTTGTGCCTTGCCAGATTTCAATGCCATGTGTAGTTTCTTGGCTACCCAGAATGGACTGATAAACATCAGAACCTGCTGACGTGAGAGACTCTTGGTGCAGTGCTAGTGGAGGACATGGAGGGATTTGAGTGGCATCAGGAATGCCAGTATTCTAAACCAAATGGAGTTCCTACCTGAAACCAAACCAAAGTCATCTCCAAGTTTTAGAGGACACCTCTACAGGCATCATAACACTCTCATGCCCTTTAACTTCTACTCTTCAGAATGTATAAAAAGGGTATCTCCAGCCAGGCACAAAGATGTTCATTGCAACTGTATTTATGACAGTGAAAATTGGGAACCAGCCTGAAGGACAAATATTAGGGGATTGGTTGATTTAATTATGGCTTGTTCATTTGATGGGATACTTTCAATCCATTAAAAAGGCTGTTGTTAAGAATAATTAAGACAATAGGGAATGAAACAGTCAAACCACAAGTAGCCCGAACAGTGTTTTAATCTAATTTTATTTTATTTATTTTATTTTTTTGAGACAGAGTCTTGCCCTGTTGCCCAGGCTGGAGTACAGTGGCACCATCTCGGCTCACTGCAAGCTCCACCTCCTGGGTTCCCGCCATTCTTCTGCCTCAGCCTCCCGAGTAGCTGGGACTACAGGCGCCTGCCACCATGCCCGGCTAATTTTTTGTATTTTTTTTAGTACAGACAGTATTTCGCCGTGTTAGCCAGGATGGTCTCAATCTCCTGACCTTGTGGTCTGCCCGCCTCGGCCTCCCAAAGTGCTGGGATTACAGGCATGAGCCACCGCGCCCTACCTCTAATTTTATTTTATGTTATTGTATTTATTTATTTTTTGAGACAGAGTCTCACTCTGTCGCCCAGGCTATAGTGCAGTGGTGTGATCTCGGCTCACTGCAACCTCCGCCTCCTGGGCTCAAGATTGTCCTGCTTCAGTCTCCCAGGTAGCTGGGATTACAGGCAAGTGCCACCACACCATGTTGGCCAGGCAGGTCTCAAACCCCTGACCTCAGGTGATCTGCCCACCACGGCCTCCCAGAGTGCTAGGATTACAGGTGTGAGCCACTGCACCTGGCCTAATTTCATTTTAGAAGATATATATGTCTCTACAAATAAGGGACTGAAAGAAAATGCCAAAACCCAAAATTAATGGGTTATGATTTTATTTCTTTATATTTTTCTTTTATTTTACAATTCTTCCATAATTGGAAAATAATTATATTACCTTGCATTCATTAGCACTTACTGTTGTAAATACTTTATACACATCATCTCATTTAATTTATCTCATTAATCCTCACATTCTGACCTAGGTTCTATTAATATCATAATTTTACTGATGAGACAACCAAGGCACAGACATTTAGATTACTTGCCCAAAGTTGCATAGCTAGTAAATTAAGCCCAAATTTGAACCCAGGAAATCAGACATTAGAGTCCTGTTCTTATAATCACTACCCTTTAATGCTATTATTAAAATTAGTTGTGAGCGCTTCCCTCAGGGAGATGTGCCAGTCACTCATAGCCTGGTGGGAGTTCCTGTGTAAGATTATCTTCCCGGCCAGGTCTGGTGGCTCACGCATGTAATCCCAGCACTTTGGGAGGCTGAGGCAGACGGATCACCTGAGGTCAGGAGTTCAAGGCCAGCCTGGCCAACGTGGTGAAATCCCGTCTCAATTAAAAATACATGTATACAAAAATTAGCCGGCCATGGTGGCGGGCGCCTGTAATACTAGCTACTCAGGAGGCTGAGACAGGAGAATCGCTTGAACCTGGGAGGTGGAGGTTGCAGTGAGCCGAGATCACGCCATTGCACTCCAGCCTGGTCAATAGAGCGAGACTCTGTCTCAGAAAAAAAAAAAAAGATTATCTTCCCAGTGACAGCTGCTTGAATAAAGGTCACTGAGGGAATGTGACAGAGGAAAGCAGACAGAGACACAGAATTCAGGGACCATACATACCAGGCACAGGGCTGGGTGGGATGAGCGTTGACTAAGATGAAAAGAGCAAAGCATGTGGCTCACAATTTTGCCAAGGAGAGTGGGTGGGGAGCCTTTTCCAAGGATAGTTTCAGGACTGGTGGCCACATAATGGGATAGAGACCACCACACCTATCCAAAGTTTGCAGGGCGAGAGAGGGCAGGTAGGCTGCAGAATGTCTGTGAAATTCCTTTAAGTAATGAGCTATTCAAATAATAAGCATATACATTAAGATGGGAAAATGGCAGCCCATATATCTTGGGGTATAGGTCTTGATGTATAGCTATCTGCCCACACACCACAATCTGCTGCTGGTCTCCGGAACAGGATCTCCAGTTCTAAAGAGAAAATGATCTAGGACATAACATGGAAATGCCATCTATGCTATCTAGGTTGCCATAACTGCAGGATTTTATAAGAAGGTGGTGAGGGAATTGGTGGATAAGGTGCGTTACTTTTCCTCACTGGGTTATCTGAGAGACCATAGCAAGAAATCATAGAGGGGATAGGCTTATACAGAGAGAGGGGCTCCTTTAATTCTCTTTGTCTGACCCTAGAAGACTTATCATGCCTTTCAGGAGCAACCAAAGAAGTTTTAGGATCTTGGTAATCTTTAGTGTCTCACTTATAATATGTAGAAAAACATTATTTCAAAGGATATCCATATTCTTGATCCCTCTGACCTGTCTGGTTCAACTTCACTTGACCCTTGGGCACACAAATGGTGTTAAAGAGCAGAGGAAAGGCTCAAAGCCTCAGAACCATTTTCTTCTGCCTAACTGGCCTCTCCACCTGCCAGTTTTCTGGTGCTTCTTTATTGTTTCCATCGCCACCAGCCTACCTTAGGTCCTTGTTCACATAGCTACCTCCAGTGTCTCATCAGTCACATCCATCCGACAATGACAGCACCAAATTAGTCTTCCTAGAAAATCATCTGGTTGTGTCCTGGTCTACCAAAAACAACTATAGAACTGGACAAGTATGGGAGGTAACTGCAACTGTCATCAGGTATTGGACAACAAACAGCACAGGACCGTGAGCCTTAAGAAAAGTAAAATATACCCATTCACCCTGGCTTCCTAGCCAGAGGGAATTTGTAGACTGTAGTGAGGCCAAGCAGAGAGGATGTCTTAATGAGATGAAGAGGCAGAGTTTAGAGATAAAGTATCTACAATTTGTGGAACAGGATACCAGAGAAGAGAGTACTGCACAGAAGAAAGTCCCAGAAATCAGCATGAAGTTTACCGGTGGGTCTTGGCCAAGACTCGGCACAAGCTAGCAGACAACAGAGAACACCTGTTGTGGACAGCAGAGCTCAGATGCCTCACAGGGATAAGCAATTCTGAAGCATCGGCTTAGCCAGAATGCAGAAAGCTCAGCCACCACTTTGAGCTTTCAATAGAGACTCCAAGAGCACAGATGGATTATTTGTAACACAAAGGATAAATGCTTGAGGGGATGGATACCCCACTTTTCATGATGTGGTTATTACGCATTGCATGCCTATATCAAAATATCTCATGTACCACATAAATATGTACACCTACTACATACACACAAAAATTAAACGTTTTTTAAAAAGACCTCAGAAAGTCTATACTTCAGGAATCAGGATAATGCCTTGGAACTAAAAGCAGAAACATAAATAGACCAACCCTAATAAAGAAAAAAGTCAAGACTGACAGGTTTGGGAGGATCTTCCAGTAATTTGACACTTGCCCAGAGTAAAACTCAGTGCTATTTAAAGTAGATTTCACATATCATTACGATGTCTGGCATATGATAAAACATTACCACACATACGAAGAAATAGGAAAATGTGACCCATAATCCAAAAATAATGAATTCAATAGAAACAGACCCCAGGATAATCCGGATGTTGGAATTAACTAAGACTTTAGAATAACTCATATTAATATGTTCAAGGATTTAAAGAAAAAGTTGGATTTAATGAGTGAACAGATGGAGAATCTCAGCAGAGCAAGTGAAAGTATTTTTTAAAAAGGAAATCCTAGAAGTGAAAAGTATATCTGAAATGAAAAATTCACCAGAAGGGCTTTACAATGTATTGGAGGCTGTAGAAGAGAGAAGCAGTGAATTAAAGTCAGATCAATTGAACCTTCCTAATCTGCATAATAGAGTATTTTAAAAATTTCATCATGTCCTCATTATTCAGAAACCCTCCTCTCCTATCTTGTGTACTTAAAGGAAACAAAATCCTGATATTTAAAGTATTTTGCAATTAGTCACCAAACTACCTTCTACCCAATCTCCCAGTCCCCTTCACATGAACCCATTATTTAAACCAAATCAATCAACAAGCTGCCCCAGCACCTGTACCTCCCCACCTTGGCCCTTCCACACATGGTGCTCATACCTGAAATTCTCTCCCCTCTTTCAGGTCCTTGAGATGATATCAAATGCCACCATTTTAACCTTCTTCAATGTGCCTAACTAGCAATGTGATTTCTCCCTTTTGACCTTCCGTCAAACAAACAAATGAAAAAACAAAGCAGTAACAAGAGAAAAATAAAACATGCTTTTGCTTCTTTGTGAAAATATTCTTGGTCCTGCCTGCATGGTCTTTTGTCTTGGATCTAAGCCCTCTTATTAGACTGTAAGAGTGTCAAGGGAAAGTCTATGTCTTACTCATCATTGTACACCATTCAATACCTCAAGAGACCTTGGGAAGATCATAATGTCTGCCGAATTAATTGGAATATAACTGTGATTTGAGAAGATAGTCCATAACACAGGCATTGGTTCTGATATAGTGTTGCCAAGAGCTTTCACTGCATATCATAGATCTAAGAGAACCTCGTGGACTCGCAGAAATGGAAGAACCTTTAGAATGATCTAGTATAAGACCCTCATTTTACAGTTAAAGAAATTGCAGGCTTTAGTGAAGTGTCTTACCCAAGGCCCCATCCTGATCCAGTGCCCTTCCCTGTAAACCATATCACCTTTATCCCTGTGCCAATATCTATACAGGATTGTGTATAGGATTTGGAACAATAAATTTAAACACACATCTAAATTTTGACAAGAATAAGCCCCTCCCATCAAGCTGTGCTTTATATTAAATTCATTTCAGTTTTTCTGGAGTTCACTACGTGCTAGTACAATAATCACATAAGACATCCTGGCCTTTCTGGTCGAATTCCTGTATGACCTTGGACACAATGCTGCCCAGCTAACAGAAATAACTGATGGTTCAGTTCTTTGTGACCATTTGCTAAGTTCAGAGTTTCTTCAATACCTGTACAGTAGTGTGGTCATTGGAATTACATGGCATTGGCCTGGTCAAATGCAGAAGACCGATATTGAGACCCTTCAAGACACAGCTGCTATAGGGGAAACTGAGCTCATATAACCAGGAGAAGGGGAAAGATGGGTTTCTGAAAAAAGGCTTCAAGCTACATAGAATCCTCTCAGGATGCTGAGAAACTCCCAGGGCAGGTAGTTATCAGCCTGGTGAGCAAGTGCAAGAAATAACTGGATTATGAGAGGCATGCCTCACAAGTGGCCCCTTCAATATAGAAGCATCAGTGCTCCCAGATGCTGGACAATGGATGGCAGACAAAGGCTGCAGCTGAGTCCCCCAACTGGCAGCTGCCCTTGGGTGAAGAAGCCTGCCTCATGCAAGGTCACACCCCTTCCTGGGGGCCTGGTTAATGTGGATGTGTGAAGGCCTGGGTCCCTTGCTCCAGTTCAGGACAGCTCTGTAGGGCCATCCCTGTGCTGAGAATGTATTGCCCCTTCTGCCAACAGTGTTGATTCCAAAGCCTTCTGATAAATATCTTGCACTTACATCTCCAGCCCAAGGTCTGATTCCCGGAGAACTGGACTCATGAAGGGAGCAAGGGCAGGGATGTGGAGAAGGCTGAGGGCAGCTCCAACAGAGCAGAGGGGACAGCATATGGCTGTGTGTCACGTCCAGAATGCAGACTTGGAGCTTTGTGGTGTTCAGGATGAAGTCACACACTGTCCAGCTTTCAGCTACATCATGTCAGAATATGAACGAATAAACAATCTCTTGTGCTTCCCTGGTTGATCTGGCCTTGTCTGGCTCATGTGCTGTTAAACACCATCGGCCCTTATAAACAGAAATACAACATGCTCTACATAAAGACATCACATCTAAATTAGCCAGAGGCAGTGGCATGCACCTGTACTCCCAGCTACTCTTGAGGCTGAGGCGGGAGGATCATTCGAGCCCAAAAATTTGATGCTGCAGTGAGCTATGCTTGACTGAGACCCGCCTGTCAAAAAAAGAAAAAAAAGAAAGAAAGAAAAAGAAAAGGAATGGAGGGAGGGAGGGAGGAGGGAGGGAGGAAGGAAGGGAGGGAGGGAGGGAGGTAGGGAGGGAAGGAAAGAGAAAAAAGACATGACATCTTAGATGGCTGTCATCTGTTCTGCCTTGTAGGGCTGAACATGTCCCTATGTGTGCTGCATTCACTCTTCAGCCAGCAGGCCCCTCCTGGGGTCATAAGTGCCCCTCCCCATGGCACCATGCCCAGGCCGCACTCAGTGAATAAACCATCTGACAATTGATTTGTCCAGTTTGCTGCACCCAATCTCCACAGTTCCCCCTACTCCCATATACATTTGTTATTTCAAAAACCTCAGGAAATGAGGGCATTGGCCTCCATGAGCTCATAGAATCTTTGATTTGGAAGGGACATATTACTCGGAGGTTATTTTCCAGTCACATCTGCTTCTAAGGCACCATGAAGACCTAACCCATGATAAATCATTGGCTACATACCTCATCATCTTAACTGAGTCACTCTTTCTCTTTGGAGTTTGAGAAGAAATAAGGACATGCATGTTCCATATGGCACACAGGACTGGGGTTCAGTGGCCTCTCTGGTTGGATGATTAGTTCCTGCAGCCCCAAACCAATCCTCCAACCTCAGATGATTATGTTTTATGAGCAAGAGGGAGAAATCTCATCACATTTTTAGGAAAAAAAAAGATTTTATGATGCAATTAATTGCAAGTCATGCACTGGTTTGGAGGCTGTTAGCTAAGACCTGATGGCAGCAGGAAGTGGATGTCCCCATAGAGTTGTGGGACGCAGTAGGCAATATTATTCAGAGCCAACTGGAGGCTCAGGTCAAACACAGCTGTTTGTCAGCATAAGATGCCCAAGCCGTATCTTCCCACTGACTGAAAAGCAAAATTATCAGATATTGTGCATGTGAATATTAATGCATTGCTTTTCTCTTTGGAATAATTAATACTTGTATTATTGCTTTTATTAAAAATAGCCTATGTTAGCCAGGCTTGGTGGCTCACACCTGTAATCCTAGCACTTTGGGAGGGCAAGGCAGGTGGAACACTTGAGCTCAGGAGTACACCACCAGTGTCGGCAACATGGGGAAATCCCATCTCTACAAAAAACTACAAAAAAAATTACCCAGGCATGGTGTTTCAAGCCTGTAGATCCAGCTACTCAGGAGGCTGAGGTGAGAGAATCACTTGAGCTCTGGAGGTCGAGACTGCAGTGAAGCCATGATTGTACCACTGCACTCCAGCCTGGGTGACAGAGTGAGACTCTGCCTAAAAACATGTATGTGTTTTTAACTAATTTTT
This sequence comes from Homo sapiens, assembly GCF_000001405.40. Classification (NCBI taxonomy): domain Eukaryota; kingdom Metazoa; phylum Chordata; class Mammalia; order Primates; family Hominidae; genus Homo; species Homo sapiens. Next base: position 108,948,964 of record NC_000002.12, on the reverse strand, counting down.
TTAAGTTTTTTAGTGATGGGGGTCTCACTGTCTTGTCCAGACCAGTCTTGAACTCCTGGCCTCAAGTGATCATCCTGCCTCGGCATCCCAAAGTGCTGGGATTATACGCATGAGCCACCATGCCTGGCCAACTCTACTTTTTAGTATATGATGATTTGTCTCTGTGTCCCCAGCCAAATCTCATCTCAAACTGTAATCCCCACATGTCCAGGGAGAGACCTGGTGGGAGGTGGTTGGATCATGGGAGCAGTTTTCCCCATGTTGTTCTCATGATATTGAGTTAGTTCTCAGGATATTTGGTTGTTTGATAAGTGTCTGGCACTCCCCACTTCACTCTCTCTCTCTCTCCTGCCACCATGTGAGACGTGCCTTGCTTCCCCTTTGCCTTCTGCGATGACTGTGAGTTTCCTGAGGCCTCCCAGCCATTCAGAACTGTGAATCAATTAAATCTCCTTTCTTTATAAATTACCCAGTCTCAGGTAGTATCTTTATAGCAGTGTGAGAACGGACTAATACAGAGAATTGGTACTGGTAGATTGGGGTACTGCTATAAAGACAACCTGAAAATTTGGAAGCAACTTTGGAACTGAGTAACAGACAGAGGTTGAAATAGTTTGGAAAGCTCAGAAGAAGACAGGAAGACATGGGAACGTTTGGAACTTCCTACAGACTTGTTGAATGATTTTGACCAAAATGCCAATAGTGATATGGACAATGAAGTCCAGGCTTAGGTGGTCTCAGATGGAGATGAGGGACTTATTGGGAACTGAAGCAAAGGTCACTCTTGCTATGCTTTAGCAAAGAGACTGGTGGCATTTTGCCCCTGCTCTAGAGATCCGTGGAACTTTGAAATTGAGAGAGATGATTTAGGGCATCTGGCAGAAGAAATTTCTATAGCAAAGCATTCAAGATGTGACCTGGCTTTTTCTGAAAGCATTCAGTCATGTGCATTCACAGAAAGATGGTTTGAAATTGGAACTTATGTTTAAAAAGGAAGCAGAGCATAAAGGTTTGGAAAATTTGCAACCTAACTATATGGTAGAAAAGAAAAACCCATTTTCTGGGGAGGAATTCAAACTGGCTGCAGAAATTTGCATAAGTAACAAGGAGTTGAATGTTAATAGTCAAGACAGTGGAGGAAATGTCTCCAGGGCATGTCAGTGATCTTCACACCAGCCTCTCCCACCACAGACCCGGAGGCCTGGGAGGGAAAAATGGTTTCATGGGCCCTGTGCAGCCCCAGGACTTGGCATCCTGCATCCCAGCCACTCCAGCTCCAGCTGCAGCTAAAAGGGGCCAAGGTACAGCTCAGGCCATTGCTTCAGAGGGTGCAAGTCCCAAGCCTTGGCAACTTCCACTTGGTGTTGGGACTGCGGGGGTGCAGAAGACAAGAATTGAGCTTTGGGAGTCTCCACCTAGATTTCAGAGTATGTATGAAAATGCCTGGATGTCCAGGCAGAAGTCTACTGCAGGGGTGAAGCCCTCATGGAGAACCTCTACCAAGGCAATGCAGTTGGAGCCCCCACACAGAGTCCCCACTGGGGCACTGCCTAGTGGAGCTGTGAGACGAGCACCACCATTTTCCAGACCCGAGAATGGTAGATCCACCGACAGCTTGCACCATGCACTTGGAAAATCCACAGGCACTCAACACCAGCCCATGAAAGCAGTTACAGGAGCTGTACCCTGCAGAGCCACAGAGGCAGAGCTGTCCAAAGCCATGGGAGCCCACCCCTTGCATCAGCATGCCCTGGATGTGAGACATGGAGTCAAGGAAGATTTTGGAGCTTTAAGATTTAATGACTGCCCGGCCAGGTTTCAGACTTTTGCATGGGGCCTATGGCCCCTTTGTTTTGGCCAATTTTTCCCATTTGGAATGGAAACTCAATGGCTGTATCTCCATTGTATCTTGGAAGTAACTAACTTGCTTTTGATTTTACAGGCTTATAGGCAGAAGGGATTTGCCTTGTCTCAGATGAGACTTTGGACTTTTGGGTTAATGCTGGAGTCAGTAAGACTTTGGGAGACTGTTGGGAAGGCATGATTGGTTTTGAAATGTGAAAAAAAAGATGAGATTTGGGAGGGACCAGGGGCGGAATAAGGTTTGGCTCTGTGTCCCCACCCAAATCTCATCTCAAATTGTAATTCCCATGTGTCAAGGGAGAAACATGGTGGGAGGTGATTGGATCATGGGGCGCTTTCCCCCATGATGTTCTCATGATAGTGAGTGAGTTCTCATGAGATCTGGTTGTTTGATATGTATCTGGCACTTCCCTCTTCACTGTCTTTCTCTTGCCACTGTGTAAGATGTGTTTTGCCTCCCCTTTGCCTTCTGCTATGACTGTAAGTTTCCTGAGGCCTGCCAGCCATGTGGAACTGTGAGTCAATTAAACCTTCTTTCTTTATAAGTTACCCAGTCTTTATAGCAGTGTGAGAATGGGAGAATGGACTAATATAATTCCACTTTTTAGTATGTAAAATATGTGTTTGGCCAGAGAGCCAACTTTTTAAGAATTGTTTGGTGCTGCCAATATTCCTGACACCAGTCCCCAAGGGGTTGTCTTTGTGCATAATTCAGCTCTGCAAGTCTTTACCAAGCCCCATGGTGTGCAGGCACAGGGCAATGCTGAACACACTCAGATATGTGTTGTCCCAGGTGCTACTCCCGTCACTGTCACCCGTAGGTACTGACATGAGTTTGGGGTGTATCTGAAGAGCCTGTGATAAAGTCGGGGGAGGCTGAGTATACCCAGTCATGCCCTGGTGCATTTTGTACCTGACAGCTCCTCACAGCTGCTGGGACACACTCCGAGCACATCTCACAGGGTGTGGACGACTGCCAGGAGGAGGGGCTGGTGTGTCCTTGGAGTCACCAGAAACTTGGCAGCCCTCCCTAATGTCAGATTCCTTCATGTCTGAGGACTAGTGCTGCCAGTACTAGTGCAGAGAATGGAGTCAGAAAATGCAATCAAGTCATTAGTTTGCTTGAACTGTCTTTTATTTTGAGGAAGGGTCAAATGGAAGCATAGGATAGAATAGGCATCTTCATGACAAAGTAACATGTGCCCCTGGCAACCCACATTCTACTTTCCGTCTCTGTGAATCTGACTACTCTGGGGACCTCATACAAGTGGGATCACATGATATTTGTCCTTTCATGACTGGCTTATCTTACTTAGCAAAATGTCCTCAAGGTTCATGCATACTGTAGCATGTGTCAGAAAGTCTTTCCTTTTTAAGGCTGAGTAATATTCCATTGTGTGCATATGCCATACTTTGTTTATCCATTTGGGATCCATGGCATTTAGAAATAAATAGATCTCAAATTTTTAGAAAGTTAGCTGCATTTTTATTTTCCTTTCATTTCCAGTCCTTTTTCCTGGTGTTCTTTGTGGCTGGCATTTAAAATGCAGACAGTGCCAACAAGCCCAGCTTATCCATCCTGTTCAGCCCTCTGCTGGCTCCTCTTAAGACCCAGAGACATTGCCCCTTTTAGTAATTTAATAAATTAGTAAGTCTCAAGGCTTTAAAACAGGTTTTAATTTTATTTTAGTACCAGCATACTCTAGTTCCAAATGCCTTGGCGTTGCTTGGGGGCTCTTGGCATGGGGATAAATAAATAAATGGCCTTGGAACTGCTGGAGTAGTGAAATGTGTAATGAAACACCTAATAAAAGATGTCTTTAAAGATTACATGCTTGGACTCAGTGGCATAGCATCCCATTGGCCCCTGGAATATACAGTGCCCCAGGACGGGGAGCTCGCCCCCACCCAAGCTGGGCTTGGCTGAGTGCCCTATAGCTGTTGCTCCCCACACAGGATCGAGCTTCCTGAGCTGCCTCACGGACAGGCAGCGCCCACATACATAGTCACAACTCCTTTGCGCATTCAAGGGCAGAAAGCACCAGACTGTACAATGCAAGCCAGACAGCAGGGGGCAACTTTTTCAAATCACCAGGCTGGTATAATACGGTGATCACTGAAACCTTGCCCTTTGCACCACGGGAAACATCCAAGCAGGGACACCCTAGGCCTTCTGCTCATGTCAAAGGGCTCAAAGCACCTCCCCGGCGTCAGTTCCTCTGGGACCTGCAGGTGGCGGCGACCATAGCTCCTGGCCTGGGATTAGAAGCTTGGCCTCTGCGGTCAGCTCTCTGGCTCAGCCTTCTCCCTTGACTCTGTGACCTCAGGAAGGTCTGGGACCGGCTCTGTGCCACAGCTCCCTCCTCTGCACGGTGGGGGTGCTGCAGCCCCTCCCTCCCAGGCCCAGACACCAGGACCCAGGGCCTCTCCTTGTTTTGCTGCCTTTGCCCACCCTATCCCCCACCCTGGCACTTAGCCCAGCAGGGCTTCGTAAGGTCTGCTGAGGGCAGGAATGTGGGCCAGGTCTGCTTGTGAAGGAGCCCATTATCAATCCAGGAGAGCCTGCTTCACCCACAGCCAGATTAACAGCCCCATGAGGTTAGAGGCAACAGCATTGGCTCCATGGCCATTGTTGCCGCAGCCATAGTCAAACTATTTTAAATTATCTGAAAGAATATACCATTCCTGGGCCGGGCACGGTGGTTCACGCCTGTAATCCCAGCACTTTGGGAGGCCAAGGCGGGTGGATTACCTGAGGTCAGGAGTTCAGGACCAGCCCCGCCAACATGGTGAAACCCCGTCTCTACTAAAAATACAAAAATTTGCCAGGCATGTTGGTACAGCCCTGTAATCCCAGCTACTTGGGAGACTGAGGCAGGAGAATTGCCTGAGCCCAGGAGGCAGAGGTTGCAGTGAGCCGAGATCGTGCCACTGCACTCCAGCCTGGCTGACAGAGCGAGACTCTGTCTCAAAAAAAAGAATATACCATTCCTGCCGAACAGAGACAGAAACAGGAACAGAGTGTTTGCTCCTACGTGGCTGGATAGCAATTGCCTGTGTACATTCCTGAGAAACCACAATCTACATCAAGCCTTTTACATTCAAAACACTTCCACATGCATTCACCTCAGTTTACCCTCTGAGAAATGAGTGAGCAGGAAAACCTGTCTCCCTGTTTTGGAAGCAACGTAACTGAGGTGCAGTGGGTGGAAATGGTATGCAAGGTTATAGGCTCAGAGGAATTCTAGTCTCTGCTCAGCCCCGGGCTGGCATCCAGCCCTCTGCCCCAGCCTGAGGTGTGCTGCGGAGCAACACAGAGCATCCTGGAGAAAGGAGGGGTGCTCAGCCCCATGGATTCATCTCCCCCAAACTGGAGAGCAGACACCAGCCACCAAGAAAGAGCCAAGAAAGGATGGCTGCTGTTACTCAACACACCAGGCCACGGAAAATACGCGGAGTCTTCGCTCTGGACATTCTGTTGTGCTCGGAAGTGAGTCCTCCCAAGCCCGTGGTGACTGCCCCATGTCACACTGGTTCTGGATAATTCGGACTAGTCACCACCTGCCCCAGCAATCTCTTTTTCAAAAAGTTTGTCCAGGGCTTCGGTAGTAACATCAGCTCTTTCACCTTGGAAAAAAGGCACAGGGTAGAGAGATGAATACGGTGTGATTGCAGTTTAATCTGTATCCCATTCATACATAATTTAACTATATAAAGAATGAGGTGAGCCAGAAATGAAAGGTTTTACTCTGATCCCCAAGCTCTGAGGGATAGAAAGCCTCCCCTCTGTTTCTCCCAGGGTGCAGCAGAGCCCTTTGGAGTCGGAGCAGACCCGTCTCAGGTGCTCTAGCTAGGTACCTCTGCTGAGCTTGCCCTTCTCAAGGCCTTCCCGTTACTGTACTTGAAAAGAGAATGACGAAGAAACGAATTCTCTTTCAAACCGGTAGAACAAGACCCTGAGTTTGACAGGAAGGATCCAAATTTATGAGTTCTTTGCTTCATGCTGGGACTCGAATGTAAGGGAGGGAAAAAAAGCCCACTCTGAAAGGGACATGTAATGGTTATTTATAGCCCTGCACCATGCGGGTCACCTGCCCGGTGAAACGCCATCTGTGCCGGGTTACCTGCACGTCAGCGAAGGGGCCGGGAAGGCATGGTCTAATCCCAGGATTAGGAGCAGGGAGAAAATCCATCTATTGAATCGTTCAAAACAAACAAACAAACAAAAATCCTACCCGCTCAAACTTAAAAGACTGGGAGCCTGAAAATGTTTTTGTTGCTGCTGTTGAGTTTTCTTAGCGCGCCTCCTCCTGAAGTTCTCAGGGCACGAACCTTCGTGAGAGTCCAGATGGCCAGGGTGGTGCCTGGGAGCGAAGCTGGCTTCGTGGTAAAAGGAGAGGCGGGAACAGGAACGCGCTGGAACCGCAGGGCTCCCGCCGTCTTGAAAGGCCTCTGGCGTGGAAAGCAGGTGGCGGAACCGCCCGCCTCACGGCCTCACTCAGCGCAGACTCACAAAATGAAGGCACCATTTATGTCTTCTAGAACGGGAGGGAGACGGGGACGCTGGCCCCTGCCGTCGCCGTGGTTCATCGTGGTTCACCTGGCCTCCCCGGGAACTTGCCAACTGCCACAGGTCCACAGGGGTGGGATGAAACCAAGTCCATGCATCCACGCCCAGGCCCCTTGACTCGCTTGGAGCCCTTCCTCCCCTCAGCCCCAGCCATCGCCAGCCTTTCTCTTGGCTCCCAGACCTCTGTTCCCAAAGCTGTGTAGAAGTGTCGAAAGTTGAGTAGATCCGGCATTGTGCCTCGGCTCTCCCACCTCTGTCTGTGTGACCTTAGCAAGTCGCTCACCCTCTCTGAGCCGCCATTGACTCCATGTGTTATGTGGGGAGTAGTGAGTGCCTCCCTTGCAATGCTGGGGAGGTTTAGTGACACGTCTGGCGCTGGATAGGCCCTTCACGAATATGCTCAGCAGGCTGAGAGATGGGGCCTCTGCCCCCAGCACACACACCTGCAGGTCCACTTCCAAACACAGGTTCCGGAAGAAGCCCAGCGAACTTTCTCTGAGGCACCTGTGGAGTTTCCATCACACAAGGGGCACCTGAAAGGCAGCCACCTTCCCCAGCCAGCAGGGAACCGTGGCATGGACAGGCCTCTCTGTGCAGCAGAGCTTTGTCAGCTGTGACCTGATAAGCTCCCACCTGCTGTCGGGCACTGGCCTCCTTGGGCATACACGTTCACTGAGGCTGGGAAGAGGCTGCTGGGACCAGGGCAGAAGTGCCCTTGCGTAGTGAGGGCCTCACACATGGGCTGTTTGCTTCTCCTCTGAGCCAATTCTGTGTGCGAGCATAATACACATCCTAGGAGAGAAGGCTTGGGTTGAGGGTGATTATTTATAATGGCAGTCAGGTTGTTGTAAGACACCATCTTTTGGAAGTGACTTGTTGAGAACTAGTCCCTGGGTGCCTCTGGGCCAAGGAGATCGTTTTTCTTCTCCTTCTACTCTTCCCTGTTGGCCATGCCCCCAGCTGGTGCAGAGGACCCTCAGAGCTGAGTGTAAGTTACCCATGGCAGCTGCCAGCTGGTCAGGAAGGGTCGCCAGGAAGCCCCTCAAAGGGAACAGCTCAGGGGAAGCTGTTTGGAAGCTCAGTGCCTCCGCCTTGCCCTGGTGACTGGGAGGAAGGCTGTGAGCTACCAGGACTCTCCTCTGGCCAGAGCAGATTCAGACAAAAGCCAGGGGCAGCCCCTTTGGGAACCTGCCTCACGTTTGAGTCACCGACATCAAAAGCAAGGTCAGGACTGCCCAGGCCCAGAAAACAACCAAAAACCATTTTGCAAATGTAGTCTTAGCAAAAACAAATGGAATGGGCAAATGGAGAAACATTGTGGTTTACGAATGCAGTGGAATACGATTCGGCAATAAAAAGGACTAAAGTCCTAATTCCCACAACGCAGACGCATCACAGGTATTATATTCAGTGAAAGAAACCAGCTGCCCGATTCCATGTATATGAAGATCTAGAACAGGCAAAATCGGTTTAAATTTATAGTGATGACCGGTGACAGCCCAGCGTGGGGCAGATTGATGATCAAGGGCGCAAGAGATGCTCTGGAAGAGATGGGCTCTGTATCAAGCCACAGGGGGTGTATATACGTTATCAAAGTCTCCCACCTGTAACTGGAAAATGTGAAGCTTATTGCAAGTTAATTACAACTCAATAAACGTGATTAGTTTTAAAACTATCATCTGAGCAATAAGAATACAAAAATCTGTGCCACTAATCAGGACATCAACTTGTAGGTTCTTGGGGAACATGCAGAGTCTGAGAACACCACTCTCATCATTTTGCACTGTTGCCCCTGGAAGCCTGCCCCGTTCAGACCCACGTCATCGCGTGGTGTGACGTGTTGTAATTGCGCTTGGTCTTTGCTCAGAAGCTGCTTCTTTGTTATTCTACACGTGACTCCACATTCACATTGTGTGACGACGGCACTGGATGCTTGATACAGAGGAGGAGCAGAGAGCCTGGCTGCTCTCACCTCCGCCCGATCTGGGGCTCAGGCATGGCCCAGGGGAGCCCAGAGTACATGGGCCACGCACTGAGATTCCCACTACTCCCTGGGCTCATAGTGGCTTCAAAGGGGCAGCTGAGGTGGGGAGTGGGAGGCAAGGGCTGCAGAGTAGGAGGCACGTGGGCCGGCTCGGCCATGGAGGAGCCACACGTGCTTTGCCAGCCCCCATACGTCCTCCCTCCCTGCACCTTCCCCTTCAGACCATCCGAGCCATCCTGGGAGGCTCAGCCTCCACCACCCATGTGGGCACCTTCTGCATTACCTACAATAGCCAGCCTGAGAGGAGCAGCAAGCCCTCTGCAGGCCCTCGGGACACGTAATAATGGCAGTCATCTTTACCGCCTCTTCACGTCATTGCCTGCGGCAGCTCTGTGCTATTTTAGACTCTATTGATCCTGGTGCCAATAAATGGTTCATATTCTTCAACTTCCTTAACTTAGAGGCTATCGTCTCAGTCAAATTGATGTCTTCTGTCTGGCTGACATAGCTTGGGATTCTAGTAGCGTGTCTTTCAATGATTAAGGATTACGTTCTTGTTTTGCTTTTGTTGTGAAGCAGAATCAGCGTCACTGAGACACGTTCATGCAGGAGGCCTCGTCTCCATCACACCACAAATACTTTAAGGTGCCAACTTTCTGTTCTCTAGTGGAGTCCAGATCCAACAGGAATGGCTGGGTCTGGGGGAGGCAGGGCAGGCTGAAAGTATTGCTTTCCAAATATCTCTGAGCTGATGAGAGCAAAGAAATGAGGACAAGAGCTGAGGGAGGACCCAGCACAGTAGCCCATTGGCAGAAAACAAGAAAGAGTTCTTGGTTTTATCAGAATGCAGTTAAGCAAATAACTCATTCATCTATTGCTGAGAGAAGAGGGTATAGCAATGGCCTTACAGGGGATACACTGTGACTGCACTTCCTAACGGGACATGTTCTCCTCCTCCCAGCCCTCACCCACACTGTTCCCTCTCTCTCTACTTTTCCATTGTGATTCCTGGCTAACTCTTAGCCATCATCTCTTCTTGGGACTTGGGACAGTCCTCCTGACCTCCCCACCTGGTAATCTGTCATTAGCACCCATTTTCACATACGCATACTCTGCACTAGACACTTGAAGTCAGGAGTTCAAGACCAGCCTTGCCAACATGGTGAAACCCCATCTCTACTACAAATACAAAAATTAGCCAAGTGTGGTGGCGCACGCCTGTAGTCCCAGCTACTACGGAGGCTGAGGCAGGAGAATCACTGGAACCTGGGAGGCGGAGGTTGCGGAGGTTGCAGTGAGCTGAGATCGTGCCACTACACTGTAGCCTGGGTGACAGAGCAAGACTCCATCTCAAAAACAACAACAACAAATGGAAGGATGAGTGGCATGTGTATTAAAGTGCTGAAGAGTGGCTCCTATCATGTTTCAACAAAACTTCATGTTACTATGCTTATATAAGAGTCCTAGAGTGGCCAGGCACGGTGGCTCATGCCTGTAATCCCAGCACTTTGGGAGGCTGAGGTGGGCAGATCATGAGGTCAGGAGTTCGAGACCAGCCTGACCAACATGGTGAAACCCCGTCTCTAATAAAAATACAAAAATTAGTTGGATGTGGTGGCGGGTGCCTGTAGTCGCAGCTACTCGAGAGGCTGAGGCAGGAGAATTGCTTGAACCCAGGAGGTGGAGGTTGCAGTGAGCCAAGATCATGCCACTGCCAGCCTGGGCTACAGAGCAAGACTCTGGGGGGTGGGGCGGGGGGGGAAGAAGTCCTAGAAAAACTTGCATTTTGTAATTTAAAGCAATGTGTTAGTTATGATAACTTTTCTGATTTCACCCTGAAAATGCTTTCCCTCAATTTTGATAAGGCAAAAAAGTAGGGATTTTTTTTTTCAAAACTTCTCCAAGCTTGTCAGTTCGACAAGATCCTTTCAGCTCTGAGGCATTCAATGAAACAGAAATGAAATTGTGAACACATATCTTTACAGCAGGACATTGGGATGAGGATAAGTGCTCTCCCTCTGAACTTCTGCATGGATATTTGCAAGCCACGTTATTTTCGTGAGCAATCCTCCAAGAGTGCAGAGCACCCGAGCACCACAAACTGCGGGAAATGCAGAGAGAGCTTCCTTCCTCTTTGGGACGCCAGCCCCAGTTCTGTGTACAAGTGCACACACACCTGCTTCATAACATAATTAGCATTCTGAGAAGCCCAAACCTAGTCTGACAAGCAGCAATAACCATGTTGGTGTTCAGAAATGTTTTTAGGCCACGACTGTTTACTGCACTTCAGAAATTATCATCGTCACTGGTTTATATGTAGGAAAATAAAGACTAGCGGAAAAAGTTGAGTCAAATAGAAAGATGAGATGTGAACAGATGTGTCCAAAATACTGATTTTCCATGCTCTTCCTGCCTCTGTGGGTTCTGCTGAAGATTCAGTGATGCACAGAGAGTTCTGAAGAATTGGACATGCTTATTTGTATTAGTAGTGATCCTTCAAAAGAAAATCTAGAAGTAAATAAGTGTTTCATGCATTATATTTATTATTCTACGTGTGCAAGAATATCTGTTTTCTGAGTATTATCTCAATTCAAATTAACAAAGGAAACTTGGGAACTTGGATTTTAAACTTTCAACTCAAACCTACCTCTGTCCACGTCTTTTGGGAAGGCCCCACCCGAGGGCTCAGGGCCATTTGGTTTGCCCTCATCTGTGCCTCTCCCCGCAGGTCCACTGTGCATGGGGCCTGTCTGGGTTTGCCACATACACACACATACATTCACACACATACATTCATATGCATACACTCATACACAGATACACACACACATACACACACATACACTCACACACATACACATCACATACACTTATACTCACACATATAAACATACACATATACACACACAAACATAAACATACAGACACTCACACACATATACACACACTCATATACAAATACACTTACACATAAGCATACACACACACATAACATTCACACACTCACACACATACACTCACCTACACTTACACATGCATACATTCATACACATACACATACTCTTATGCACACACTCACATATACACATGCATACACACATCCTCACATATACAATACATACACTCACACATAGGTGCTCACAGATACACATACACTCACGTGTATGCACACACTCACACCCATATGTTTGGGGTGGGCAACACCCTTGAGACACTTAGGGCCTGAGAGAATGCAGGGACACAGCCCACCCCTTTGAGGGGCTGCCAAAGGTCAGTTTGCCCCTCATAGCCCTGAAATCTTCACCAGGGAGTTTGCAAATGAAAGATTTTCAGTGCAGTGATAAAGAAGAGTGGCTGCTTATAAACCCCCATGTGATGCTGTTTGAAACTCTGGGGCCCGCCAGTGTGCTCTGTTGCCAGTCACTTCTGTTTCAGCGTCACCCTCCACTCCAGCCTTGGGAAGGACGGTGCCTGTGGTCTTGCCAAGACGTTTGGCCTGTGCTCTGCGTGTCTGTTCCCCGGCACAGCACTGTGGGGGGCCTCCCCTGCCTGGCCAGAGAGGCTGGGAACAGGACCGGCTATTTAATTTGTGGGACCCAGTGCAAAATGGAAATGGGTCAGAAATCACTGAGGACTTCAGGCTGGCAAGGCCAGCAGGACACTAAGTGCTGCATGGGGCAGGAGGGACTCCCAGGCTACCTTCTCTGCTTTCCTCCTGCTCCGGTGAAACAGATCCGACTAAAGCAGAAGTGGAAAGAGAATGCATCCCTCTCCTCCCAATCTAATATTAATTAGCACTACTCAGCTGAGACAGGGAAGATTCAGAGCTGTAAATCACATCAAATGGAAGTGTTTTCAGCTGCTCTGATGGTGACCTTGCGGGCTCCCTACAGGGAAGGGAGGTCTGTCTGGGTTGATGGGAAGTGGGGGCTTCAGGGAGGCGGGGGAGTACTGAATCCTGCTGGGTGTGGGGAGGAGGCCACCAGCAGCCTCCCCTTGGGTCTTCCTGGAGGAAGGAGAGCGTGGGAGGCCGGGGAAGGAGAGTAGCGCTGGGTGGGCAGGGAGCCCGCAGCCAGCTCTGTGGCTGCCTCCCAGACACAGGCAGTTGCCAGCACCTTGCCTCCCGCCATGGAAGAGCTTGTGCCCATGGAGCTGAGTGGGCCAGCCACAGCCTCTCCCCTCCCTGTCCGTGATGCGGTCAACCCAGGCGTGGCAAGCCCTGCTGGGCCAGGCCAGGTAAGCACGCTGGAGGGGCCACAGACAAAAGGGACATCCGTCCTACAGACTTTAAAAGGTAACTCCGAACCATCAGGCCTGCCAAGGCTTCCCACAGCCACCTGGCCTCAGCTGCTTCCCACAGATATGAGGTGTGGCCCTTTCAGGGAGAAGCTTTTGGAAGAGGTAGCACCGTCACAGTCAAGGGGGGCCCAACTGGGTGGAAGAATGGGAAGTCCCGGAGGCTGGACCATCTGCCAGCCGAGGCAGTGACTCTGCTTCTCCTAAAGGTGGTGACCAGTAGGGAGGACGGCCACCTTCTTCCTGCAGTGGGCACTGTCTGTGCTCTGGAGGCAGCCGTGATGACAAGTATAGACAGTCAAAGCCACACCACCAAGGGTGAAGGCCATTCCAAGAGGCGAGCAGCTCAGAGAGGAGACTGAGTCTAGGGGAGGACGGCTAGGAAAGGGGGCCAAACTTGTATATAATGATGTCTTCCATGTCTGGCTCCCTGGACAGATAAAGGCCCAATAGAGCAGGGACCCTATCTGTCTGGCACCGTCCTTAGGGCCTATAAGATTGCCACATAGTAGCAGCTCCACAGCTCTTTGTTGAATAAATGAATGAACTCTAACAAGATTAAGGGAATCGGTGTCTAGTGCAGAGTCTGCGTGTGTGTGTGTGTGAAAAGGGGTGCTAATGACGGCATTTGTTCTTTGGAAGAAGGCCAGAACTTAAAGAGGGAGAGACCCAGCCAAGGCTTTCTTCCTGGGCTCCCAGAAGGAATTAAACATTAATTAAACATTAAACATTCTCTCCCCACCTCAGCAAGATGTTGCTAGGAGATCGTCTAGACCAGTGCTTCTCAAACTTTAATGTGCACACAGACCACCTGCAGATCTGGTTGAAAAGCAGATCCCAGACAGCAGGTCTGGGCGGGGCTGAGATTCTGCATTTCTAATGAGCTCCCAGCTGATGCTAATGCTGCTGGTCCAGGGGCCCCACTTTGAGCAACAAAGTGGCAATGGTGAGGATTAAGCCATGGTAGTGCCTGGCTGGGGTCTGAGCTCAGTAGTCATAAGCTGATGTGATTACAGCTGTGTCATCATTCTAGATGGGAATTGAGGAAGGAAGGGCCAAAGGCAGAGGAAGAGAGAGCAGGTCGGGGAAGAGAAGCTGTTAATTCAGGCAGGAGTGGCAGACCTTTTCCGTAAAGCGCCAGATTTGAGATATTCTAGACTTACCTGGTCATGCGGTCTCTTATATCATGAAATGCCTACAGGCACTAGGTAACCAACAGGTGACGCTTGACTCCAAAAGAGTGTGTTCACAGAACCTGCTGGGTGGCGACTGGCTTCACAACCCCTGAACTGGATCACTAGCCAATTAACTGGTTAGTTCCACAAGTTAAGCAGCAGCCTTGTCTGCCTCAGGTGGGAAGAGACATTTCCACGCTGCTTTGGTTTGAATGTTTTCCCCACAGTTTATGTGTTAAAAACTTAATCCCTTAATCCCCAGTGAACAGGTTTGAAAGGTGGGGAGGTGATGAGGTCGTGAGGCTCTGCCCTCATGAATGACTTAATGTCATCATCGCGGGAGTGGGTTCGTTATCTCGAGAGTGGGCTGGTTATAACAGTGAATTGGCCCTGCTTGCACTCTCTTATCACCATGTGATGCCCTCTGCCATATTATGACATGGAAAGAAGGCTCTCACCGGATGCAGCCAGTCGCTCTTGGACTTCCCAGAACCAGAACCCCAAATAAACTTCAGTTCATTAGCCAGTCCGTGGTATTCTGTTCTAGCAGCACAAAGCAGACTAAGACAGGTGCTCCCTCTCCCCATCACTGTCACAAATATGGGAGCTCAGTGTGCACGAGGCTGGAGCCCCACGTCAGTCAGGTCCTTGGTCTCATACCCCAGCAGCATCGCCAGGCACTGATGGAGATTGGGGATCCCCAAAGTAAAACAAACAGGAGATCACGACTGGGAGCCGTCAGCCCCCCAGCGCCCAGTGGCCCACCTCCTGCCTGTATCTGCAGTCTGAGAAGTGGGATCCAAACCACAGGCTGCCCTGTGCTCCCCTCCCCCAGACCCCACTCACCCTCTCAGAGAATTGGTAACAATAATGAAACACATCTAAGGCCACAGACTTTTAGTTCTGCTTTGTGTATCTATTTTTCTTTTCTCTCTGCTTGGGTTTACCTGGGAACGTTTTAATTGCGCCTTTCGATAAGTGCTCCTGGTTGACACTAAGGTGCGGCAGGCCCAGCCCTTCTCAGTTATTCAGGGAAGCCCTCCGAGGCTCAGCTATAATTAGAAGTCAATTAAATTAGAAACCATTCATATGGTTCTTGGAAGGCCTCCAGCCCTGCTGAGAGCCTCTGGCCCTATCCACAGACTCAGTGGAAACCTATCTCTGCTAACCCCACCATCCTGAAGCCAAGTCCAGGGCTGCTGGGAGGGGGAACAGGCTCCTATCAGTTCCCCTTCAGGCCTTTGCTTGCACCCAACCCTCCCCCACCTGACGGGCTGCAGGTCGCCCTTGCCTCCCCGCCACCCCGATCTCCCGTCGCTGCCTGCCCCAGCTTGCTCTGTTGCTAGAAGGAAAACACCCAGCGAGTTCACCACTGGGGTGGCTGGCTCCTCAATCTTGCCTCAGTCCATTTAGTGTTTTCCAAACGGTAAATGCAACACTAAAGTGCAGGCAGTGTGTGGGAAAAGGCAGTTTTTGAACCTCATCAAGAGGGTCTGGAAACAGAACTCTTCCTTCCCCAAAGCCACCTGGAGGTCTCCACCAAGTGAGACACCTCCAAGGTGACTGGGCCAACAGCCGAGACCCAAGGAAAGACCCAGGACCACTGCTGTGCTTTGCCAGTGACCCCAGTCAGGTCTGTCCTCTGGGATCTCCCCTGGGACCCCCTTCTCCCACCTATTCTTAGAGCAGCCAGGGACACACGCTTTTTCCTTTATCACAGAATTCATACTCTCTCTTCTAGACCACTCAGACAATACAGACCTGCATAAAATAAAAAGTGAATGTTCCCCAGAATGCTCCCTCAGTCCTTGGTCACCCCCACCCGATTTCAGTTACTGCCAAAAAAATCTTTGCTGGAAGTTCAGCAGGCATCGCTCCAGACCTGCTTTCATGCATTTAGAAACTTTACAAATACACCCGGAGGCATTCTTCTCTATCATTTCTTTCTCACCCAACAACAGGTGTTACAGCCCTGCTTGGTGTTCCAGGAAACTGAAGTTCCTTTGGATTTTTTGTGGGTGTTTATTTGTTGCAATGATAAACAAGCGTACCATCTTAAGGCCCTGCCAGGATTCTGCCCACCCTCTTCCTACGGGAGCGAGGGCATGTGCTGTTGTACTCGGGAGGCAGGACAGGCGTGCTCCCCAGGGATCTCTGGAAGGCCTGCAGACTGGAAGCTCCCTAGCAGCCAGTTAACTGATTAGTTCCACAAGTTAAGCAGCAGCCTTGTCTGCCTCGGATGGGAAGAGACATTTCCATGCTGCTATGGTTTGAATGTTTTCCCCACGGTTTATGTGTTAAAAACACATATGTACTTGGCATTGGGTGCATCTCCTAAAGGACCATTCTCTTTCCAGAAATCTCAGTGAAGAAGCCCTTAAGTCCTGGGGGATTTGGAAAAGAAGATTGTCCATGTCAGTCCCCACTGACAGGGCCCTTGGTCTTTTGCTCTTCTCCACCGTTCCCTGGCTGCTGACTTACACAGCTCTCACCTCCTTCTCCAACTTAATTCTTAATTTCTTTCTTTTTTTTTTTTTTTTTTTTTTTTGAGACAGAGTCTCACTCTGTCGCCCAGGCTGGAGTGCAGTGGCACAATCTCGGCTCACTGCAAGCTCCGCCTCCCGGGTTCATGCCATTCTCCTGCCTCAGCCTCCCGAGTAGCTGGGACTACAGGTGCCCACCACCATGCCCGGGTAATTTTTTTGTATTTTTAGTAGAGACGAGGTTTCACCTTGTTAGCCAGGATGGTCTGGATCTCCTGACCTCGTGATCCGCCCGTCTCAGCCTCCCAAAGTGCTGGGATTACAGGTGTGAGCCACCGCGCTCAGCCTCTCCAACTTAATTTATTTCCAATAATCTTTCGCTAATTTCTACCTAATGCCTTTAGGCTGTTGCAGGACTTTTCCAAAAGAAAGAAAGAAAAGGAGGAAGGGAGGGAAGGTTCCTGTGCATCATGGCATATGTTCGTCACGGTGTTTTTGTGTGTGGTATTGGGAATTAGTTGGTTTTCATGACCAATGGTAGCTTGCTAAGGACGAGAGAATTCTGAGGGTGAAAGGTCTTAGGGAGTTTGGGTTCCATGGCCCAGCTGGTCTTCTGGGCTGTGTCAGTGGTTGATTCTGGAAGGTTCCTCACACAACCCAGCATCTAGAAGAGTACTTGCTGTTTTGTTGTGGCAAGAGGACAGTGAACCAGAGTGCAGCCACTGGGGAATTTAGGCGATCACTAGAGCACATTATCTCTCTTTGTAGAGCCAGGCTAATTAATACCCAGACTACCAAGTAAAATTGCTTTGAGTCAGAAACACAGGTCTCCATTCAGAAAGTGAAAAAACAAGCAAAAAAAAAGAAAAAAAAACCCACCTCCTCCTTCAAGGGAATGCATTCGTGTAATATTAATAGTTGGTGAAAAGTATCTGAACACCTGAACAGCTGCAGCCATGCTCAATCCCTTCAATCCCTTAAGTAGCTGTGTGACCTGGGGCAAATCACTTAACCTCTCTGGGCTCCCACTATCTCAACTGTAAAGTTAGGTTATTGGACTTGTCCACTTTGATGGACAACCTGTTCTTAACAGAGAGAGGGAAGAACACTAAGCTGGGGCTGGGAGAGCATCCAGAGGGGCAAAGACCAGAATCTAATTCCTGGCAGTCTCTCCAGGGGTCCTCCTAAGTCCTGGAGCCCAGAGGCCAGGACTGGCCTGGAGGACTCCAGACTTAAAGCTCATGTAAGGCTAGGTTTCTCCAAACCCTCTGAGCACGAGAAACACAATCACTAACCTCGGGTTTAACCTTGGGCCCTCCGTGTGCTCCTAGCCTCCTCTCAGGCTCCCTCCCAGGCATGGCTGCGAGGCTGGGAAGGCCCCAGAGTCAGCCCAAGTGGCATGGGTACAGCTTCAGCTTCATGTCTGCTTTTCTTTTAGGATGTATAGTTTCCCCTCTGTTTGCTGGAAGGCACCTTATATCCAGTGGGGTTAAATAAAGGTAGCCAGACCCCCGGCTGGGGTGCTACCGCCAGTGCCCAGCTAATGACGCATGTCTTTCAGGTGAGCCCTTGGGAGAGGATGGCCCATGTGGGGGACTGCACGCAGACGCCCTGGCTCCCCGTCCTGGTGGTAAGTGGTCTGAGCCCCTTACCCCCACAGCACCCTCATCCTCATGATGGTTGGACTGTTTCTTGGCCTCTTCAGCTGTAAAATGGGAATGCTGATCATAGTCCCTCCTCCACAGGGTTCTTCTGAGGGTGAAATGAAACCAGGCCTGCAAAGCACAGAACTCTGCCCCAGGCTGAAGTTACATTGATTTCGTTGGTAGCTCCCTTCATAGGGTCTCATGGATATAAACGTTCTTGATTGCTTGTTTGTGGTGTGATACACACAGCCCTGTGTCTATGTGATGAGCTCATGCTTGGGGGCCGCGCAGCTAAGAAAGACTTGGAAGACTCAGACCCCTACCCCCATCCTCCTGGACACGCCGGTGTTCTGAGAAGCCACTGTATTAGAGGCTCAGTGGGGGACAGGGGCGCCTCCTCCATGACCTTGGCAAGTGCGTTGATGAGGAGAACTCAGAGCAGGCCTTGATGGTGGGATGGGGCTTGGCCAGCAGGGGTGAGGCAGGGTGGTTCTAGTGGGGGCTGGCCGTGCCCAGGTGATCAACCAGGAGCCACTGGAGACTTAGCAGCAGTGAGCACTCACAAGCGGGCACCTTCCCAGACCGAGCCCCCAGCAGAGCCCCCACCGCAGGGCACCCCCTTCCTATGTCAACCTTGGGGTCTTGCAGGAGTCACATGTGTTTCTAAGGAGGTACGGAGGCCACAACACCCCCCTTTGTTGGCAGGTGTCTCTGATGTGCTCAGCCCGAGCGGAATACTCAAACTGCGGTGAGAACGAGTACTACAACCAGACTACGGGGCTGTGCCAGGAGTGCCCCCCGTGTGGGCCGGGAGAGGAGCCCTACCTGGTAAGGACCCAGCCCTCCTGGAGCCTGGTGCGCTCTCAGGGGAGGCCTCCTGCTTGTGGCATTGTTGCCCTGAGCCTGCCTTGCTGTGTGAGGGGATGCCAGGGTATATCAAACCAGCCGGTCACGCTCCCTGGACGTTGAGATTGATGGCAAGAGCTGCCGTGAGCCCAGGAATGGCACTCACCAGCTAAGCATTCATAAACAGATTTTTCAGGAGTTCTGAAATGTTTTTAAAGGATCACTTTCCCACTCTACCCTGATTAAATGAGCGTCAGATCATCTGATTGGAAGCAGGATTGAAATATTCTCCAGTACTAGTACATTTTTTCCTGAGTGCTGCATCTCCCTCCGCCTCTGGGCAAGCTAAGCCTGAGTGTTCTGTTCAGCACTAAGGGAAACCTCCGGGGTTTCAGTGTCCGGTTCTTGTAGCAAGCTGAGGAAAGTCAGATGCCAAGTGCTACCTGCACTGCCTGGGCATTCCAGCAGCTCGCTGAATTCATCTCGGGGAGGCTCAGAAAAGGGGCAGCATCTGGAGCCTGAGAGTGGCGAGGAGAGGGGCAAGCCCAGAGCATGAGCTGGTTCCTGGGGGGTTTTGCAGTTAGGACAACTCAGGAAACCAAGGCCCGGCAAGAGTAGCTTCTGGAGACAGCTGGCACGTCACTGCCCAAGGACTGTGGGCCGAGTCCGTATGGTTTGGCTGCTGCACTCACCTGTGTCCCCTGTCCTCTTTCCCTGGACAGTCCTGTGGCTACGGCACCAAAGACGAGGACTACGGCTGCGTCCCCTGCCCGGCGGAGAAGTTTTCCAAAGGAGGCTACCAGATATGCAGGCGTCACAAAGACTGTGAGGGCTTCTTCCGGGCCACCGTGCTGACACCAGGGGACATGGAGAATGACGCTGAGTGTGGCCCTTGCCTCCCTGGGTAAGCACAGGCCCTCCTGGCAAACCCTGGCATGCTTTCTGCAGAAAACCCCGAGGGGCTACGGGCAAGGACCTTGGGAACAGGGGTCATGGATACTGCAGGCCTCGGTGCAGCCGCACACCTGGCCTTGGTCCCATCCCACAAGGAGCAGCATCCAGGACGGAGAGTCCTGGCCCCTCCGGTGGACAGGCAGCCCATCAGGCTCTGCCTCTGTGTCTCCTAAGTGGCCATTAACCATCATAATATCTTCTGACCACCAAAAGGAAACAAATTGCTTGAATACTTACAGTGCAGTAGCGCATGTGAAACACTTTGGGAAAAAGAAAACTAAAATTTCATGCAAAAGCAGCATTTTTAGTATCCTGGGAACACTCTGGGGAAGCTACTAATAAAAATATTTGAGTCATATGATACCTATAATCCCTCCAAAATGATTATGCATCAGAAGTCTTCAAAAAGCTGAAAATGCAATTAGCCTGAAAGAGAGAAAGATAAAATCTTCCTTTTTCCAGGCATGACACCTCAGCAAATTCTGCCAGGGACCAGGAAAATACAGACTCTCAATCCCCAGAAAATCCTGAGCCATGATCATTGCTGCTTCCTCCCCCTAGTGGCCACAACACATCATGCTTTGCAAGGGCTACAAATAGAGACTAAAGATAAAAGCAGTGGTGGTGTCCCTGGTACAGCTGGTACAGGTGGGAGAGGTGATGGCAGTGATGAGGCTGGTGGGGACAAGGGAGGTGATGGCAGTGATGAGGCCAGTGGGGACGGGGGAGGTGACCACAGCTTAGTGCATAAGGCACACTCAGAGTGTCCTAGGAGTTGCAGAAGGACCTCTCACCTCATGGCTGGGGAGGTAGTGTCAGCAGAGGTCTTGGGAGATTTGTGGAGGTGATGCCTGGATGAGTTAGGCTAAGAAGTAGGACTAGGACAGAGGCCTGCAAGTGGAGATGCCGACGCCAGAGTTCAGAGGGCTGAGCAGCTGGGCAGTGCCTGGGGCTCTGATTGGGTCCCTGTGGCCAGAGCAAGAGTTGTACACCTGGGGGTGTGGACAAGCTGGGCAGGAGGGCAGGGAGCAGATGGAACCAGGCTCTGGAAACCACCGCTGAAGACTTGAGCCTTCCGCTCGAAGCTGATGCAGGTCAACACGCAGACTGCTGAGCCAGGGATGCTGTGGGCAGGGAGAGGGCTGGAGCAGAGGCACCGGGGGTGGAGGAGAGGAAGAATCTGAGAGCCCCCTGAAAGACAGCACTGACCAGGGGTGCAGATGGCACTCAGAAGGGGAAAGAGATTCAGAAGAGGATACTCAGGTGTCTCCATGACTGGCCATGTGGAAATAGTGCCATTTGTCAGCTGCAGAAGACAGGAGCAAGAGGGTGCTTGGTGGGGAGGTGGAGGGAGGATAGAGGTTGTGTGTGTGGAATTTGAGGGGACTATGGGACATCCAGACCTAGATAGCTAACCCAGAGATGGCCTGAACCTCCAGGCAGAGATCCAGAGCTGGGAAGTCACTATGCACTCAGGGTGCTGGGGGCCGCTGTAGTAGAAGGGTTCCCCATGGGGCAAATTCCTACTGCAGGGAGAGGGTGGGTGCACCACGGAACCTCGCCGACCTATGCTGCTGGCTCTGGCCTGGCTACGGTTCAGACCTGAGAAGGTGTCCATCAGTACCCGAAGGCCAGGGCTGACTCTATGGCCTGAAGACCACGTGCTTGGTTCTGATACATTTACCAGAAAGTGTGTAATTACTAAAGAAGTTGGACACTGGAAGGGTGGTGAGCTCCCTGCCTCTAGAAGAATTCAGGCGAATGTGGACAGCCATCTGCAGAATTAGTGGGCAGGCTGCTCTCTGGGCTTTTAAACATTCTTTCCAGTGCTGGAATCTTGATGCCTCCCGCCCTACTCCATGGGACAGTGACCTGCTCAGTCCACACCACTCTCAGCACCCAGGACATAGCAAGGCCCAGCACACCTGCTGGGCAGGCAAGGGACCCTGTGCAGAGACACCCTCAGCACGTGCCTCAGAGTGCCTTCGCACTGCTCCGCAGGGGTGCAGACGATGGGGACAGTTTCCAGGTTGGCTCCATGATGTGCTGTGTCTGCTCAAAGCCTCACTGCCAGTCCCAACGCCCACCAAAATTGAAGGCCCCCGCCTCACCTCCGAATCCCAGCCCCTCTCAGGGGCTCATGCTGCCCCCTCTACTGCAGACAAGGCTTCCCCAGGGTAGGACCCTGGAGGCCCCACTTCCTCTTACGAGGCTGTCACGCTGTGTCACAGAGGAGGATCACAGGAGTCTTGGCAGGCCGGTGTGACTAGCTCCATGAAAGGCTGCGTTCATTCCTGAATCCAAGTGGCTGTCAGGCTGTGGATGCGGATTGCCTTGTCCCAGTCTCTCCTGGGCCCAGGCCCCTGCCTGCGGTTTGGCAGGTGCTTCTCCTGATGCTCCGCCCTCCCCACAGTGTGGCCAGGACACTTGCTGAACAATGAGCAGCACCCGAGGCTTTCCTGTTGGGAGAGGTTGTGTGGGAGGACCTGGGAACCAAAACAGGAGGAAAGGGGGAGAGAGAGGTTACGCTTCCTCACCTCTCCAGGCCTCACCCCGGAGGAGCTCCACCACCCCGCGATTCTGGATGGCGGGGGCAGGGGGCAGGACACAGCGACTCTGCACTGGTTCTGCACACCAACACGGTTGGAGGAAAATGAACATCTGGGAATCTGCGGCGTCCCTTACAGGCATGAGAGTCCTGAAGAAAGGAACTCTCTGGGAAAATGTACACCTATTGACTGAGAGAAAGTCAGTCCTTAAACAACAGATCCCAGGGGACCCATTTAAACTGACTCTTGTCCTGGGCTATACACCTGAATCAACCTATGTAGAACAGGGGTTGGGGGGCTAGGGAGAAAGTCAAATATGGATCAAAAAGTAGCAAATTAGACCTTTCCAGAAAGACGAAGGGACCGGACACTCTGTAGCTGGGCCAGAGATCCCTAAATGAACACCTGATTTCGGGTTGGTGACAAGCCCAGGCAGAAAAAGACAGCCACATGTTCTTTGTTGCTGTGCAGCCCAGGATGAGAGACCCAGGTGTAAGCCAGGCGGTGAGGAGTTTAGCCTAGTCCTACAGAGAGAACCTAACATTTAGAAATGTTGCATGCAGCAATACGTGCTAGAAAACGGTGGCTTCTCCTTGTCAGGAGGCACTGAACACTCACTGGGTGAGGAAGGACAGTTTCATAACAGCCTCTTGGAGCCAATGTTTTTTTAAAAGTTTATCACCGGTCAGGCTCGGTGGTTCACGCCTGTAATCCCAATACTTTGGGATGCCAAGGCAGGTGGATCACTTGAGGTCAGAAGTTTGAGACCAGCCTGGCCAACAGGTGAAACCCCATCTCTATTAAAATATAAAAATTAGCCAGGCGTCGTGGTGCATGCCTGTAATCCCAGCTACTTGGGAGGCTGAGGCAGGAGAATTGTTTGCACCTGGGAGGCGGAAGTTGCGGTGAGCCAAGATTGCTTCTCTGTACTCCAGCATGGGCAACAGAAGGAGACTGTTTCAGGGGGAAAAAAAAAAGTGTATCACCTTTCAATATTCCTTAACTGAGTGACTTGATAGGTTGCATAGCTTGACCCATACACATGACCCCCACAGATGAGGGTGGCCAGCCTGTGACAGAAGGTGCCTCGTGCCCAGGACAAGTCAAAGACACAGTCGTGGGACAGAGCCACCACCCTCCCCATGCTCAAAATGTAGTGGCCCCATTGGGCACCCATCATAAAGCCGGGTGTTGTGCATCCGCCGTGTAGCCTTGGAGCTTTACCCATGACAGAGACCAAGCCCGGCACCTGGGGTGTGAACTAGGATGGGCAGAGAGGCCTTTTGGGGCCTCTGTCCACCTCAGCATCAAAGTTCCACGGAGAAGAACTTGGTGTCATTCATTCATTCAGCCAATGTTTACAGACAATCATCCTTCCTTAGTACCTAGCACAAGGTCCAAGGAATAGAGACGTGAACAAGGCTTGCCCTGGAGGGCCTCCCAGCCCAGGAGCGGGACCAATAGACGTGAACAAGGCTTGCCCTGGAGGGCCTCCCAGCCCAGGAGCGGGACCAATCCCCCTAGGTGGGAGAGAGAATGCGTGGAGGTAGAGTGAGAAAAGGTGGAGGAGGCAAGGGCGAGGAAGTGAGGCACAGAGGAGGTGAGATGGGGAGCAGGTGGCCACCTAGGAGCCTGAGATGTTTCTCAGAAGTGTCAGCGTGGGCCAGGGACGTTAGAAAGCTGCAGGTTGACCTGGTCTGGCCCACATGCCCGTGAACTCACAAGGCCACGTGGCAGACACCTGCCTTGGCCTGCCTCATAGAAAGAAGTGGCTTCTGGAGGGCAGAAGGTAGATTTGCGAGAGGCTTAGCTGTAAAACTGGCTGTCGTGGCTTCTCTGGGAGGTGTTTTGAGATTGGTTAATTAATGTTTACAAGATACACAGGGATCTGAGGATAAAGGGCTTTGAGGGAGGGCAGGCAATTATGGTCCTAACATTACTGGTAACAGTCCAGGCTCAGGAAGGCAGGAGCCCACAGACCCCCGTGCCAGGCTGCTGCTTAGCACTACCGTCAGCAGGGGCCTCCATGGGGCCTGGCTAATAAAAAAGAGATTAGAAAGCAGCCATGGAAATATTCCTTCTCATCCCAGTTCTTGAATCGCAATAGGGAAAGTGTTGGCACCGCTCACGTTATTTAATCGACTACTCACAGTGTGACAAATGGCTCCATGCTCTCCGCTGAGCATTTGTTTATGGAAAATGGGCCCAGGCTAGGATAGGAGCTAGAGCCTGCAGAGGGAAGGCGCCCGAGCTGGGAGCCCCAAGGAGAGGGTGGTGCCAGCAGGGGCTGTGCCTGGGAGCGGGACGGCTGCAGGGAGCACAGCCACAGGGCAGACCCCTGAGAGCAGGACCTGAGCAGTCATATAGCCACGGGGCTGGCACTGTGACATCGGGGAGCTGAAAGACATAATGGAACATCACTGGGAGCTGAAGGACTTCAAACAGAGCTACTGTGAATGATTTGTCCCTTGCACTGTGTGTGCAGCCCCAGCGTAAAGGCTTGCACTTCCAAGGGTGTCTTCTGTCAAGTGCTTTCTGAGAAGGAGGCACTTACAACCTGGTTGTGTTGCCAGCTATCATGAGGGCCACCTGCATTGACCTCTCTGGACAGCACAACCGTCTGTCTCCTGCAGCTGCACTCTGGTGGCATTCAGCAGCAGTAAAGATGGCTTGGGAGTTCCAAGGGTCCCAGAGGCACACTGATGCCTATAATCCCACTAGGCTGCAGGCTCTGGGGAGGGTGCTCACAGAGGGCATGTTCCTCCTCCAGGAAGGTCTGGCCTTGGTTGGTGTGACCCCTGGGGGGCTAAGCAGGCCCTACATGTGGGGGCACAGGGATATTTCTGGTGGATGATGTGATGGCACACACACTAAACACAGCCACCAGAGAGAGGAACCAGAAAGGGGCTGAGATCAAAAGAAAGGCCCACGTTGGCAGCTCAATATTGTTAAAAGAATGCTCCATTTCAAGACAGGCTGAAACCCCAAGGAAACTGAGTGGACAGAGCAGGTGACTGAGTGGGCGTGGCCTCATGCCCGACTTGATTGTGGGCCTGCAGACTGGCCACCGTGCTCTCTGCACCAGTCCCTGCCTGTGTGCTGTCCAGCTCACCTGTCTCTGTTTTGTCTTGTCTCTCCCCCGTAGCTACTACATGCTGGAGAACAGACCGAGGAACATCTATGGCATGGTCTGCTACTCCTGCCTCCTGGCACCCCCCAACACCAAGGAATGTGAGTGTCTTTGTCCTTCCACCAGCACGGTATTTGTTCAGCACGGATCCCTTTCACTACAGAGGGTGTAGGAAAGAGCCGGTCCTGGCACCTGGACAAGGTGAATCACAGTAACAGCACTAGTGAAAGTGCTCCTGTGGCCTGTCCAGGCAGGTCTATGAAGGGAGGGATGTTTGCCACATCTGAGCCTTGAGTCAGAGGCTGAGGTTCTAGTGCAGGTTGGCCACCAGCTACCTGACAAGTCACTTAACCTCCATGAGCCTCGGTTTTCTCATCGGTAATATGGGGGTACTAACATCTGACCTTCCCATCTCTCACGGTCATTGTGAAAACAAAGGAGATCACAGAGGCAAAGTACTACTATTTTGCAAAGTACTACAAAGTGCTAGGTGACAGTGAGGCCAAGGAAAATATAAATGTGATCACAATTAATGAAACAGATTCCACAAAGCACATGTAAACAGTCTCAGGAGTTTATAATCCTGCCTTGGGGTGTTTCTTTCCTGTTATCCTTTCTGGCTTTCATGGGCATCTGTTTATGACGAAGGGCCAGGTACCTCTGCCTCAGAGGAATGTGCTGTGTAGACTCTTAGATGTGTGGTCTGGGGAGAGACGGAGGCAGGTAGGACAAGCAGCTGGGAGGAAGCTGGGTGTCTGGTGCCGGGCTGCAGGAGCACTTGCCACCCTCTGGCTCCTTCAAGGGTGGAGGAGGAGCTGACCCTGGGACCCTGCCTCTCTTTGCTCTCCATAAGGCGCCACTACCCCCATGTCTCATAATAATGTTGTCCAGGAGAAGAAGGAGAGCCTGCGTCTTATCACGCTGGAAAGAAGGGGAGGAGCAGGAATGGGGCGCAGCATCTCCTCTCTCCTTTTGGTCAAGCCAGGAGGAGGGTTCTGTGCTGTGGGCTGTGCTGCAGGAGGAGCAATGCATGAGCCCTGCACCAATGTGTTTGCTCGTCTTCAAAGCCATTTTCCTGGCCAGCCATATGCTAATTAATTCACAAATTAGAGGAGGCCGCAGCTCGGCTGCCAGCCTGACTCATGGTGAAGCCAGCTGCCATGGCCCGCATGTCCTCTGTGGGGATCTAGGCTGATTCAAGGCCAGATCATTCTGGGTTGAAGAACCAGTCTGGAAAGATGTCAGACACTCCCCACCTATTCACAAAAGCATCTTTGCCTGTGGAACCTGGGAGAGGAGCAGTCCTCCTCAGGGGCTTTTCTGTTCAAGAGTTCTCACATGGCACAGCCTTCAATGTTCAATGTCTGGCAGCCAGAGCAGACTTGAGTCACGGCAGGGGCGCCTCTCTAAGTCCAGCAATGAGGTCTATCACATGTGGAAAGCAAGCAAAGTCCCCTGAGTCCTCAAGATTTTAAAGATGAGCGCACCCCACTCCCACCCCCAGCCCTTGCCTGCTTTACTGAAAGCCGGCTCCGAGGAAAGCCTCGGGGTAGGGCCTTAGAATCCGGCCCTGAAGGAGGTCAGCAGAGAAATAGACAGTCCTGCTGTGTTCCCATTAGAGGCCCCTTGGGCAAGGCCCCAGACCTCGGCTTGCCCATCTGGGAAATGGGGAGATGCGGCCAGATAGGCCTTGGGGTGGATGGAGCCCTCTGGGTTAGGGCCTCGGTGTGAATGCCAAACAGAGTGATGCCCTCCACCCCTGGGCCTGCCCTGGTCTCAATCCAGAGATCTCTTTACTCAGAGCACCTGCCCAGCAGTCAGCAAAAACGTCGGAGCTAGAAAGCCCCATGGAGTCACTAAGACCCACACACACAGGACTGCCATCAGCAGCCCCACTCTGGGCAGCAAACATTTCATCAGGAGCCCGAAGTTGCCAACTGGCTGCCCAGGTCCAGCAGGCCCTGTCTTTGTCAAACCCACAGTTGTGGTCAAGAGCACCTCTTCCTCCCCTCTGTTTTCTTGATTTACCTGGGCCCTCGCCAAACAAAGTGCACATCCTTGGTACTCTGCAGCAACAAATGGTGGATTACGCAAACCACCGTCAGACTTGCCAAGGGCCCCTGGCTGAGGATGACACCCACCTAGGAGAGCTACAGCAGACAATGGGTCGCAGCTGCAGGGGAGACACCAGCCAGGAGTGAGCCCAGGTCAGTGTCAGGGTCTCCCCAGCCTAGGAGTGCCCACAGCTCTGCCCCACACCTCCCAGGCTCTAACCCTATGCCTAGGCACCTGTGCAATGCAATTACCTCCTATCCTTAAAGAGACGGCAGCTTCTCTGCACCTCTGTGAAGCAGAGGGTTTCAGGGGGGTGATTCGCAGGGGAGCACCCTGGGGGTTTCTTATGACTCGAATTGCTTGGCCCACCCCCGATTCATCAGGTCTGGGTGAGCCAGAGAATGTACATTTTTAACAAGTTTGGGAACCACTACGGTAGGTTATGAGCCTGCTCTGGAACTTCACTGCCTGAGTTAGACGAGTTATCTCACCTCCCAGAGCCTCATGTCCTCTCCTGCCCCGGGCAGCTCCCAGTGGTGCCCACTGCCCAGGCTCCTGTGTGGCTCAGGCGCAATTTTGCCCACCAAATCCTCCCAGAAGCACATCATGAGTGCCCCAGGGCGTTAATTAATGTGGTGCAGCCCCTCAAATAACCCTGAGGAGAAATGAAAAAGCAACATATATTTTCCTTTAAAATGGAATAAAATCATTCCAGTTTCTGGGGTTGCCAAGTAATGAGAGGGAAACCAAAGAGGACAGGCGTCAGATTGCAGATCAGTCCTGGCTGTGGGTTGGTTGTCACCTTGGATTGGAACATACTCGCCCCCAGCTCTGAGCCTGTACTCAGTGACTGCAATACTGTGGAGCCCTGTAGCCCGGTGAAAAGAGATGAAAAGGCCTTCGGTTATTTTTCAGTTAACTTAAAGAGCAAGATGTACTTGGGGTGACCAGAGCTTTCTGGTTTTCTGTTTTCCCTGCACCATCCTGCATAAAGGGATCTGTGATTTAATGACAGTGGGGGCAGGGAGGTCAACCCGTTGCCCTGCCGTAACAGAGAGGAAGATAGGGTCCAGCATCAGGCTTGGATTTCATTACAAGTTATCACCCCTGGGAAAGTGTCCTCATCTGCAAAATGGGGACATGATTGTTGGGAGGAAAGATGTGATGACGTGGGCGATGCATGTGGAGTGCTTACTCCAGTGCCAGGCGCCAGGCACTGACCAGAGATGAAGCATCCCAGCCCAGCAGGCGGCATGGCTCCACGGCACGTGAGCTGGCCTGCACTTCCCTCACTGACTGGCGGTGTGGACAGCACACAGAAGGGGAAAGAGATTCAGATGAGGACTCAGGTGTCTCTGTGACTGGCCATGTGGACATGGTGCCACTTGCTCAGCTGCAGAAGGCAGAGGCAAGAGGGTGCTTGGTGGGGAGGTAGAGGGAGGATGAAGGCTGTGTGTGTGGAATTTGAGGGGACTGTGGGACATCCAGACCAAGATAGCTAACCCAGAGATGGCCTGAAGCTCCAGGCGGAGAGATCCAGGGCTGGGAAGTCAGCTACGCACTCAGGGTGCCGGGAGCCACTGGGCAGAAGGGCTCCCCATGAGGCAGCTTCGTAGTGCGGGGAGAGGGCAGGTGCCCCACGGAGCCTCGCTGACCTACACTGCCGGCTCTGGCCCGGCTACAGTTCAAACCCGAGAAGGCACCCCAGAGCCTGGGACACTGGGCAGCAGAAATCCTTCCCTAGAAAAGCAGTCAGGGCCAGGCGCAGTGGCTCACACCTGAAATCTCAGCACTCTGGGAGGCCTAAGCAGGCAGATCATCTAAGGTTGGGAGTTCAAGATCAGCCTGGCCAACATGGAGAAAACCCGTCTCTACTAAAAATACAAAATTAGCTGGGCGTGGTGGTGCCTGCCTGTAATCCCAGCTACTCGGGAGGCTGAGGCAGGAGAATCACTGGAACCTGGGAGATGGAGGTTGCGGTGAACTGAGATTGCGCCATTGCACTCCAGCCTGGGCAACAAGAGCGAAACTCCGCCTCTAAATAAATAAATAAATAAAAAGCGGTCAGAGGGTTAATGAAAGAACGCAATAGCCTGGCAGCTGTTTTCTTATCATCAGTGACGAAGTCCCCTCAGGCAAATCCAGAGCAGGCTGGCCTTTTGGAGAAATCTCTGCTACTCTGCGTACTCCCGTGGTTTCCGTCTCTTGTGCCCGGATGCTCTTCCGTGACACTAAACAGCAAGCACTGCCCCTCAGGTGTGAAGCGGGCCTCCCAGCCTCCCAGACACCGGCGCTCAGTTGCTCCTGGCTCAGAGCCTCTCAGACCTGACTGCACACACATCTCCAGGGACCCGCTGAGCAATGGATTCTGACACAGCGGGTCCCAGTGGGCCCGAGACTCAGCATTTCTAGCAGGTTCCCAGGGGACCCCACTTTGAGCAGCTAGAGAGTCTCTGCGAGTCTGCCCACAGTTCAGAATCTGCCACTGGGGGTACACAGCCAGTGCCACAGTCTGGGACCCCTTGTTGACAGCTCTAAGAATCAACAAACAGATCATTCCTAAAAATGCAATCTTTTACCCTCTGCAGAGAATCCCAGCCAGCCTCTAATGCATACTGGTGAGATTCTAAATTGTGTGGATTAACAGACCTCAAAGACCCCCATATGAGCTATTGTGGCTGTAAATGGAGGCGTAGCTCCCTCCAGCCATGTGCTTCTGGCTCACTGAGCATTCCTGGGGAAGGGGAACACAGTGCCCGGCAGGACCCTCCCCGGAGTCACCACTGCCTCGAACTCCACGCGAGGTAGGCAGAACCAGTCCCCGCTCATTTTCACTTTAAAATAGGCCTTGTGAGGACATTTTTGCCTGTTTTGTGGAACTGCAGTTCATACCAGCTTTTATCAAACACCCCAGCCTTGCTTATTCGAAACTCAGGTGCACACGGAAGTGTACAAGGGGAGATGGACCCGCAGTTGGCCACCCAACAGAAACCCACCTGGAGCACCTTGCACTTAACAAGCATCCCAAGAGGCAGATGAACCGAAACACACAGCACACAGTGGACCGGGGTGAAACCTCCAGACACTGTATATTTGGTTAGTGCAGAGTTAATCCTCAGTAGACAGGCATAGACCCTGGCCCAGGAGAACTTGGGTGCAGGTGCAGGGGGTGCCGGTGCCTATCCTGGGGGCTGCACAGGGCTGCATCTCCACCAGGGCTCGCGCCCCACCCTGGTTTGTCTGTGGACCCCCAGCTGGTGACAGTGGAAGGAGTGGACATGGTGGGAAGAGGATCAGCCCAGACCGCTCTCTTTTCCTTTTAATATTCTGGGTTTTGCCCAAACCTCTTTTAGACATCACGTGCATTCAACATGATGCTGGTGCGCTAATAATATAAAAATGCATACTTGTATGATTCTGGGATGGATTTTTTTCAAGCATTTAGGGGTAATGCAGAGTAGGTGCTTGTTTTCCATGGCAATTTTTCTGACTCGCCTGGAAAACAGCAGACCCACCCAGGGCTGATTATCCAACCTCTGCTTCAGGCTCTGCAGGTGCCTTCATTAGCTGCCCTCAAACCACACCCATTGCTGCCCAAGGTTGGCACTTTGGGACCGGATCTGCTCACCTGTTCTTGTGGGTTATATGTGTAGTGACAGTGGCAGCAAGCAGAGGTGAGACACTTGTGTGGGGGGCTGACCTCACCCTCATGAGGTCAGCCCTGCAGCCAGGGATGGCAAGGCCCACCGCCTCCCGTTTGACCCCCCTCTAGTCTTAGCATACCTTCTGTCTTGCCCGGGGGCAGAGGCACTGAATTGTGGACAAAAAAGACCAAGTAAGCTAGATGCTTGTTCTTCTTTCAATTGATACATAATAATTGCACATGTTTATGGGGTACAGAGTGAAATTTCCATACATGTATACAAAGTGTCATGATCTGATCAGGGTAATTATGATATCCATGACCTCAAACGTTTATCACTTCTTTGTGTTGGGAACACTGCAAATCCTCTCTTGTAGCTGTGAGAAATATACAATGCATTATTGTCCGCTGTAGTCACCCTGCAGCGTGCCAGAGCTCAGAACAACTCCTCCTGCCCGGCTGGACTTTTGTATTTGTTAACCAGCCCCTCCTTCCCCACCTCTGTTCTGCTCCACTTCTATGAGATCCACTCCTTTGGCTTCCACACGAGCCGCGCGTTGCTTTTATGAAACAGCTGTGCTTGGGGCAGATCCATTTCCTTTTTTGCCACAAGCACCTTCCCTCGCCTGTCGGCCACGGAGCTGTGACTCTGAAAATTCTGGCACACCCTTGCCTTTATCTGTGGTTTGAGGGTCTTTGCTCCTCTCCCTTCTGCTGAAAAGGCAGCTCCATTCCTTATTGCCGAGCTCCGAGCGCAGGGAAGAGGCCCATTGTCAGGAAGTGAGCTGCTGCCCTTTGGTGGCCTGGGTGGCCTGTGGGCAAGTCTGAATCCCCATGTCCTCCTGCTCCTTGGGCAATGATCTAGTGACTGTGATTCTCCTGACCAGTCTTGTGAGAAGTGTCTCCCTGCAGATGCTCTAGTGGCCCTGGGAACTTTGGAACGTGAGGGGGCTTGTGGGGTCTGGCTGATTGGGTGCTGGCTTTCAGCTTCAGTCCTGACACGAGAGGCTGAGCTCTGGAGAAATGTCAGGGTCCACCATCCCACCCATCTTGCCCCCACCTCCTCGGCTGCGCACACGTGCTCAGAGCAAGCATTTCTCTCACCAACTCAGGGATCCCTGCACACCAGGGAGCACCCAGCCTACACCTGCAGCCTGGCACAGTTGGGGACCGTTTAGTTGGTGCCAGCTGGAGGTGTTTGGAGGGAACCATCCGGTGATCAGGATAGAGGCACAGCTGGCCGAGGGCAGGTGGGCGCCTGTGGGTGCAGGAAGATGTCACATCTGCAGGCATTGTTTGGGGACGTCATTGTGTAACCAGCCCTGCAGGGCTGCAGAGGCATCCCACAAGTCTGTGTGCTCTCTAGGCTGCGTTTATTGCCCCACTCTAGACCACAGGCCTGGGCATATTTGTGTCCCCATCCCCAACCCTGTCACCTGAAGCAGCCTGCGAGCCCCGACAGGAAGGGACAAGAAGAGGCGAAGATGACAAACATTCACAGACAGCCCACGGCTGTTCTTTTGCTCTGACAGTGTATCTTAAGCTCCCTTGAGCGCCTTACTGAACAGATAGATCAGCTTCTTTTCAATCTCTTGTTTGCTCTTATAAAGGAAATTAGGTCATGCTGGAAACTATGCCATGATGCCCCTATGCTCACTCACCTGATGAAGTGTGGGAGGCTACCCCCCAGCAAACAGAAATGGGCACACAATCTGAAGCCTCCTTATCACACTGGAGACTTCCAGAGCAACTTCAGTAAGGTCTGTGAGGGGGAACGCTCTGTTGTTTGACATGGGCTTGTGGCTTTCAGCTAGGGGCACGCACTTCTCCACCAGCTCTTTTTTTATTTTTATTTATTTTTTATTTTTTTTTTGAGATGGAGTTTCGCTCTTGTTGCCCAGCATGGAGTGCAATGGCGTGGTCTCGACTCACTGCAACCTCCGCCTCCCGGGTTCCAGCGATTCTCTTGCCTCAGCCTCCCCAGTAGCTGGGATTACAGGCACCTGCCACCAGGCCCAGCTAATTTTTGTACTTTTAGTAGAGTTGGGGTTTCACCATGTTGGCCAGGGTGGTCTCAAACTCCTCTTAGGTGATCCTCCCGCCTCGGCCTCCCAAAGTGCTGGGATTATAGGCATGAGCCACCGTGCCTGGGCAGCTCTTTCCCTAATAAGAACACTGGTTCTGAGGCCAAGTAAGAGGCTAAATTAAGAAAGCAAAGATTTATCATAAGTTTGAGGCCCACGAGGAAAAAAGCCTCCATTCATCATCCAGAAACACAAGGAAACATCATTTGCCCCTCAGTGGACAGGTGATGTTTCTTACATACCCTATGACATAGCTGCCCTGGTCCCTCCCAAGCCCAATGTTTCATTGGCCAAGCTTCCAATTTGCTTTACAAGGTGTGAGGACAGAGAAGCATCCAGCCCATTCTCCTGTGGCCCTGCTCCATTTAGAGCAGACACGAGTGGATAGCTCAGCTGGTCACTAGCTCCTGGGCTGCCCCCACTCACAGAACAAGAGTGTGCGTTTCTCCTGAGAACTTCCTACTAAAGAAAACAGCCAGCCCAGGCATGGATTACAGGCTCACACCTGTAATCCCAGCACTTTGGGAGGCCAAGGCAGGTGGATCACTTGAGGTCAGGAGTTCAAGACCAGCCTGGCCAACGTGCATTTTTCTCTATAAAAAATACAAAAAGTAGGTGTGGTGGCACACACCTGTACTCCCAGCATCTCAGGAGGCTGAGGTGGGAGGATCACTTGAGCCCAGGAGGCAGAGGTTGCAGTGAGCCAAGATCGTGCCACTGCACTCCAGCCTGGGTGACAGAGTGAGACCTTGTCTCAAACAAAACAGAAAAACAGTCCAACTAGGAAGCTTGCTTCTCCCGGAAGCCTTGCTGCATGGGCTGACCAGGCACAGTGCTGGGCCATTCCACTGGGCTGGGCCAGGCTGGGGAGGTACCTTGATTTGGGGATGGCAGCTGGCCTTGTCCTTGACTCAGGGGCTGCTTTTCTGTAGACCAAGTGCACTTCACGGATTTCTCCAGAACTGGTAGAGACAAAAGTGAGAGAGTGGGAGATGCATTTGAAGCATGTTGGCTTTATTATTTGCAAAACTGAAGTCTGGCCCAAAAGAAGGTTGATCTTCTTTTAGGAGGTCTGGAACAGGACGTGGTCTCTTCTGTGGTGGAATGTTTTTGTTTTGGCTGAATGGTTGCGTCTTAGTGATTTGACTGAGAGCAAAATCAGCTTCCATTTTATCCCCGCTAAGTCACACTTTTTCCATAGAAGGGGAGTTGTGGGAAGCATAGCTTTAAGGGAAGGCAAAGCACACCTTGCTCTGAAACTCTTTGGTCACAACCATGTAAAAACATGTCTGAGGAAAAATCCTAGGCAGAAATACAGCAAAAGTCCACTTAGCCAAGGAGGCCATGGGTAGTTCTTTTCCTCCTTTCTTGTGTTCTTATTTTTCCAGATTTTTATTTTTATTTTATTTTTATTTTATTTTTTTTTGAGACAAAGTTTCACGTTTGTTGCCCAGGCTAGAGTGCAGTGGTGTGATCTCGGCTCACTGCAACCTCCACCTCCCGGGTTCAAGCGATTCTCCTACCTCAGCCTCCTAAGTAGCTGGGATTACAGGCATGCGCCATCATGCCTGGCTAATTTTTTGTATTCAGTAGAGATGCGGTTTCACCAGGTTGGCCAGGCTAGTCTTGAACTCCTGACCTCAAGTGATCCACCCACCTTGGCCTCCCAAAGTGCTGGGATTATAGGCATGAGCTACCGCGCCCGGCCCCTTTTCTAGATTTTTTTTTTTTTTTTTTGAGACGGAATCGCACTGTGTCACCCAGGCTGGAGTGCAGTGGCGCAATCTCAGCTCACTGCAAGCTCCGCCTCCTGGGTTCACGCCATTCTCCTGCCTCAGCCTCCCGAGTAGCTGGGACTACAGGCGCCTGCCACCACGCCCGGCTAATTTTTTGTATTTTTAGTAGAGACGGGGTTTCCCTGTGTTAGCCAGGATGATCTTGATCTCCTGACCTCGTGATCCGCCACCTCTTGTCCTTCTAACAAGAAGAACTCATACCCATACTACGTAAAGATAGCTATCGCATACACTTTTATCACCAGCCTCCTTCCCACAACAATATTTATATGTATAAATCAAGAAGCTATTATTTCAAACTGATGCTGAACAACAATCCCAAAGTGCTGGGATTACAGGCGTGAGCCACCATGCCTGGCCCCCTTTTCCAGATTTTTAATAGTGAGCATATATTACTTTTATGACTGGAAAAAGTATTAACACATTCCTACTCTATGTAATTGAAGGAATTAGTCAAGTATTGTATCACCCTAATAGTACTTTCATGTACACACTCTATGTTGCTTATTTTTATGGATTTCATATACTTTGTCTCCACGCATAGGAAAATTGAGTTGGTGAGGCTTGCAAAACTCCCCAACCCACACTGTTTAGTTTTAGCAGACTTATCACATGAGTGTTTTCATTTAAAGAACAATAACCAGCCGGGCGCGGTGGCTCATGCCTGTAATCCCAGCACTTTGGGAGGCCGAGGCGGGCAGATCACAAGGTCAGGAGATCGAGCCCATCCTGGCTAACATGGTGAAACCCCGTCTCTACTAAAAATACAAAAAAATTAGCCAGGTGTGGTGGTGGGTGCCTGTAGTCCCAGTTACTTGGGAGGCTGAGACAGGAGAATGGCGTCAACCAGGGAGGCAGAGCTTGCAGTGAGCCGAGATCACGCCACTGCACTGTAGCCTGGGCAACAGAGCAAGACTCCGTCTCACCAAAAAAAAAAAAAAAGAACAATAACGATGACTCTTTAGGGTTCATTAAACAGTCTAAGAAATACAAATATTTAGCTCCCCTCAGCCATCACTGCCTCAGGCCCATTCATGATCATGAATCCAGATCCATGAGCTCTGTGGCAGCGTCTTTGAAGGTGGAGCTTCTCTGGATCATTTGAGGGACTCTATTTTCCTTGCAGGTGTGGGAGCCACTTCAGGAGCTTCTGCCAACTTCCCTGGCACCTCGGGCAGCAGCACCCTGTCTCCCTTCCAGCACGCCCACAAAGGTGAGGAGGGTGCTCAGGTATCGATCACCTGGAGTTAGGTGGTACTCGGATGAAAGCTCAGAAGAGGAGAGGAAATGATCATGAGTGATGATTATGGTGCGCTTCCCCACCTGGCCTCACCTCCCTAATGTAATTGAATGACATGTTGCCCCCCGTGCAGGAAGTCATTATATCTGCAATCAGAGTTGATCCCTCTATGGGTGTCCTGGGACCGCTGGGAGGTGCTGGTGGTGAAGGCGGGGGCATAGCGGCAGGTGGACAGCACAGGCAGCTGCAAGCCCGGCCAGGAGGAGAGACCAGGCGTCCTGGGCTTTGGTTTGGCCGGGAGTTAACAGCAATTCTATCACTGGTTTTCATATAAACATGCTGACCATAGCACTTTAATATTAACTTGCAGAATGTACATTTCATTCTCCCTAACCAGGGAAGAAGGGATTGAGGAGGACCCCAAAGTTTAATATGTCTCTCAGAGTCAGCCCTCCAGCTGGCTTGGCCTTTCTCTCTCACTGGTTTAGTGCCAGCCCATTATTGAAGCATGTTTCGGGCCCAGGTCTCAGCGAGCCGTGAGGTACCCTCCAGAGCCCTCAGAGCACCCAGCTCGTCAGCTTCATCTCTGGGCCTCCCACGCGCTAACGCAGAGCAAAAGGCAGGACTGCTGGGCGAGGATATATGAATCTCATTTGCACAGGCCCCGGGGGGAGTAGCTCAAAACACGGAGAATATTAAAACACTTATGTCATCCAGACCTGGCATGCTAACGCTATTACAGGTATTCCCCAGATGATGCTGGGAGGCTGGTTTTCCTGCAGATGCACCCACAGGGGAGGCTCAGCGCCCACATGCGGGGTTCTCAGCTCTGGCACTACCTCCCCCGAGATGATTTGGGAGCTTCAGATGCTGGTCTCCTGTCTATTTGGGTGGTGGCAAATCTGGATCTTAGTTCAAGACAATCAGAGTCCTGTTTGGTTATTTTAGAGAATGAGAATGAGCTTCAGGGCATTTTATGCATCCAGGGTCGACATTAACCTGGGAACTGAGCAAAATCCCCCGGGGTGACTGAGGGACTGCCTGGTGGAGGCGGCAGTGCAGGTGGAATAGGTGGCCCAGCCGAGGCACCCCCTGTGCCCTGGGGCTCTTACAATGACACTTAGGTTGAAATTGCATGAGGTGCAAGATGGAGCCAAACCTGGAATCCAGAGCTGACTTTCGCATCCTGACTTTTGTTTGGAAATGCCCAAACTTGAATTGTGCTGCCTTCCAGCCACTCTTGTTCACTGGCCTTTCTTCCTCTCCACACCAAACCCTGCCCTCAGGTTGCCAAAGCAGTAGAAGCAAGAGCAAACTCCCTAGGAACAATCAGGTGACCCCAGAGAAGTCTGGAGAGGCCAGTCTGAGGGCAGCGAGCAGGGCTGTGGGCAGTCCTGGTCTGGCAGCCAAAACCAGCGCGGAGGATTTGGTTCTCAGTCTAAGCAAGCACCTCAGATTTCAGGGTTCCCTGAAAGCATCCCAGGGGCAGGGCCATTGCTTCCAGGGGCCGGAGTCCTGGAGGGAAGACCAGCAGGGATCCTGAGCTCTGGGTCATTCATGCCTTCTCTCCACCCACAGAACTCTCAGGCCAAGGACACCTGGCCACTGCCCTGATCATTGCAATGTCCACCATCTTCATCATGGCCATCGCCATCGTCCTCATCATCATGTTCTACATCCTGAAGACAAAGCCCTCTGCCCCAGGTGACGGCCCCCATGCGCCGGTGCCCTGCTTCCTGGACTCTCCGTCAACTCCCCCTGTCGGAGAGCCTGGCTGCTCACTCCCTCCTCTCTCCCCAGCCTGTTGCACCAGCCACCCGGGGAAGAGCGTGGAGGCCCAAGTGAGCAAGGACGAGGAGAAGAAAGAGGCCCCAGGTCTGTGAACCAGGGCTTCCACACACCATGTGCACGGTGCCCATCTCTGGGTGGAGGGCGTTCCCAGAAGCAGCCTCCTCGCTGCTTCTGCTCTCACATGCTGAACCATACTGTGCTTACCGTGGGGTGGTGCCACACAGACACCGGGCAGCTCTGCCCAACAGGAAGAGCAGGGTTGGGCTGAGCGCAGAGCCATGAGCCAATTCTAACTCCTATCTCCCCAACCTCCCCATTTCCCTGCAGACAACGTGGTGATGTTCTCCGAGAAGGATGAATTTGAGAAGCTGACAGCAACTCCAGCAAAGCCCACCAAGAGGTATGTGGAAGCCCCCAGCACCAAGCTGAAGCTGGGGTCCTGTGGATCCTGAGCAGGGAGGGGAACCAGGGTGCAGCCGAGTGAACTGACAGGCTAGCCTGGGACACTATGGGGACGTTCGGCGACAGACAGTCCCCACCACCTCTTTGCTGACTGGCAGGGGTCAGGTGGTGTGAGGAGCCTGTGGAAACAGCTGCCTGCTGCTCTCGGGTCAGGCCCCTGTCCCTGCATCCTGCCAAATTCCCTGGGCCTTCCTCCTTAACATCCGAATTCCTCATGCCCCTTCTCCAGACTGGGAGGGCAGAACATAAAGCCAAGGATGCATGCCTGTTGCGGCCAACACACCAGTACCACCCGTGCCGGTGCCAGTACTGCTGCCACCGTAATGCTGGTAACAACCGTGGTGATGACGGCTAACAGCATTTGGTGCCTACTGCCCACCAAGTGCTGGGCTAGGGCTGTGAACACATCCTCCCTCCACAGCCCAGGAGCAAGGTGCTTGTATCATCCCTGTTTATAGGATACCACACTGAGGTATGGAAGTTGTCACTCGCCCAAGGTCACACACTAGTGAACAGCAGGGCTGGGGTCCGAGTCCAGGCTCCCAAGGAGCCACATGGTGTAAAGAGGCCTCTGGAGGAGGAGATTTGGCAGGTGAAGCCTTTCCCGCGTTTACCACA
The DNA here is from genome assembly GCF_000001405.40 of Homo sapiens. Taxonomy (NCBI): domain Eukaryota; kingdom Metazoa; phylum Chordata; class Mammalia; order Primates; family Hominidae; genus Homo; species Homo sapiens. Next base: position 108,909,779 of record NC_000002.12, on the reverse strand, counting down.
CATGAAGGTGTGGAACCAGCCCCTGCTCTAAAATCGAGGGTAGAGGGAAGTCAATATTTTATTCATCCAGTGGGATGGTCATTTGGACTTGGTCCTGCGTAGCTTCCAAAAATCAACCCCACAGCATCAGCTCCCAGCCAGGCAATGTGCTCGGACCCCCCTGCCAGGCCTCTGCCCGACAGCCACTGCAGGCTGCGCCTGGAAGGACACCCCCGCAACAGTGCCTCCCTTGGCAGATGGGGCACAGAGGCCACCAGAAGGTCACCAAACTGGTTACAGGAAGAGCAGAGGTTAAGCCCTCCTCTCCTGCCCCCACCCCATGATCTTCCTATGATTCACCTTGCAAAGCCATTCCAATCGATCCAGCATCTGTGTGGAGATCCTGTGTGCCAGATCCAAGCTGCTGCTCCCAGGACCAAGGGCAGGACCTGGTCACCCTGCATGGAACTCTTAAATAGGGCCTCCCTAGAGACTGAATTTGCTCCTCAGCCTCCAGCCCAGCCTTATCTCATTCTGTCTCAGCCTCTCCCTTCTGATATTCAGGCTTTTCTTATTCCCAGAAATCAAAAAGGCAGAGACGTGCCCCATGACTTGAGTTGCAGTTGAAGACAGGGAAAATTTGGAGGCCCTATTAGGAAAAAATATATACTGCTTTCATACACGAATATTAAATACAAATTGAACCCTGACACTTGTACGTTAAAAGACAGCAAGGCACTGAGCTTTTGTCCCTGCTGTTTGTCCTTAGGTCTCAGAGACAGGACCTGGGGTGCCACCTCACCTGCTCCACCTCACCTTCTCTCGAGTGGGGACAGGGATGGGTCCTACCACCTCCTTGTGAGGCCCTGAAGCCTGATGAGGAAGTGGGTCCCACTGGGGCTTCATGATGGTTCTCATTGTCTTTGTATTACCCTGTCTCTAGGGTTGTGTTTGCATATGGGCTTCACTGCTGTAACCTAGTTACTAACAAATATAATCCTTTTTTTAAGAAAAAAAGGTCTTCAGCCAAACCACAGGAAGCAAGCAGGATGCCTCTAAAAAAGAATATTGTTTTTCATATACTTGGAATGGTTTTAAGAGAGTTTAAGCTCCAACCCACATGTGCCTAGGGCAGACCCTGGGTTCTTTGTGGGCTGTGAGCCACAGGGCGGCATGAACCTGGGCTTGGTGGGTCCGACCGCCCACCCAGCTCACCCGCTGGGGCTTGCTGTGCCACCCCCTGCAATGCACACAGGTCAGCCAGGTCACCCCCCTAGTCAAGAGGGGGCTTTCCAGGCACAAGGCTCCATTCAGCTCCCTTTTCAATGACTCCAGAGAGCCAGCATGGATTCAGCGCCAGCTGCATCAATCTGTTTGCTTAACATGAAGACACCAGTTGAACTTGGTGCTTACTGGGATTAAATACAGAGATCTAGGACATATTCAATGAACCTTCACGGAGCATCCATTGTGTGTCAGGTAGCAGGGAAGGAGAGGCCCGTGGATGCCTCCCACACGCAGTGGCAGCCCCAGCCCCTTAGACGCCTGCAGGTCACCCACCACGGACTTGTTTGTTTGGAAAGAAGCAGGAAGCCACCGGTGTATGTCTCGTCTCATGTCCCCTGGTCCCGTGCCCACAAGGTGCCCAGTAAACACCTGAAAAACAAGTCATTGCCCCCCACTGTCCACAGCTGGGCAATGGACAAGTTCACCACAGGAGAACTTGTCAGGGCTGCAGCCCCCCCAGGCACTGCTAATGACCATCGCTCTTGTTTTTGCAGCGAGAACGATGCCTCATCCGAGAATGAGCAGCTGCTGAGCCGGAGCGTCGACAGTGATGAGGAGCCCGCCCCTGACAAGCAGGGCTCCCCGGAGCTGTGCCTGCTGTCGCTGGTTCACCTGGCCAGGGAGAAGTCTGCCACCAGCAACAAGTCAGCCGGGGTGAGGCTCCTGCAGGTGCCATGATGAGCTGTGAGATGTGGCTCCCTCACAGCCGCAAGACTAAAACTTTCTTATTGAATCAGCTCTCCTGCAAGACGGGGTGTTTCTCCCAGAAGTCCAAGATAGGAGACCTGGACAGTGACAAGTTCACAGCAAGATAGTCAAAAGGGAAAAAAACCCTTTCGTTTTTGAGTTTTGTTTTTTTTTTTTGGAGATGAGAGTCTTGCTCTGTCACCCAGCCTGGAGTGCAGTGGTGCGATCTCGGCTCACTACAACCTCCGCCTCCTGGGTTCAAGCAATTCTCCTGTCTCAGCCTCCCAAGTAGCTAGGACTACAGGTGCACGCTGCCACACCCAGCTAATTTTTTTTATATTTTAGTAGAGACGAGGTTTCACTGTGTTGCCCAGGCTGCTCTCAAACTCCTGAGTTCAGGCAATCCACCCGCCTCGGCCTTCCAAAGCACTAGGATTACAGGTGTGAGCTACCACGCCCAGCCACTTTGTTTTTATTATATAGCTTCATACACAAAAACGAAAAATAATAAGCAAGGAGAAAAAAGGTAAAATCACTTGGAATGCCAGAGGGCAGAAAAAGACCCTTGTAAATATACGGGGTTTTATCTAACCAGACAATTTTCTAGACACACACACACACAACGTTTTTCTTCTATGCATTTTTAAAAATATAAAAACAGGTTCACATGTAGAAACTGTCCCCAGGGTTTTATCACCTACCGCCCTGTAATGTGCTGTGGCCAGGAGCAGGGCAGGGGTGAGGGCAAAGGTGGCCAGAGCCCTCTTGGGCTCCCTGTAGACCTGGCCTGTGGTCGTCCCTCTAGCCTGTGCCCCTGGCTGCAGGCCCCAGCCGCAGGACAGCTGTGTTGCTAGGCAACATCACTGATGGCAAAAATGCCCAGTTGGGATCCTGGCTCCAGCCTGGTCCTGATAGGATGCCAAGCTCTGCCTGCCCCGAGTTCAGTGACCTCTGTAATGGGGCTGCCACTTGCAGAGACCCTGGAAGCCTGTGGGGTTGTTACAAGGGAGATAGGTGGCCATGGCCCCGGGACTCTTCAGCCAGGGCCACTGAGCAGCTGTGCACCGTGGGCCTGGTCTCCTGGCACCAGCCACGTGATCCGGGATGGGAGCCCCGCACGGCTCTGCTGCAGCACAGATGTCCTGAGGGCAAGTGGGGGTCCCCATGGTCATCTTTTCAAACAGACTGATGCCAGGGGTGTCCCCAAGTATCTTACGAGTCTGACCACCCAGCTGAGCCTAAGACGCACCCGTGGTAGACCCCAAAAATGTTTGAATAGGAAAACCTGAAGAAGGCCCTCCTCCCTGTGTGTCAGGGCTGGGCTGCTGACACGGGGGCTGTGTGCAGCGTCTCTGGTGTTGGGCGTAGCTGCTGCCTGCCCCTGCTGACATGGAGGATTTGCCTCCTTTCTACTGTTGCCCCTTTCTGGAGATGAAAATTCTCGACTCTTTTTCACAGATTCAAAGCCGGAGGAAAAAGATCCTCGATGTGTATGCCAACGTGTGTGGAGTCGTGGAAGGTAAGCTGAAAAAAAAGCCTGGGAGAGGTGGTGCCCACCCCACCGACATGAAGGGCTGGGCCCGGAGCCCTGAGGCTCCTGTGAGGGGAACTGAGGGAAGCCGCCCATCCAGTTGCCGCACTTTGGTCAGAATGGCCGCTGGAAACTATTTCAGGTGTGGGGAAACAGAATCTTGTTCCCAGATATCGGAAGGCATCTCCCAGTGCTTCCATGGGCCTTCCCCTCATGGGGCGGGAGACAGCCTGGTGCAGGCACCCACTGTAGGGAAACGCAGGGTCGGTGAGCAGCAGCCACGGAGCCTCAGACCTCCCGTGTCCCCAGAGACCGTGTCCACACTGGCATCATCATCTGGGAAACGTGATCAGTCATTTATCCTAGACTTAGCTGCCCTCTCCCTGCCCTCGAGCATCCCCGATGTCTGATAGCCCTGGGAGCCTCCAGCCTCCCCTCCCAGCGGCCTTCTGAGCTAAGTCAGGCTGTCTCCCCATAACCTGGGCTTGAGTGTGGGCAGGTTAAGAGGCAACAGGATAGGACCGTCAGTGCTGCAATCTGAAATCATAATCCTCAGCTTCCAGTTCCTGCAAAATCCACTTTCTAAATTACCTTCTTATTAACCCCAAAGATAAATCCCTCATGGCTGAGGTCAGGGGTTTTCCTGCTGCTGGACTCGCTGGCCTCCCTCCGTGGACTCCTTGATCTGGCCGGGCAGCGGGAGTGGAGCCTGGTGCATGCTGGGCAGCTCACCAATGCCCCCATTACCCCTCCTCCCACCCCCACACCCCACCGTAGGCCAAATGCAGCCCCCTGTGCCCTGGCAGGCTTTCTGATCCAGTGCTTTGTTGGCCAGAAATAACTATACTGTGGGTGAGTTCCAGGGCCAAGAATTCTTGGCTGCCGCTGAAATGTGGCATCTCTCCATAAACGCATGCCCCAGGTCAGCCTGCCTGATCTCACCTGGCATGGCCTGGGGCTGTCAGCTGCCCAGGGGAGGATGGTCTAGGACTCACCTTCCATCCACCAGGAAGCTCTTCTCTGTTCCAAAAAATGTTGAGTTCACACCCCTGGGACAGAGGTTTTCAAACCTCAGCCAGGGCTGAGAACCTGTGCTCCATGCCCAGCTCTGATGAACATTAGAGTCACCTGCAGGTCTTAACACCCTCTCTGCCCATCCAGCCCACCCAATCTGCCCAAACACCCTGATGTAATTAGTCAGGGGTGAATCCCAGGCATCTGTGTCTCTTTGTTTTTTGTTTTGTTTTGTCTTTAATTAAACTTTTTATTTTGAGATACTTCTTACCATGCAGTGGTAAGAGATAATACAGAGAGATCCTACATGCCCTTTACCCAGTTTCTCCTAACGATAACATCTTGCAAAACTATACACAGAAGTCACAACCAGGACACTGATATTGACACAGTGATATCGACTCAGCTCCCATACAAAAACTCCTCCTGTTGCCTTTTATAGCCACAGCCAATTTCCACCCACCCCACCCTCACCTAGGCCCCTGGAAACCAGTAATCTGTTCTCCATTCCTATAATTTTGTCATTTCAAGAGTGTTATAAAAGTGGAATCACAAGGTATGTAACCGTGGTGAATGGCTTTTTTCACTCAGCATAATTCACTGGAGGTCCATCCAGGTTGTTGCATGTATCAATAGTCCATTCCTCTCTCTTGCTGAGTAGTAGTCTGTGGCATAAATGGACCAGAGTTGGTTTAACCATTCACTTGTTGAAGGACATCAGGGTTATTTCCACTTAACGGCTATTATGAATAAAGGTGCTATAAATATTTGTGTATAGGTTTTTGTGTGGACATCAGTCGTGATTTATCTGGGATAAAGACCCAGGAGTACATTTGTTGGGTTGTATGATAGTTGCATGGTTGATTATTTTAAAAAACTGCCAAACCGTTTTCTAAAGTTATTGTACCATTTTACATTCCTACTAGCAGTGTGGGAACGGTCTAGTTTCTCCATATGCTTGCCAGCATTTGGTGGTGTTACTATGTTTTGTTTTAGCTATTCTGAGAAGTGTGTTATGATATCTTATTGTGGTCTCAATTTGCATGTTCCTATTGTTTAAATATGTTTTCTTGTGTTTTTTTCATCTGTGTGTCCTCTTCAGTAAAATGAATGTTTCTTCATGTCTTTTGCCCATTTTTCAATGGTATCGTATGATTTTTTTGCTGTTGAGTTTTGAGGGTTTTTAAAAATATATTCTAGACACTAGTCCTATGATGGATATGTGGTTTTATAAATGTTTTCTCCATTCTATAGTTTAGCTTATCTTTTCAGTCTCTTAACAGGGTCTTTCATAGAATGATGTTTTAAATTTTTATGAGTCAAATTTATGAAACTAATTATAAAGTTTTCTTTTTATGGATGATGCTTTTGTGTCAAATCTAAGATCTCTCTTGCCTAGTCCTAGATCCCAGAGATTTGCTCCCACAATTTTTTCTAGAAGTTTTATAGCTTAATGTTTTACATTCTAAGTCCACATAGTTTTTATGTTTTACATTTAAGTTCACATAGTTTTATATTTTGCATTTAAGTTTGAGTTGATTTTTATAGAAGATATGAAACTTGGGTCAAAGTTCATTTTTTTGTCTATGGATGTCCAATTGCTCCAGCACCATTTTTTTGAAAAATTATCTTTCCTCCATTGAATTGCTTTTCAAACTTTGTCAAAAATCAGTTTGGCATATTTGTATAGGTCTATTTTCTGGGGTTGCTGTTCTGTTGCATTTATCTACATGTCTGTCCCTCTGATAATACCACAAGGTCTTGATTCTTGTATAAATTATGTAATAACATATAAGTCCTGAAATCAAATGGACTGCTCCCATTTTCCTTTATTTTTTTTTCAAAAATCTTTTAGCTATTCTAGTTCCTTTGCCTTTCCATATAAGTTTTATAATAATCTTCCCTATATGTACAAAATGCCTTGCTGGGATTTTAATGAGTTGCAACAAAACTGTATATCAATCTGGGAAGATTTGACATCTTTATTATGTCGAGTCTTCTGAGCCATGGGCATGGTATATCTCTTCATTTATTTAGCACAACTTTAATTTTTTTTCATCTGCATTGTGTAGCTTCCGAAATACAAGTTCTGTGCATATTTTGTTAGATTTACACCATATCATTTATTTTTTGAGCCACTGTAAACGACAATTTAAATTCAGTAGCCATACATTCATTGTTAGTTATATAGAAATACAATTGATTTTTGTATGTTTATCCTGTATCCTGTGACCTTGCTGAATTCACTTATAAGATCTGGGAGTTTTCTTGTAGATGCCTTGGGATTTTCTACATAGATAATCACATCTGCAAATGGGACCGTTTTATTTCTTCCTTTCCAATCTGTGTACCGTTTCTTTCCTTTTCTCATTTTATTGCACTGGCTATACCTTCCAGCACTACAGTGAATATAAATGATGAAGCAGAAGCAGAAATCCTTGCCTTATTTCTGATCTTAAAAGCATTCCATTTTTCACCATTAAGTATAATATTAGCTCTAGGCTTTTTATAAATTGTTGACATTAATTTTTTGAGTGGATTACAATAATTTTTAAATATTGAACCAGCCTTGCCTCCCTGGAATAAGCCATACCTGATGTGGTACAATTCTTTTTTATGGTTGCATTCTATTTGCTAATATTTTGTTAAGGATTTTGCATTTATATTCATGAGAGATCTTGGTCTTTGGTTTGTGGTTTGTTTTTTGTCTTTGTCTGGTTTTGGTATCCAGTTTATACTACCCTCATAGAATAAGTTAGGAAGTGTTTCTTCCTTTTCTATGTCTAGAAAAGATCGTGTAGAATTGCTATTCTTTCTTAAACATTTTGTAGAATTCTTCAGTGAAATCGTGAGGACCTAGAGATTTCTTTTGGGGAGGTTTTTTTGTTTTGTTTTGTTTTGTTTTTGAGATGGAGTCTCGCTATGTCACCCAGGCTGGAGTGCAGTGGCACAATCCTCGCTCACTGCAACCTCTGCCTCTCCAGTTCAAGTGATTCTCTTGCCTCAGCCTCCCAAGTAGCTGGGATTATAGGCACATGCCACCATGGCCCAGCTAATTTTTTTTTTTTTTTTTTGAGACGGAGTCTCACTCTGTCCCAGGCTGGCAACCTCCACCTCCCAGGTTTAAGCGATTCTCCTTTCTCAGCCTCCTGGGTAGCTGGGATTACATGTGCATGCCACCATGCCCAGCTAATTTTTGTATTTTTAGTAGATATGGGGTTTCACCATGTTGGCCAGGCTGGTCTTGAACTCCTGACCTTGTGGTCCACCTGCTTTGGCCTCCCAAAGTGCTGGGATTACAGGCTTGAGCCACCATGCCCAGCCCTAATTTTTGTATTTTAGTAGAAATGAGGTTTCACCATCTTGGCCAGACTGGTCTTGAACTCCTGACCTCAAGCAATATACCCACCTCGGCCTCCCAAAGTGCTGGGATTACAGGCGTGAGCCACCGCGTTTGGCTAGATATTTTTACAGTTACAAATTCAGCTTCCTTAATAGTTATAAGTCTGTTCAAATGATCTATTTTATATTGGGTAAGTTGTGATAGTTTATGTTTTTTGAGGAATTGTTTATTTTCATCTAAGTTATCAAATTTATATGTGTAGAGTTAAAGTTGCAAGTTTTATCTTATTATCTGTTTGATATCTATGGTGTGTATAGTGATATCTCCTGCTTCATTCTTGATATTGGTAATTTGTGTCTTCTCTATTTTTTCCTTGTCAGTTATATTGATCTTTTCAAATAACTGTCTCTTTTCATATTGATCTCTTTTACTTTATAGTTTTCAATTTCATTGATTACTGCTCTTATTTCTAAATTACTTATTTCCTTCTATGTACATTTGGTTTATTTTGTTAATCTTTTTCTAAGTGCTTGAAATGGGAGCTTAGATTGTTAACTTGAGTTTTCCTCCTTTGTATGTATCTGTCCTATAAATTTCACTCTCAGTACTACTTTAGCTGTGTCTCACAAATATTGACATCTTGTATTTTTATTTTCATTCATTTTTAAATTGTCTTTGAGACTTCCTCTTTGACCTGTGGATTATTTAGAAGACTGTTGTCTGGTTTTCAAGTGTGTGAAGATTTTTCTGTTATATATTTATATTCTGATTCTATTGTGGTAGGGGAATATCCTTTGTATAATTTCAATTCTTTTAATTTGTTGAGGTTTAAGGCCAATAATTATGAACAATGTGTATTCTGCTGTTGTTGAATGGAGTGTTCTATAAATGTTGATTAGATCGTGTTGGTTGATGATGTTGGTAAGTTCTATATTCTTGATTTTTTTTCTAATTGTTCTATCATTTACTGAGGGAGGAATGTTAAAGTCTTCAACTATAATTGTGGACTTATCTCTTCTTTCAGGTCTATCAGTTTTTGTTTCACATATTTTGGAGCTCTGTTGTTTGGTGCATATTCATTTAGGATTGCTATGTCTTCTTGGATTGACCCTTTAATCATTATTAAATGTCACTTTCTGGTAATTTTTTCCTCTGAAGTCTACTTTAACTGATGTTATAGCCACTCTGCCTTCTTGTTATTGAAGTTTGCATGATATGTATTTTTCCATCCTTTACTTCCAACGCCTCTCTCATTATATTGAAGTGAGTTTCTTCTAGGCAGCATATAACTGGGAAAATTTTTAAGTCTACTCTACCAAGCTCTACCTTTTAGTTTTTTTGTTTTGGTTTGGTTTGGGTTTTTTGTTTTTTTTTTTTTCTTTTTTTTTGGAGTTTCCACTCCTGTTGCCCAGGCTGGAGTGCAATGGCATGATCTTGGCTCACTGCAACCTCTGCCTCCCAGGTTCAAGTGGTTCTCCTGCCTCAGCCTCCCAAGTAGTTGGGATCACAGGCATGTGCCACCACACCAGCTAATTTTGTATATTTAGTAGAAACAGGGTTTCACCGTGTTGACCAGGCTGGTCTAGAACTCCTGACCTCAGCTAATCCATCTGCCTTGGCCTCCCAAAGTGCTGGGATTACAGGCATGAGCCACCAGGCCCAGCCTTTAGTTGGTATTTAAACCATTTACATTAAATGTAGTCATTGTTAGGGCTTAAGTCTGCTATTTTATATTTTGTTTACTGTTTGTTGTCTCTGTTTTTCATTTCTGTGTTTTTTTATTCCTGCTTTACTGTGGGTCACTTGAACATATTTCAGAATTCGATTTTGGTGTTTTTTGAGTGATACATTTTGATTTTATCTCTTTCCATAGTTATTTTAGTAGTTTCTCTAGACATTGCATTGACACATATAACTTATCAGTCTACTGGTGTTATTATTATTATTATTTTTGACATGGAGTTTTACTCTGCCACCCAGGTTGGAGAGCAGTGACACGATCTCGGCTCACTGCAACCTCCGCCTCCCAGGTTCAAGCGATTCTCCTGCCTCAGCCTCCCGAGTAGCTGGGATTACAGGTGTGCACTACCACGCCAATGTGTTTTTTGTGTTTTTAGTAGAGACGGGGTTTCACCATGTTGGCCAGGCTAGTCTTGAACTCCTGACCTCAGGTGATCTGCCCACCTTGGCCTCCCGAAGTGCTTGGATTATAGGTGTGAGCCACCGTGCCCAGCCTTACTGGTGTTATTATTTTGCCAGTTTGAATGAAGTATAAAAACCTTACCTTTCTCTATGTCCCTTTACCTTCTCTGTTTACAGTAGTTGTAAATATTTCCTCTACATATATTTAGAACCACATAAATTGCTTCAACTGCCTAATGTAATTCAGAAAACTTAAAAAGAGAAGGAAAGTCTATTGTATGTGCCCATATTTTTGCTCACTATGTTCTTTTCTGATGTCTCAAGTTTCATTCTTTTACTATTTCCTTTCTGTTTATAGAATTTCCTTTTGCTTCTTTTAGGATAGGTCTGCTGGTGAAAAATTCTTAACTTTTCTTTGGCTTGGAATGTCTTGATATTCTCATGCTTTCCTGAAGGATATTTTCACTCAGCTCACTGCAACCTGGTATGCAACTCTGGGTTGAAAGTTCTTTTCTTTCAGTACTTGGAAATACTGTGCTACTTCTCTCTGGTCTCCAGGTTTCTGATTATAAGTCTACTGTCATTCTAATTCTTTTCCCTCTCTAGGTCAGGCGTTGTTTTTCTTTGGCTGTTTCTAAGACTTTGTCTTTAGTTTTCAGAAGTTCATTTATGATGTATCTTGACATGAATATATTTGGGTTTATCCTGTTTGGGATTTGCTTATCTTCTTGAATCTGTAGACTTACGTCTCTTTACAAATTTGGAGAGTTCTAAACCATCATTTATTTGAGTATTTATTTAGTCCCACTCTCTTCTCCTCTCCTTCTGAAACTTCTTGACACAAATGTTAGCTCTTCTGTTATAACTCCACAGTTCCCTAAGGCTCTGTGTTTTTCAGTTTATTTTCTCTGATTGAGTAATTTCCACTTCTAGTTTCCATTATCCATCTCACTGATTCTTTCCTCTGTCTTACTCTGTCATTGAGCACATCTACTGAGCTTTTTATTGTGGTTATTGTACTTTTGTAGTTCTAATATTTTCATTTCTTTTTTACATTTTCTATTATTTTTCCTGAGGATTTCTATTTTTGCATTTAAGCATGTTCATAATTGCTTGTTGAAGCACTTTTATTATGAATTCTTTAAAACCTTTTTCAGATTATCTAACATCTGTCATCTCAGTGTTAGCATCTATTGATTTTCTTTTTTTACTCATTTGACATCTTCTTGGTTCTTGGTATGATGAGTGAATTCACTTTGAGACCTGTGTAGTTTTATGTCCTGATATGAAACTCTGGGTCTTATTTAAGCCTTCTATTTTAGCTGGCTCCTTTTGATAGCTCTGTGGCAGGAGAATGAGGGTGCTGTCTTGCTACTGTTGGGTGAAGGTAGACATCCAAATTCCCCACTCAACCTTCACTAACACTCAAGGGGGATTCCTTTTTACTGCTACTTGGGGTTTGGGAGTATGGCTACTGACATGGTCACCACGGGGGCAGAGGAGTTTTTACCAGCTGGTTGATGAGAAAGCCCCAGCTCCCTACATGGCCTTTCCTGACACCACCTGGCACAGTGTTACAGCCTGGTGAGGGTGGAATTCTAGGCTCCCCACTCAGCCTTTGCTACCCTGGATAGAGTGGGGACACAGTTTTTCTGTGATGTTTGGCTGGAATAGAGCAATTATTGTCTAAATGTTTTATGCTTGCTAGGCTGCTCTTTTCCTAGTGCTCTGACTAGAGACAGAAGACTTTTGTTGGGGCTGTTTTTGTCTGTGGTTGCTATTATTTCCAGATTTTTGGACTTTTCTGCCCCATGTCTGGAATTTATGAGGCAAAAGAAAACCCAGGGAACTTACCACCATCACCATCCTAAGGTATCGAGGTCCCTAGTTGGTCTGTCTTCTTTTCTCCACTTTTCAGACTTCTTGTATTTGTTTTACACAGAATGTCCAGGGCTTTTAGCTGTACTTAGTGGGAGGATTAGGGAAAATTATATCTACTCTTATCTTCCAGAAACAGCAATATCAAGTTTTTAAATGCTCCTAGGTGAGTCTAATGTACAGTGAAGCCCAAGAACCATCAGACCACTGAGTTGGCAGTGACTTGGTTCAGATAACCCCAATCTGGGGCTATCATTGAGAGCAGCCATCACAAAGTTGACTACTGTTCCCTAAAGAGACATGACACTGTCCCTTTGAACCCCTCCTCAGCCCAGCCCCATGGGAGACAGGGTTACCCAACTAAGGATAACTTGTCTTGAAGTCTTTGAGAACTGCTAAAAATGGTCATGAGGGAATTATTATCATTGTCAATATAGCAGTCATTTTCCTAGTGGGGAAGGGGCTATTACCGGGGTCAGGGTACATGCACAGCCCTCTCTTGTGGCTGGCAGCGTTCTAGGTGTCGTTTGCCTTAAGTTATGCATTTGTTTTAGGTGGCTTTCTGCATGTTTTATAATTTTAAAAAAATTTTTTTCAAATAATTTTTATTTCATTTAAATAATTTTTCAGTGTTGACCTTCTATTGACTGTGACTTGCAACATCTAACTGTGGCCATTGGTGTCTGTAGGTCTTAGCCCCACGGAGCTGCCATTTGATTGCCTCGAGAAGACTAGCCGAATGCTCAGCTCCACGTACAACTCTGAGAAGGCTGTTGTGAAAACGTGGCGCCACCTCGCCGAGAGCTTCGGCCTGAAGAGGGATGAGATTGGGGGCATGACAGACGGCATGCAACTCTTTGACCGCATCAGCACGGCAGGCTACAGCATCCCTGAGCTACTCACAAAACTGGTGCAGATTGAGCGGCTGGATGCTGTGGAGTCCTTGTGTGCAGACATACTGGAGTGGGCGGGGGTTGTGCCACCTGCCTCCCAGCCACATGCTGCATCCTGAAAAGCATGCCTGTGGGCTGTCCTCCCAGGACAAGCCAAGGAGCCAACGAGGGCTCTGGAGCTGTGAGTGGTGCCAAAAGACTGCCAAGAATCAAGGCTTTTGTGATATGTCACCGTATGCCTTAGGATGTTCAAGGAGCCAGACGAAATAAGGCCTGTCTTCCAATTTAACCAAAGATAAAGGACTAGAGCCGGGATACTTTCAGATGCTCGCCTGTACCTCACCAGGCAGAGTAAATATCTACTCACTCATACAGCCAGCCCACCAGCCCACCATTAACTCACTGAACAATGAGACAATGTTGAGGACTCAAATGAATCAAACCCCGTGGGAATGACAGAAGTGAAGAATCTGGTCCCTGTCTTTAAGGAGTTTGCACTCCAGTAGAAGACAGAAGGAACGTATGTTTACAAACCACTTCACTGGAAGACGTCAAACAAGCTGAATGAAGGGGCGCTTAGAAAACGTTAATAGAAGTTCTAAGCGGGAGATGACTCCCTACTGGGATGATGAAGGATGGCATCCTAGTGAAGAAGCAGCTCAAACATTTTGATAAAATGGCAACAAAATGCAGACACCCTGCTCCAGGTATTATTTCAGGTTTAGTACAAGTCTGTTAATACCCTATGTGGTTTCATTAGGATAACTTTTTACCTATCCTTGAGGTCATCCATATTCTTACAGGCCTTCCAGTCAATAATGGAAGAGCTCACTCTATACAAAACCAATATGCAAGGCATGTGTTTGTCCAAGCAATTGGATGTGTGCAGTAGCCAATTTCATTTACTGCATTACTCTTTGGCCTGGGAACCCTGTGGTCTGCACTACATGTGAATGGCCTTCCACTTCAGTCTTAGGCAGATTTGACCTTTTAGGGGCAGCAATGCTGAAGGACACAGCAATTTAAATTATAATGTGTCAGGCTGTGTTTTCACTTCAAACATGTATGAGTAGTCAGCTGTAATTAGAGAAATGATGACTTCCTAAGAGTTCAGCCACGCATAATTCTAGATTTCAAGAGCATCTAAGACTTGTGGATTAGCCTCATGGCATGAGAGTTTCAGACTCAGCCTTCTGAGCCAGTCAGGGAAAGTGGAGTTCTGCAGCGCAAATGAGAGCCTGGGCTTGATGTCGAGGGAGCTGGCTTCTAGTTGTGCCACCTTGGGCCTTGTCTTTTCCTCTCTCTGCCTCAGTTTCTCGTCTGCCAATGAGATGTTAGTTAGTGATTCTATAATTGGGGCAGGTAGGGTTCAGGTGAGCAAAAAGAAAGTGGAGCTATAGGAAATGCCAGGCCTTTGAGGTGCTCTATGGAAGTCAACACAGTGTGGTTTGTCCATTTAAATGGGAATAAAAACAGAAAAACTCAGACTTGGCATTTTCACAATAACTGCAATGGTTTGACATAACATTTATAGGCAGAAAGTTAATAAACTGGCATTGTTCTTGGCATATTATTGTACTATCCCTGTAACTGCCAAGAGCTCAGGAGCCAGGCTAGTGATCACACCAGGGGTTAGAGTTCACTGCTGAACTCCCTGATGGCAGGTCTGTGTTTATTACTACATTAAAACAAAGTCTCTGACTTATAAAGCGAGGTTGTAAAAATTACAAGTTGCATGACTGAAAAAATGCTTTAGGGGGAAAATCAGTCATATCTTTAACACCAACAAGCAATTTCCCACCAACGAATGTAGTACATACTGTGAGAGGATCATAATGAGGTCCTGAATATTTAATATCATCATTTACTGTGTCTGTTTGCTGCTGTTTTTCGAACCTATTTGGTTTACCCTGCAAGCTAAATACTCCACGGCAGAGCTTAATTATCCTTTTAATTCCTCTTTGAAATCCTGTGGTGCCCCCTTCCCCCTGCCTTGTGATGATGATGAGTGAGTCTCCCCTTAATTAGACTGCAAATGTCACTTGTGATGAGTGTGCCATTCCAGGATAACAGCTTGCACCCTCCTCAGAATGTTTTCAGCGAAAGAGTGGGGTGGCTGTTCTCTGCTCCTGGTGCTTTGGCCTCATTTCACACTATTAGAATTCTGGGGCTGTAAGGCCAGCCAGTGTCAGCTCATGTTCCATTGGCTCTCCACCTGCCATTTTTAGGGAGCTATTCCTTATATAGTTACAAATTCCCTTGTCATTTACTTATTTGGAAACATGGGATTTACTCTGACAAGCTTTAGCCTATGTTATGGGATTCAGAACAATGAGATCATAATAATTCTCACTGACCAAAGCTGGGACTCCATCCTGCCATTTTTGTGTGGAGATATTCATAATTCTGCAATACTTTAAAACATTTAGAAAACACCCCAGGGTAGGTCTGTGGCCCTTAGACAGTGAAGTCTTAATTGTCAATATTATTTTTGTCTAATTCTGTATATATATAACTTATTATATTTTATAATCTCAATAAACACATTAATAAGATTTATAGACTACCGTAATGTGAGCTCTCTTTGTATTTGGGGTGGTGGGTCGGGGGGTGAGTGGGGAAGGTTCTGATTGCTCTGTTCCTGGTTATTGCCCTATGTATGATGAGACTGTAGGATTGCAACCAGCTATAAACAAAGTGCCTAAAATGTTATGGCCTGGGACATTCACTAGGCAGAAGCAAACATTACAAAGAGATCATGTAAAAACCACCTGGAGCATTGCTTTCCAAGTTGCCATCATTAGCTCATAAGGCATTGTATCACTTATCTATTTCTGTGTAACAAACTGTCTTGTCTTAAAATTCAATGGCTTAAAGCAACAGTCATTTATTATCATAGCTCGGGGGTTAGTAGGGGGTCAGTCAGCTGACTTAGGTTGGGCTCAGTTGAATGTGGGTCAACTGGGGCCTCTGTCTGTTGGAATACCTTAACTGGGGCAGCTCTACTCCATCATCTCTGTCAACCTAGATAGATAACAGAGAGAGGCTCTCTAAAAGAAAGAAAATGATATGTATTGGGGAATAGGGCATTGCAATGGGAATACATGTGCCATAGTAAACTATGCGTGTTTTTGAAGAGGTAAAGGAAGACAATGGTTCTTAGAGGAAAATAAGGAGGATTACATAATTATTTTGAGACAATTATCCTTGGCTACAAGGATAATAAGGGTGGTGCCAGTCCAGGGTTGGACAGGGAGTTGCTGGGCAGAGGTCCTTGCAGGAGTCTTTGTGTGTGTTTAAGATTGTCATGGCCTTTGTGCAAGGTTTTCGTTTTTTCAGTCTTGTGATGGCTCTTGTTATCAGTGATTTATGCAGGGAGAACCCTTCTTTCCTGGCCTTCCATGACTCTATTTGTCAGTTTTGTTTTGTTTTTTAAGCACAAGTGACTCCTTTATAATTCTGACAACTTCCACATTTCCCCCATTTGATCAAGATCTTTATCAGAAAGCATCCCCAGTGAGTCATCCCATATTATTCCTTCGTGCCAGGATAGACCTGTCCTAGGTGGCTGGTCTGGTCTCACATTGGAGGGATTTGATGGTGACTAGGAGTCAGTGTCAAAACCCTTTAGCCATGTTTGAACAAATGGGAAGTTTGGAGAGAGTGGCTCTCAGGCTAGGTCTACTTGAAGTCTACTGTTAAATTTGATTTTGTCTGTTCTGTAAACATTTGCTATCATCATCTCAAAATGCAGGGCCAGTATTATTCTGTTAGAAGGTGTACTTCTACTGAGATTTGACAAGTAACAGGAAGTTTAAAAAAGGAAAATATAAAGGAAAATTAAAATCAATAGTAATATGAGAATCCCAGTTTGCATGATGATTTTGAGCCATGAATGTAGGTTTAAAGGCAACCAAATGAATAAATGAAATAACCATGAGGAATTAGGTGACCCTTCTTTTATCCTTGTGGCCTCTTTCTTTATTTTGTGAACATGGGTCTCAACTTTCCCAGAGGAATTTACCTAGGTACAGCAATGTAGTATTAGAAATAGCACAGACAAAGATGGCTACTAGAAGCATTTCATGCCAGCCTCTTCCACTTAGAACAAAAACAGTGTGTAGACAGTCACACTTTGAATACATTATCCAAGAGAGAACACTGGAATTCAACAGAGAAGTGGCAGGAAACACCAAAAGCAGGGAAGGAGAAGGGAGACAAGCAGCCTGCCTAGCCAGGATCAACTAGGAGCTGGGAGTGACTTCCCAATTCAGGGAAAGGGTGAATAAGAGACTTCCAGTGGCCCAGATCCCCAGCATGAACTCATGTAATCCTGGCCATGAGAGACCCCTCAACCCTCCCAACCACTGAAGCTAACATAGGGAGCTGCTGGGAGACCATGGGATGGAACTGCTCCAGAGATGGAGTTTGCACTGGATCCCACACCTTTCTGAGACCTAAGCAACTACAGCAAGACACCATTTTCAAACCTAGCCTTGGGTAGATTGCATGCTGTCCTGGGGCCCAGAGGCACTGGGACTGAGGTGTTACAGAAACCCAGATTGTTGCTGCTGGGAATGGGGAGTGAGCTGCAAGCACTTCCACAGCCAGGGCTAAGAAACAAACAAGGAAAGGGTTGCAGTTGCTGATGCCAGGAAGTGAGTGCTGCTGGGACAGAAATTAGGATGCTGAAAGGGTGTAAGTTGCCACTGGGACTTGCTCACCAGCTGAAATGGGGCCTCCTGCAGCCAGGGTGGGAGGGTGAGACAGGCATGGGCTAACATTGTCAAGGCTGGAAAGCAAGCCCCACTGGGACTGTGGGAAGGACATACATTCTCACCTACCAGCCCAGGCTGTGGCCACAGAGCACAGCCACACTCTGTCCAGTGGTAGCACTTTAGCACAGCTGCCATCATCCCTTACCTGAGCACTCTGCCTGGGGCCTGAGGATCACCTTATCCTGGCCACCAATGGTGGTGCCTGCTCTCACCAAGGGGCCTGAGCACAAACCTGCACAGCCCAGCTTTGCCCCCTCTTTCAGACAGGGCACATATTCTGGGGTCCTGGGAACTGTGCAATTCAATCCACCACCTTGGGTACCTGAGCATCTTTCTGGGGCCTATGGTTGGGCCTAAACTCCCAGCCACCATCACATCACCTGGTACCTCCTTGCAAGTGTCACCTGAAGGCCAAGAGGTTGTCTTACCCAGTCCATCACAGCAACCACCAACATCAATGCACACCACTTGGGACCCAGAGAATCGTCCTGCTACTGCTACTGCCATTGCTCATGCTATGCCAGCTGCCCAAAGGCCCAAAAACCCACCTACACACCCAATCCATTGCTGCCACTACCAGCAACTGAACAAGCCACCTGGAGGCCCAGAAATCAGCCTGCCAAATAACTGCCAACAGAGATGCCAGCTATACAGCCCTGGGCACAAACAGGCACACTTAGCCCATTGCTGTCATCACTAGGGCCTGAAGACTGGCCCATTTGGCATCCCAATCCCTAGTACAACTTCACCACAGCCTCCACTAATAACTTCACCCTAACCCAGTGGGGAAATCATGGATGCCACCAACACTACTTACAGCCTAAAAAATCATACAGAGACTACATTACTACGTGCATCCAGAATCAAAGCCAAAGTACCCTACTCAACCAAAACCATAGATATATCTTTAGGAAAAAGTCTTCTTCTATGAAAGAAATTTCAAAAACAAGAAGAAGCAACAGTTACACCAGATGTGCAGAGATCCACTTAAGGACAAATGAAACATGAAAAATTAAGGAAATGTGACGCCTCTAAAGGAACATCAGAATTCTCAAGCAATAGATCTTAATCAAAAATAAATTTCTGAAATCCCAGATAAAAAATTTGAAATATTGATTTTAAAGGAGCTCAGTGATATACAAGAGAACTCTGAAAAACAATACAAAGAAATCAGAAAAACAATATGGGATATGAATGAAAAATTTATCAAAGAGATAGATTTTTTTTAAAGAACCAAACAGAAATTCCAGAACTGAAGAATTCATTGAAGGAAATATATAATACATTTGAAAGCTTCAAAAATAGATTGCATAAGGGAGAATAAAGAATCTCAGAACTTGAAGATAGCATTTTTGAAATAATCCAGTCAGACAAAAAGAAAAAGAATAAAACAGAATGAGTAAAGCCTTCATGACACTTGGGAAAACACAAAGTGATCAAATATTCGAGTTATTAGTATCCCTGAGAGTAAAGAGACAGAGAAAAGGTTAGAAAATTTAATTAATAAAATAATAGATGAAAACTTCCTAAGTCTAGAGATTTAGACATTCAAATACAGGAGACTCAGTGATCTCCAGGAAGATACATTCTGCAAGCGTTTTCGCCATGACACATTATAGTCCAGCTGTCTGAAGTCAAAGATAAAGGGTGAATCCTAAAAAGAGCAAGAGAAAAGCATACAGTTACCTATCAAGAAAACCCCTGACCAGGTGCAGTGGCTCATGCCTGTAATCCCAGCACTTTGGGAGGCTGAGATGGGTAGATCACTCGTACTCAGGAGTACAAGACCAGCCTGGGCAACATGGCAAAACCGCTTCTCTACCAAAAACACAAAACATTAGCCAGGCATGGGGCTTGTGCCTGTGGTCCCAGCTACTAAGGAGGCTGAGGTTGGAGGATTGCTTAAGCCTGGGAGGCAGAGGCTGCAGTAAGCCCATATCATGCCACTGCACTGCACTCTGGACTAGGTGACAGAGTGAGACCCCATTACAAAAAAAAAAAAAAAAAAAAAAAAAGAAAACCCCATCAGCCTAAGAGTGAGTTTCTCAGCAGAAACTTTATAGGCCAGAAGAGAATGGTATGATATACTCAAAGTGCTGAGAAGAAAAAAAAAAAAAATGTCAGCCAAGAATACTATATCCAGCAAAATTATCCTTCATAAATGAAAGAGAACTAGTCTTTCCTAGACAAGCAAATGCTGAGGGAATTCATTACCACTAGACGACTCCCACAATAAATGCTCAAGGGAATTTTAAGCCTGGAAGCAAAATAACATTTACCATCATGGAAACAAATGAAAGTATAAAACTCACTGGTAAAGCAATCACATAAAATAGGAAGAGAAATGGTACCACTATAGAAACCCACCAACCACAACAACAATCAATAAGAGAAAAAGAAAGGAACAAAGAATATATGAAACAACCAGAAAAGACAACAAAACCTCACATATCAATAACTGTGAACACAAACAGATTTAATTCTCCACTTAAAAGATATAGAATAGCTGAATGGATTAAGAAACATGATCTAACTATACGCCTCTTACAAGAAACTCACCTTACCAGTAAAGACACATCTGAAAGTAAAGTGATGTACATATTTCATACAAATGAAAACCAAAATTAAGCAGGTGTAGCTGTACTGATGAGATAAAATAGACTTTAAGTCAAAAACAGTGAAAAAAAAAAAAGAAAAGAAAAAAAGGTTATTATATAATGATAAAGGGATCAATCCAGCAAGAGGATATAATTATTCTAAATATATATGTCTAGAATATTGGAGCACTCATATTAATAAAGCAAATATTATTAGATCTAAGGAGAGATAGATGCAATACAATAACAGTCAGAGACTTCATCTCTCCCACTCAGCATTAGATAGATCACCTCGACAGAAAATCAAAAAGCATTGGATTTAAACTAAACTTTAGAGCAATTGGTCCTAACAGATCTTTACAGAACATTCTATCTGACTACAGAATATACATTCTTTCATCAGCACATGGAACATTCTCCAGGATAGACCATATGTTAGGCCACAAAACAAGTCTCAACAAAACTTAACAAACCACAATCATATCAAGTATTTTCTCAGACCACAATGGATAAAACTAGAAATCAATACCATGAGGAACTTTGGAAACTATACAAAAACATGGAAATTAAACAGCATGCTTCTGAATAACCACTGGATAAAAAAGAAATTAATATGAAAATTTAAAAAAACTGAAAGAAATAAAAATGAAGAAACAATAAAGCAAAACTGATGGGGTACAACAAAAGCAGTGCAAAGGGGGAAGTTTACAGCAATAAACGCCTACATCAAAAAAAGCAGAAAGAGTACAAAGTAACAATCAAACAATATACCTCAAAGAAATAGAAAAGCAAGAACAAACCAAGCCCAAAAATAGACAAAAAGAAATAATAAAGATCAGAGCAGGACTAAATAAAGTAGGGACTTAAAAAAATACAAAGACTCAACAACATGAAAAATTGATTCTCCCAAAAGATAAAAAAAATTGATACACGGTTAGCTAAATTAATCAAGGAAAGAAGACCCAAATAAAATCAGAAATGAAAAAGAAGATATTACAAGCGATACCACAGAATTACAAAAATATCATCAGAGACTACTATGGACAACTATTTGCTCACAAATTAGAAAACACAGAGAAAATGGATAAATTCCCAGAAACATAAAACCTACCAAGATTGAATCAGTAATAAAAAAATTACCCAACAAAAAAAGCCCAGGACTAAATGGATTCAAACTGAATCCTACCAAACATACAAAGAAATAACACCAACCCTCCTGAAACTATTCCAAAAAATTGAAGAGAAGAGAATTCTCCTTAACTTATTCTATGAAGCCAGCATTACCCTAATACCAAAACCAGACAAAGACATAACAAGAAAAGAAAACTACAGGCCAATATCCCTGGTGAATGAACATATATGCAAAAGTCCTCCACAAAATACAAGCAAACCAAATCCAACAGCACATTAAAAACATAATACACCATTATCAAATGGGATTTATGCCAGGGATGCAAGGATAGTTCAACATATACAAATCAATAAATGTGACATATCACATCAACAAAATGAAGGAAAAAAACCATATGATCATCTCAACAGATGCAGAAAAAGCATTTTAAAAAATTCAACATCACTCCAGGATAAAAACTCTCAACAAACTAGGCATAGAAGAAACTTACCTCAAAATAAGAAAGGCTATGACAAGCCCACAGCTAACATCATACTGAATGAAGAAAAGCTAAAAGCCTTTCCTCTAAGAACTGAAATAAGACAAGGATGCCCCAGTTTACCACTGCTATTCAATGTAGTACTGGAAATCCTAGCTAGAGCACTCAGGCAAGAGAAAGAAATAAAAAGCATCCAGAATGGAAAAGAGGAAATTAAATTGGCCCTCCTTGCTGATGCTATGGCCTTGTATCTACCTTAATACTCCACCAAAATCTCTTTTATCTAATAAATAAATTGAGTAAAGTTGCAGGATACAAAACCAACATATAAAAATCAGTAGCATTTCTATACCCATAGTGATCTAGCTGAGAAAGAAATCAAGAAGGCAATTCCATTTACAATAGCTACAAAAATAAAATAAAATACCTAGGAATAAATTTAACCAAGGAAGTGGAAAATCTCTATAAGGAAAACTATAAAACACTGATGAAAGAAATTGAAGAGGACACAAATAAAATGGAAAAAGGTCCCATGCTCATGGATAAGAGAAATTAGTATCATTAAAATAACCACGTTGCCCAAAGCAATCTACAGATTCAATGCAATCCCCATCAAAATACCAACATCACTTTTCACAGAATCAAAAAAGCAATCCTAAAATTCATATGGAAACAGAAAAAGAGCTCAAAGTCATCCTGAACGAAAAGACAAAAGCTGTAGGCATCACAATGACTCACTTCAAAACATATTACAAGGATATAGTAACCAAAACAGCATGGTACTGTTATAAAAACGGACACGTAGACCAATGGAACAAAATAAAGAAACCAGAAATAAGACACATATTTATGGCCAAGTGATCTTTGACAAAGCCAAAAAGAACTAAACACTGTGGAAAGTTCACCCTCTTCAATAAATGGTACTGAGAAAATTGGTTAACCAGATGCAGAGGAATGAAAATGGACCCCTATCTCTCATCATATACAAAAATAAACTAAAAATAGATTAGAGATTTACACATAGGACATGAAACTATAAAAAACAGCATAAGAAAGCCTAGGGAAAACTCTCAGGGAAAGAATTTATGACTGAGACCTCAAAAGCACAGGCAACAAAACAAAAATAGACAAATAGGATTATAATAAACTAAAAATACTTGACACAGAAAAGGAAATGATCAACAGAGTGAAGAGACAACCTAATGAATAGTAGAAAATATCTGCAAACTATTCATCCAACAGGGGACTAATTTTCTGAATACACAAGGAACTCAAACAGCTCCACAGTTAAATTTTTTTTTTAAATCCCATTAAAAAGTGGGCAAAGGGGGCCGGGCATGGTGGCTCACACCTGTAATCCCAGCACTTTGGGAGGCCGAGGCAGATGGACCATGAGGTCAGGAGATGGAGACCATCCTGGCTAATGCAGTGAAAGCCGTCTCTATTAAAAATACAAAAATTAGCCGGGCATGGTGGCGGGCGCCTGTAGTCCCAGCTACTCGGGAGGCTGAGGCAGGAGAACGGCGTGAACCCAAGAGGCGGAGCGTGCAGGGAGCTGAGATTGCACCACTGCACTCCAGCCTGGGTGACAGAGAGAGACTCCGTCTCAAAAAAAATAAATAAAGTGGGCAAAGGACATGAATAGACATTGTTCAAAAGAAGACATACAGGTAACCAACAGATACATGAAAAAATGCCCAACATCAGAATGAAAATCAAAATCACAATTAGATATCATCTTACCCCAGTCAGAAGAGCTATTATTAAAGACAAAAATAACAGATGTTGGCAAGGATGTAGATAAAAAGAATTCTTACCCACTGTTGGTGAGAATTTAAACAGCCACTATGGAAAAGTAAGATTTCTCAAAAAACTAAAATTAGAATTACCACTGGATCCTGCAATCCCTCTACTGGGTATCTACCCAAAGGAAAAGAAATCAATATGATATACTGATATATATCACCCCCATGTTTATTGCAGCACTATTCACAATAGCAAAGATATGGAATCAAACTAAGTGCCCATCAGCGGACGAATGGATAAAGGAAATGTGGTACATATACACAATGAAACACTATTCAGCCACAAAAAGAATGAAGTCATGTCATTTGCAGCAACATGGATAAAACCAGAGGTCATTATTTTAAGTGAAAACAGCCAAGCAAAACAGACAAATGTCACATGTTTCCACTTATATGTGGAAGCTAAAAAATTTGATCACATAGTGGTAGAGAGGGAAAGACAGATACCAGAGACTGGGAATCATGAGTGGTGGGAGGAAGAGGATAAGGAGAACTGGGTTAAAGTGTACAAACATACAGTAAGTTAGAAGGAAAAAATTCAATGTTCAACAGCTGACTGGGGTGACTATACTTAACAAAGATGTATTGTACTCGGGTGGACACCCCAAATACCCGTGTGGTGACTTGATCACCACACATTATACACATGTAACAAAATTTCTCATGTATCCCATAGATTTGTACAAATAAAAAATAAAAAGTCTGGTCTCATTAATTCTTTACATTTAGAAAGGAATTAATTTTTACAGATACAGTACTTACTTTTCAATTTTATTGTATAACTTTTCATTAAAGTGAGAAAGCCATTATATTCATAAGACAAACACAGTATCAAAGAAGTTAAAGTCATTAGGTAATGAAATAACAATCATCTCAAATTTGGATGCACATGCTCAATAACTTTTTCTCTCAGCCTAAATGCCTTATTGACAGGGAAAAGTTATATGAGAGGAAAACAAAGTGGCAAGAAAACTGCACTGGCCCCTCAGGACAAAAACTCATCAAGGAAAGATTCAAATGTTTTAAAGTTCTGCAAAAGCAATATGAAAAACCAAAGTCCAGCATTGGGGGCGGGTAAAGGTGGGTTTGTGAATAGGAAGAAAGGCTGGAAGTTTCAGCTCCCTTACAGAGTACCTGGAAAAAAGACACTGATTAGTAATTACATGAGCTAAATTCTCCTTTAGCATCTCTCAGTATTAATTCTCTGCAAATATTTGTATTACAATATTCCAATTAGCTCCTTGGGAAGAAATTTTGATGTAACTATTCTCATTCTACAGACAGGGAAATTCCAGAAGCCACTGCTGATGGGGAGTGGGGAGGGGCTGAAAAGCCTGGCCACAGAGCAGAGGTGTTTCAACGAGGGTGTGTGGCTTGGCAGACCCGCCTTCAATTCCTGAGCCTGCACCCAGGAGTGACAAGCCTGGACTCACAGCTGCCCGGCTTTCGAAAGAGAAAAAGAGGTCAAGTGGCCTTTCCCAGCTGGAAGATGCCTGTTGCAGCTGCTTGAGAGTCCTATCCGGGAGGACACAATCTCGAAAAGGGGACCTGCCAGGAGAGCTGTGGCATGTGTCATTTGCTCCTTGGCCAAAACCATCATCCTTGACTTTCTGATGTTTATTATGTGGAGCTTTGTCACAGGTTCCTACATGAAATACGCTGTCACTACCACAAAGAAACAAGCAAAAACAAAACAAAGATCTCTTCTCTTATTCTCTTCAGCGGTGCTCTTTCTTCTATTTTGATTGCATCAAGCTTTTCAGAATGGGAACATATTCACTGTCTCAGAGGTTTCCTTTTCTCACAAAGGATGCTCCACTTCCAGTCAGGCTATGCAGTGAATGCCCATTCTGTGCCTTGTGGAATTACACTGCTAGCTCCCATTCTGAGGAGTGTTTATCTTCCAAAGTGCCTCTCTACCTGTTTTCTTTGACATTCACAATCTGGGAGACCAGGCACCATGGTCCCTGCTTGACAGGTAAAGCAAGTTGGGCCCAGATAACTGAAGTGACTTACTAAAAGTTCACATCATTGGGCAGGTGCAGTGGCTCATACCTGTAATCCCAACACTTTAGGAAGCCGAGGCAGAAGGATCACTTGAGCCCTGGAGTTCAAGACCAGCCTGGCAACATAGCAAGACCCCATCTCTACAAATATTTTAAAAATTAGCCGAGCATGGTGGCGCATGCCTATAGTCCCAGCTACTGAGATGGCTAAGGTGAAAGGATTGCTTGAGCCCAGAATGAGCCAAGACCATGCCACTGCACTCCAGCCTAGGAACCTGTGAGAGACTCTGCCTCAAACAAAAAATCAAAACAAGTTCACATTATTTAGGAGTGATGCTAGTGAGTCAGTCCTGCTCCTGAAAGAAAGCAGATGACACCCTCAAGGTGCGTAATTTATAAAGGGGCTGTTTACAAAGAGAGGAGTGAGGTTTAGGGAAACCAAGAGGGGCAGACCCTTGAGTCACAAAGCACTGTGCCCTGGGGGATGCCCTGGAGAAGCAGATGCCCTGTTGTCTCCTGATGGCAACCCCCACTGGCCAAGCCCAGCAAGAAGCCCACTCGAGTGAGCATCCCAGGCCAGGGAGGAATGTAGAGTGGAAGGGTCAATGGAAGATTCCAGCCCAGCCAGTGAGGCTGAAACTGGACATCCTGAATCCTCTCTTCATTAAGGCAAACCATTATGGAGAGAACACTGCAAACATGCCAACCCTGGGAACCAGGCACACATGGATCGCATCCCAGCCCTGCCCTTGCTGGTTATGTCTGGATCTTCATCTCATCTATATGTCAGGGGATGGCACAACTGGCATTGTGCTCAAGACTGAAAGAGGCAATGTCTGAAAAGCACATGGCCCCGTGCAGGTGAGTGCTCAGTAAATAGTGCACATTCTTGTCACTGGTCCCATCTTCATCTTACAGAACTGACAATAACCACAGCCACAGAGATTTTTCCAGTTTGGTCTCATCTCAACTGGGTGCTACAGATTTGCCATGAAATATTTTCAGGGATTTGTATAAATAACTGCAGACCTCATGATACAAAGTATTTCTTGGGCAAATTTCAAGAAGTTGAAAGCTGTATCACACCTTCCTCTACACATATCTAAAGGCTTTGGGCTCACAAAATATAGAGGATGGGTTGAAATGAAATACAGTGGAAAATAAGAAATGAATTGAACACTGCTGAATTCAGTGTTTAATCTCGATGCTCCTATATAAAGAAGACAAGGTCTTTTTTAGCCCCACCTGACTTGCGCCATCCTTAAACCCCTACCTCACACCCTTTAATCTCGATGCTCCTATATAAAGAAGACAAGGTCTTTTTTAGCCCCACCCTACTTGCGCCATCCTTAAATCCCTACCTCACACCCTTCCAGCAGTCCCAGATCTGCACACAGTTCCATTTATCTAGGGAAGACTGACACTCTCAGGTGCTTACCTCTCAGTGCCAGGCCTGCTTAGGATTTCAAGAATTTCAATAACTTAGATGGTGAGAGAAAGAGGAGGCCTGAGAAGAAAATGAAGAGACATGTGGACATCAGAAGGGCATGGAGGATGACCTGAAAAGGAAAGGGGATGGGAAGTGAACAAAAAAGGTGAGAGAAAAGGGTCTTGGGGGCTTAACCTGCAATAACACAGCAAGTGGGTCTACAATGGGTGGGAAGTTTGAACAGGCAAACAAGAGAATGAGATAAAGCACTGCTTTGCCAAGTAACGCCCTCCTAAGAGCTTTACACTTTTAGAGAATTCCAAACCCTTAAAATCCTTTGCTAGCATAGAAAAGGATCTGACACTTCTGTCTGTTCATCAGAAGGGTGTGAGCTCTGCGTTTCCATACAGGCATACCTAATTTTGTTGCACTTCAACTTTACTGTGGTTCAGAGATATTGCGTTTTTTACAAATTGAAGATTTGTGGCAACCCTGCATCTGGTGAGTCTATTGGAACCATTTTCTCCAAAACCATGAGCTCACATTTTGGTAATTTGCATTTTTCAAACTTTTCTGTTACTATTATGTTATTATATCTGTCATGGTGATCTGTAATCAGTAATCTATTTTTTCTTTTTTTTTTTTTTGAGACAGGGTCTCACTCTGTTGCCCAGACCGGAGTGCATTGGTGTGATCATAGCTCACTGCAGCCTCCAACTCCTGGGCTCATGTGACCCTCCTGCCTCAGCTTCTCGAGTTGCTAGGACTACAAGCGCCTGCCACTATGACTGGCTGGTTTATTTCTGTTTTTGCTCTTTTTGTAGAAACAGGGTCTTGCTATGTTGCCCAGGCTGGTCTCAAACTCCTGGCCTCAAGCAATCCTCTAGCCTCAGCTTCCCAAAGTGCTGGGGTTACAAGAGTGAGCCATCGTGCCTGGCCAATAATCTCTGATGTTACTATTGTAATTGTTTCAGGATGCCAAGAACCACACCCATGTAAGACAGCAAACTTAATTGATGAATTTGTGTGTTATGACTGCTCCACTGACTGGCTGATCCCCCATCTCTCCCTCTCCTTGGATCTCTCTTCATTTCCTGAGACATAACAATACTGAAATTAGGCCAATTAATAACCTTAAAATGCCCTCTAAGTGTCCAAGTGAAAGGAAGAGTCTCACATCTCTCACTTTAAATGAAAAGCTAGAAATGGTTGGGTTTAGCATGTCCAAAGCCAAGAAAAGCTGAAAGCTAGGCCTCTTGTGCCAAACTACGAAGTTGTGAAAGCAAAGGAAAAGTTCTTAAAGGAAATTAAAAGTGCTACTCCAGACAACACACAAATGATAAGAAAACACAGCAGCCTTATTGCTGATAAGGAGAAAGTTTTAGTGGTCTTGATACAAATCGGCCACAATATTCCTTTAAGCCAAAGCCTAATCCATAGCAAGGCCCTAACTCTCTTCAATTCTATGAAGGCTGAGGAAGCTGCAGAAGGAAAGGTTGAAGCTAGCAGAGGTTGGTTCATGAGGTTTTAGGAAAGAAATCATCTCCATAACATAAAAGTGCAAGTTGAAGCAACAAGTGCTGGTGTAGAAGCTGCAGCAAGTTCTCCACAAGACTGAGGTAAGACCACTGATGAAGTGGCTACACTACACAACAGATTTTCAATGTAGATGAAACAGCCTTCTATTGGAAGACCATGCCATCTTAGGCTCCACATCTGATTCTAGTTCATTTGCAATTCCCACCACATCGGCAGTTACTTCCTCCACTGAAGTCTTAAACCCCTCAAAGTCATTCGTGAGTATTGGAATCAACTCTTTCCAAATTCCTGTTAATGTTGATATTTTGAACTTCTCTCATGAATTATAAAGTATATATGGAGAAGCAAATCGACTTGAAAGTTGAAATTACGTTTTGGTTCACAGGCTGCAGAATGGATGTTATGTTATCAGGCATGGAAACATTAATCTTGTACATGTCCATGGTAGAGCTCTTTGGTCACTGGGTGCACTGTTAGTAAGTGGTAATGTTTTCAGAGGAGTCTTTTTTTTATCTGAGCAGTAGGTCTCAACAGCAGGCTTAAAGTATTCAGGAAATGATGCTGTAAACAGATGTGCTGTCATCCAGGCTTTGTTCTTCCATTTATAGAGTACAGGCAGGGGAGATTTAGCATAATTCTTAAGGGCCCTAGGATTTACAGAATGGCAAATGAGCATTGCCTTCAAAGTCACCAGCTCCATTAAACTCTAACAAGAGAGTCAGCCTGTCCTTTGAAGCTTTGAAGCCAGGCCTTGATGTCTCCTCCCTGGCTCCTCTCTAGCTATGAAAACCTAGGAAGTTTAGCCTTCTGGATGCCATTAAGAAAGTTCATAATTCATGGGAGAAAGTTAGTTGGTACTCACAAAATAACTTGTTAGGATTTTGAATAGGATTTCCATTGTATCTATAGATCAAGTTGGGAAGAACAGACATCTTAACAATATTGAGTCTTCCTATCTATGAACATGGAATCTACAGTACTGTCCCCTCTATCATTTTTGGTATTAGCAATCTGTGCCTTCTCTCGTTTTTTTTTTTGTTTGTTTTTGTTTGTTGTTGTTTTTTTTTTTTAAGTTACCCTGTCTGGAAGCTTATTAATTTTATTATCTTTTCAAAGAAATAGCTTTTGGTTGTGTTGACTTCCTGTTTTCAATTTCATTGATTTCTGTTTTTTAAAATGTTTTCTTTTGCTTTGGATTTGTTTCTTATCATGTCTGGCCTCCAAGGAACTGTTTTACTTTGCCACCAGCTCAACCACATGCTTATGTTCTCTTAACATTTTTAGTTGCACTGCACCTGGAGAATAGATATAGTCCACCACCCTGCTGAAAATAAAAATCTTCTATTTTACATTGTTTACTCTAGAAAATTTCTTCTGTTATTCCAATAAATTTGAAGGTTGGAAGAGAGGAGGTAAACTCAAGGACTCTAGTCACAACTCTAATATGGGTAAAAATCTAGTATTGCAAATTCCCTCTCACTCCCCTTCAACTAACAGAGCTCTAGTCACAACAATGATAGCGGCTTAGTCACTCAGATCTCCCTAACCCCATTTCTTTTTTGATCTATAAAATGGTAACAATTAAAAGACCCATCTCACAAAGTTATTATGAGGATTAAATAATAATAATATACTAAAAACTTAGCCTGGCCAAAATATATTTTTCTATTAGAAAGTTAATCTTGTATTTCTGGAATGTATGTTACCCTACTTAATCATGGATTAATGTTTCTGTCATATGCAGTTGGTATTAATTTCTCCATAATTCTTTGAGACTTTTAAATCTTATTCTTTCTCATTTTGCCAACTGTTTGATACCAGATTCATGCTAACTGCATAAAATGAATTTGGATGATTTTTCTACCTTCTGGGACAGTTTAAATAACTTTAAATATTTCATGTTGAAATTTTAAAACAATCCACTTGTAAAACACCTGGACTTGCAGCCATTTTAAAAAAGAATTCTTTGATAATTTTATAAAAGACTGTAGGCTAGGCACATTGGTTCATGCTTGTAATCCCAGCATTCTGGAAGGCTGAGGCAGGAAGACTGCTCGAGCTCAGGAGTTCAAGACCAGTCCAGGCAACATGGCAAAACCCTGTCTCTACAGAAAATTAAATAAATAAATAAAAGACTGCAACGGTTTGCTAGTGCAGATTTCTTAAGCCAATTTTGATCTTTTCCTAGAGAACAGTCCATTTCATTCAGATTTTCAAATTTATTTAGAACATGACCATAAAGAACTTATAATTTTTAAACTTCTTTATCCTAAATATTTTTGTTCACATTCCTGTCATTCTATTTTTTGCTATATCTATATATTTCATTTCTTTTTCAGTGTTTTGAGAATATTTATGCTATTTTTAATAGTTTCCTTGATATTTTCCAAAAGGATTCTTTATCTTACATTTTTCTAATAGTGAAATTAACACTTCAACTCTTTCTGATAATGTAGAAGATTGTAGTTAACAGCTCCTCTTTCATCTCTACCTCAATCTCAAGGCCCCATCAATTCTTAGTTTTTGTTAACAAAGGCTAAGATAGACTTACCCAGATACTTACTACTAACATATTGCTTTTCCCATTATTTAAAAACAATTTTTTTCAAATAAAAGGTCTCACATATTTGTTACTAAACCACCCTACTACTGCAGAGCATATACACAAAGAGAAAAACCATTTTCCCGATAAAACATATCTGACTGTCCAGATGGTGGTGACATTTTCAGTCTGATATGGTAAGATGACAGTGACCTTGATACAGCATAAATATGTGTGCCATCTCATTTGCAATTCCTTACAGACCCAGCGTGGTTCCTCTCCAGTGTCTCCTCTTGGAACTGTACCTGATTTTATTATCAGTTTTCATCTGAATGCACTGGGGAATGAGACAATTTTGCTTTTGTTTCTTGGCCTGAAATCACTTGACCCTGAAAGACTTGTGAGAAGACAGGGTGAGAAATGGAGTCAACTGTACACATCATGATGATGGAGGAAGGAAGAGCGAGGGGGCTGCTTTTTCCATTATTTATCCTTTTCAGGAATTTAACATCTCAATCCATCTTATAAACAGTTATAATTATTTAATGTTTAAGTTGTTTCAGTGTTCAGTGCTTTTGATATGAGGTTGATTTAATAAACTGTTTTCTTTCATCTCTTAGTTGATTAATCTTTAAGTCATTTCTTTCTCCAGAATAGTACGTAAGTGGTATAATTTCTCAACGCCTGAATGTCTGAAGCTGTCATTCCATTGTCTTCACTTATGAAAGGCATCTTCACTAGGGAGAAATTCTTGGATTAAAAATCTTCTCCTGTAGAGCTCCCTATTACCTTCCAGCATTCTATAAGGCTAGTCTGGTTTTTCCTTTCTTCTAAGTAACTGGCTTTTGTTTGTGCTTTTATCCTTGTAACTTACCATTTGGCCAGGATGCATCTAATTATAGAACCCTTTTCTCATAGGTTTTTCTGGAACATGATGAGCCCTTTCAATCTGTACATGCAGTTCTTTCTTTGGCCACCAGAATCTTTATTCAACTATATTTCTGAATATTGCTTCCGCTCCACTTGTTCTGTTCTTTTCTTCAGAGACACCAAATGCTGCCATGCAGAAGTGCCAGGCTCTGTCCTAGTATCTGCCATCCACTCTCATGAGTACTATCTCTATATACTCTGAGTTCCGAGACACCTTTTGGTTTGTTCTTGTCATGCTAATCCTATTTTATGAAGTTATTTTTTGTTTCTAATGTGCACTTTGGCTTCTGCGTTTTTATTTTATTTATTTATTTTTATTTTTTTGAGACAGAATCTCACTTTGTTGCCCAGGCTGGAGTGCAATGGCGTGATCTTGGCTCACTGGAACCTCTGCCTCCCAGGTTGAAGTGGTTCTCCTGCCTCAGCCTCCCGAGTAGCTAGGATCACAGGTGCCCATCACCGCCTGGCTAATTCTGTTTTTTTTTGTAGAGACGGGGTTTCACCATGTTGGCAAGGCTGGTCTTGAACTCCTGACCTTAGGTGATCCGCCCACCTCAGCCTCCTAGAGTGCTGGGATTACAGGCGTAAGCCACCGCGCCTGGCCTTCTGCATTTTTAAGTTTCTATGGTTCCACCATTCTCACCTTGGCCTGTTCTTTCATTATGGCTTTCTGTTTCTACTTCAAAAATGGCACATTTTCTGGTATTTTTTTGAAGAGGCCCAATAGTTTCTTGAAAATTTCTTCTAACTCCTGAAACTGAGATTATACACTGATCATATATGATTTTATGACTCTTTAAAACAATGTTTCTCAGTATCCTGTCCTAAGTCCCAAGTTTTACCACCTTTACTTCACCCAGACCTGTGGCCACTTTACTCATCTTTGGCTATACCAAGAGATATCTCTGGTAACAGGACGATTATTTTTGTTTACCTTTCAATGTTTAAAAAATGTCTTGCCTTGTATATACATGCTCCAGTAATAATTATTTTGAAAACAAAAGTTTTTAAACCTGTGAACAGCATAATAAAAAACTTTTTCTATCCCACAAAGAGCACAATAAAAAAAAAATCAACATCTGTTAATCTAGGATACAGTATATAGAAAAGTTATGGTATCAAGATGATAGTTTAAAGATATACATTTTTGCTTTCAAAAGCAAGGATTCTAATATATTAGGAAAATAGAAAGACAGTATTATTTAACCCTGTTCTCACATAAGCACCAATTTTATTCCAAATAATCACATAATTTTAAGAAATAATTTTCCTAATATATTTTTACAAAAAGTCACTTCAGTGTCATACATTCTAGAAACGCCATCTTGTATATTAGTATTACCTTACCTGAACTGAAACATTCCAAAAGTTCCAATACCTTCTACAGATTTCATTTTTACAGTTCAAAAAAATTATTTATTTTTCATGATAAATGATGCTACTGATAACTTTACTTGGTAGAATTGTAGTTACTTTGGTAATTTCTACATGTTTATAAATAAGCACCACATATACTATATTAAAAAATTAGCCAGTCTAAGGGCTTGCACTGGAGACCAGGGAGTTACATTTTGTTAAACCCAGATTGAACAGAGTTGAATTTAGATTAATACAGAGAAATGCATGCTCTGGGTTTGTTGTCCTTTGTATTTCTTGAAGCATCAGATGAATCGTAAAAAGTTCAAAGAGCTTCTTATTACTCCTGTAAAAAAAATGAATACATTATTTAATTACACATACTTAGAGAGTTTATCTGCAATGACACTGACAGATAATTTATGTGTAAACATGAGGAAATGGCATCTGTTTTTAAAAACAGTGGAGAAAATAGGCAACTAAAAGATTAGAATGCTGAAACAAACAAAATAGGTTTTATGAGATAAACCTGAAGCAGAAAACCACTGGGGAAAAAAGAAAACTTTTTTTTCTTTTGAGATAAGGTCTTATTCTGGCACCCAGGTGGAGTGCAGTGGCATGAACACAGCTTACTGCAGCCTCAACCTCCCCAGCTCAAGCAATCCTCCCATCTCAGCCTCCCAAGTAGCTAGGACTACAGGCGCACATCACCAAACCTGGCTAATTTTGTTTATTTTTTGTAGAGACAGGGTGTCACTATGTTGCTAAGGCTGGTCTTGAACTTCTGGGCTCAGGCGATCCTCCTTCCTTGGCCTCCCAAAGTGCTGAGACTACAGATGTGAACCACTGTGCCCAGCCTGGAACCATTTTACAACCCTGAAAATTGCACCCTATTCACTATTAGAGAGCGTGAGAATTTTTTTTTTCACAGCTAGCAAAACAGACAAACATTTGATCATCCTATTTTGAGTAAGCAGGCCTTTTTAAAGTGGCAGAATATTGGTTTATCTTTTGACTTGGCTATAGAATACTTGTTCAACCATCCTCTTTCTAATAACCTGTCAGTAATTTCATTTCAATCATTAAGAATTTGTTTCTTTTTTTTTTTTTTTTTATTATACTTTAAGTTTTAGGGTACATGTGCACATTGTGCAGGTTAGTTACATATGTATACGTGTTTCTTATTTCCTTGTCTAGCTTTGTTTCTTATTTCCTTGTCTAGCTTTGTTTCTTATTTCCTTGTCTAGTTATTTGACAAACTCTCTTGAGAGAGTTTGTCCTAATACAAACTCTTATGTACTATCCTAATACAAAAGGATTTACATCTTTTGTGGTCTTAAAGATTTATTTTAAGATCTGCTTGAGCATCAACTATTCCCAGTCTTCTTGTTCAAGCTTTGTTTTTTTATCTAAGTCTAAAATGAACCTAAGCTACAAACACATCATGAATAGTAAAACATTTTGGCCCAAGGTTATACTTGCACTTTGGGACTACCTTTAAAAAAAAAAAATCCCATGAATTAAGAAGTAAAAAAGAATTAAATCTAAGTAATGTTATTGCAGCTTCATGGCACCATAAGGTAACTGCAATAGGCCTTACTAGGAATTTAC
Organism: Homo sapiens; assembly: GCF_000001405.40. Taxonomy (NCBI): domain Eukaryota; kingdom Metazoa; phylum Chordata; class Mammalia; order Primates; family Hominidae; genus Homo; species Homo sapiens. The sequence goes on along the minus strand of NC_000002.12, from coordinate 108,874,822 downwards.
TGAAATCAAGAGAATCACGGTATAGTCTGCAAGAAAAGGAAGACAGTAAATTGATAAATTCAGCGCTAGTAACTTGGTCAGTCAAATTATAAGGTTATAATTTGACAATAATTTATTACAATCCTCTACTAGGCATGTTACCAAATAGAACATATGGATCTCTTAATCCCTATCTACAAATAATTTCAAGATGCATTGCATTTACTACTCAAGCATATGGAAGCCTGGTAAAATCTAAATTCTCTACCACGGGAATCATGGATGAGGGGATGAGGCCAGGAGGAGAAGAGCTGAACCTAAATCAAAATAAAAATGTTACTGTTATACAAATGAGTTGAGATAGAAGGTGTCCAGATTTGCCTCAAAGGAAACACTACAGCATACCAAGAATCACGGAAAATACAACTTAAAATCGATGTCCTTATTTATAGTTTAGTAACTGGTTATACAAGTTTCTGAGTCAGGAGAAAGATGAGGAAACAAAGCCCATGATTCTCATAAAAAAATCCAAATTAGTGGCAGTAGGCAGTCCATAAGAGTTTACTAAAATAAATCCCGTTACCAAAGTAATTTCAAATCTCTTCTGCTTGCTTCATTCTCATTCCCTAAATTCACTTTAGTACATCAATAAGGATTTGCAAAATACTTTTATCTTTTTATTTTCACCTGTGGTATTACAGAATACCAGTATGCAAGAATTTATTCTGATATTATTACTTGGTTGCTAAAAACTGCTCTTACTTTTATATGAAGCATTTAAAGTTCATTTATCTGAAATGAGCTATAGAAACAACTAGATGTTCTGAGATCAGAACTCTAATTCTAGTCTGTCACTAAATATGTGGTCTTAGATCAGCGTTAGTATTTATGAATCTTAATTTTCTACATCTGTATAATGGAAATTTTTTTTTAATAATCAAAGCTTAAGTAGCATGGGATTCAGAAAGGTCTAAATCAAGCTTGTCCAACCTGCAGCCCATGGGCTGCATGCGGCCCAGGATGGCTTTGAATGTGGCCCAACACAAATTTGTAAGCTTTCTGAAAACACTATGAGGTTTTGTTTTGTTTTTAGCACATCAGCTATCGTTAGTGTTAGCGTATTTTATGTGTGGCACAAGGCAATTCTTCTTCATCCAGTGTGGCCCAGGGAAGCCAAAAGATTAAAACCCCTGGTTTAAATGATCACAGTAAGGTATTTTTCAATAAAAAATGTTAGAAATAAGAAATTCTTACTTGATTTTGGAAAGTTTCTGTAAAATAATACTGAGTTTTTCTAGTATTTGAAGATCAAGCTTAGGGGCTCGAAGCAGCACAGAGCAAGTACGAAAAAATAAAGAGTTGCTACAGGCTTCCAGGAAAGGCTGCAAGGATTCTGCAAAACAAATCAACAGTGCTTTACTATTAGGGAGTAGCGAAAAAGGAAATTAAAAACAAATTAAAATCAGAACTATGTGAGGCATTTATAAATATTCATTTAGATTTTCATTCTTTTCATACTTAAATTTTTGAGTGAAAATATCATCATTTGAAAAATTAAAACATCCACTGGCTCTTATTCAACAAGGCAAACAAAAGATTATTTACCCTAATATTAAATTCCTATTAGGCAAAATCTAGAAGAAATCCCATGTTTGAAAGAAAGGAGGAAAGCTATTTCTTCAGTAAGTTCGTAACAATAAGTTCAGTTTAAATACTATAATTAGCAACAAGAAATTCTGCTTAAGTAGTAAATTAAAAAAACAAAAAACAAATCAAAGAGCCTCCAAATTTGTGAATTTCACTTGACTATTAATGACAGTTTACACAGTCACTAGATAAGGAAGAACCTTTGGAGCATAAAAGCAAAAAGGGAAAAGATTCATTTAAAAAAAGACTACTCTCACATTTAATTTAGATGAGACTCTGGACTTTTATGTTGAAGCTATTACAAGTTAAGACTTGTGGGGCTATTTAGATGAAATAAATTATTTTGTTTATGAGGACATGAGATGTGGGGGGCCTGCAGGCAGAATGCTGTAGTTTGAATGCTTGTCCTCTGTAGAACTCATGTTGAAATTTAACTGCCATTGTAATAGTATTAAGAGTGGGGACCTTTAAGAAGATAAGGCCATGAGGCTCCACCGCCATGTGTGAGTGCAGCCCCCTCTTGCTCTCTCTTGCCCTCTTGTCCTCTGCCAGGTGATGATGCAACAAGAAGCCCTCGCAAGATGCCAGCATCTTGATACTGGATTTCCCAGCCTCTAGAATATACGCCATTAAAGTTCTGTTCATTTTAACTTACCCAGTCTCAGGTATTCTGCTATAGTAGGATAAAACAGACTAAGTGGTATATGCTAGGAATGGAGCACTGGAGACAATGGTTATGTGCCTTTTGCATATAACTATGTAGTAAAAGTAGGGTAACCAAACTCATTACTTTCACAGTAATAGTCCAACAAAAGCATGGTCTAAACATAATTTACCGAGGTATGTGTATGTGGTGGTGGAACGAGTTAAGAATTTTGGGGTACTGGGATGGAATGAATGTATTCTGCGTATGAGAAGGACATAAATTTTGGGCACCAATGGCAGGATGCTATGGTGGGGGGAGGAGGAGAAGGAGGGAAGAAGAGAAAATGATCAGACTCTTCTCTGAATTCTCCGAGGCAACAATGAATGTCTGAAGACAACAAAGCAATGTTTATTTACTAAGTTCTGAACAAAAGCAAAAGAGATTAAAAACCACTCAGTCAAGATCTGGTTAAGTATAAAAGCCTCAGGCATTCTCAAACATGAAGTACCTCTTTAAATTGGTGGAAGGAAGTAGGGCAAAGTACGTGTGAGAGAGGGGAATTAAAAGATCATTCAAAATTAAGAAAAAAGACCTGGAGAAGCCACAGTAAAAGGACTAGTCTTGATCACTGAATATAATTAACTGTAAAACTAGAGAAAATAAAGCTAGTTATGTAGCAAATGTGGAAATGGTAGTCACAAAACAAAAGGTAAAAAGATAAACTATGACTAAAAAATAGCAATATCACTTTTAAAAATCAGAAAATGGAGGCGGGGAAGATGAAAAGTGCAATACATTAGCAGTATGTATTTCATCTTTCAGGCTGGAAGTCAATCAATTCTGTGTAGAACACAGTATTTAAATAGGGTATACAATTAAAAAATGGTTAAAATGGTAAATTTTATGTTATGAATATTTTACCAACATAAACAATGTACAAAAAATGGGACAATGTTTTTTATCTTGCTTTTTTAACAGAAGGAACTTTTATTTTTTTTGGAGCTAAAGTCTTGCTTTGTTGCCCAGGCTGGAGTGCAGTGGCATGATCTCGGCTCACTGAAGCCTCCTCCCTCTGGGTTCAAGGGATTCTCCTGCCTTGCCTCCCGAGTAACTGGGATTACAGGCACACACCATCATGCCCAGTTAATTTTTCTATTTTTTTTTTTTTTTTTTTTTTTTTAATAGAGTTGGGGTTTCATCATGTTGGCCAGGCTGGGCTTGAACTCCTGACCTCAAGAGATCTGCCCACCTCAGCCTCCCAAAGTGCTGGGATTACAGGCATGAGACACCACACCTGGCTAGGAACTTATAATTTTAAAAATTTATGACTCTAATCCATTTTATTTTTCCTGTTGAATACTATTTCATTAAATAACATGTATAATGCATGCCATTTCTGTAAAAGTATTTCCTTCTATCTATCCATTCATCCATCTTTTCATGTGAACACAACCATAGGAACGTGTCTAAAATAATGTTCACCTAACATTAATGACGGCTATTTCTAAATAATGAGGTTCATTTCAATTTTTTGAGTTCTAGAAGTTTATTTATATTCATTCTTTAAATTGGTGTTAAATATGCATAACACTTATCATTTTAACCATTTTTAAGTTTTCAGTTCTGTGGTATTAAGTAAATTCACATTACTGTGCAACCATCCATCTCCAGAGTTTTTTCCATCTTCTTCTGAAACTGCACACATTAAACAATAACTTTAATTTTCCCATTTCCCTCTTCCCCAACACCTGACAATCACCAATCTACTTATTTCTCTACTCCAGGCACCTCATATAAGAGGAATCATAGAAGATATATCCTTTTGTGCCTGGCTTATTTCATTTAGCATAATGTCTTCCAGGTTCATCCATTCTGTAGCATGTATCAGAACTTCATTTCTTAGACTGAATAATAGTCTACCGTATGTACATACCACATTTACTTTTGTTGCTTTGCAGATACTCTTTGTCTTTTACTTTTGACAGTTTCATGATAATGTGTCTTGATGTCGGACTCTGGGTTTATCAAATGTGGATTCCTTGAGTTTCTTTGATTTGTAGAGCCGTGTCTTTCCTCAAATTTGATAAGTTTTCAGCTATTATTTCTCTAAATTATCTTTCCACCCTTTCTCTTTTTTCTCCTTCTGGACTCCAGTAATGCATCAACTGGTCTGCCTGATGGTACTGCGTAAGTCCTTCAGACTCTGTTCACTTTTCTTTTTTCTTTGATTTTGTTCCTCGGACTTGATCATTTCAAATAACTTGCCTTCAAGTTCACTGATTCTTTCTTTTGCCTGTTCAAGTCTGCTGTTGAACTCTTCTAGTAAATTTTTCAATTCAGCTACTGTATTTTCCAGTTCCAGAATTTGGTTCTTTTAAATAATTTGTTTCTTTGTTGACAGAAATTTTGTTCATGTATCATTTCCCTGATTTCATTATTTCTCATTAACTCATTGAGCATATTTAAGATAGCTGAGAAATTTTGCTCATGTATCACTTCCCTGATTTCATTATTTCTCATTAGCTCATTGAGCATATTTAAGATAGTTGTTTTAAAGTCTTTTCTGAGCAAATCCAATTAATTTGTGTGTCTTTACAGGATAGTTTCTGAAGATTTATTTTGTTCCTTTGGATGAGCCAGGTTTCATCCTTTCTTTGCGTGTTCTACGATTTTTTTTGCTGAAAATCTGACATTTGAAAAAACCACCCCTCCCAGTCTTTGAAGACTGACATGAAAGGCCTTCACTACTTATCAAGCACCTGAGCCTTGGGAACGGTGTAGGGAGTGTGCTTAAGGTCATCTCAGGTCTTGTCTGGGCATGCATCCTGTCTGGGCCTGTGTATGCTGTTTTTTTCTTTTTTTCTTGTTTCCTCTGGCTGCCTGTAAATGTCTTAATTTCCCAGAATCTCACCCAAGCTTCTTCTGAAGGCCTTAGATCTTGTATGGTATTCCTCTGTGCATAACCTCTTCCTCCTACACATCCACAGGTCTGTAGTCTCCCTGCAGTTTTCATGTGCTATGGTGCCCACCACTGCCTTCCTTGGCCTTCTTCCTGAGATTCAAACCATGCCGCATTCCCTGTATGTGCCCTGAACGAGGCAAGTCTGAAACCAGTCTCTTGGGCAACCCATTGATAGGCAAGAATGCCTCAAACTAGTCCTGCTTGAATCCTTCTCTCCTGAGGAAGGGAATGGAGAACTGGGCCATTTACTTCTCTTTGTGCTGCACTGTGCCAGAGATAGAGTAGGGTAAGGGTGAGTAAAATTATCACAGAATGTCCTATCATTTTGCATGTGGCTTTTTCTTGATTGGGCATTTGCTGGGTTGCTACAGATCTTTGACTGGTTTCCATAGTTCCTACAAAGTTATTTTAGTCTGTCTGTAGCTATTTATTTGGTGTTTCTGTGGGGAAACAAGCACCTGCAACATCCTAGTCAGCCATTTTGCTGATGTTTGAATTTTGCTCTGCTTGAGCATGTACAATATTATGAAAAAAAAATTTTCTTCAAGGAAACAAAACAAAATTTTTATAAAGTAAAATAAAACCCACTCCAAGTATGAAGTATAGTCTGTGTTAATTCAGCTGGGAACGTAGAGAAAATCCAACTTATAGCTTAATCAAATAGAAAAAAATTTCATTTTTTTCTTTCACAAAAGGTAGGCACTTCATGGAACCAATTCAGGTGCAAGACAACGTCATCAGAAACCCAGATTCTTTGTTTCTGCCCAAAAACCCTTAGCTTTTTTTTCTTCAAGTTTTCTCATGAAAATGTTCTTAGTATTTATTTTTATGTGTCATGGTCAAAGGCTCTACATAACAAAGCAAAAAAGGAGGACAGTATGGGAATGAGTGCCAATTATATCTGTTCTTCTTCAGAAGAAAAGCAAAAGGTTTCCCAGAAACTCTCAGCAGATTTCTAGTTTCCATCTTACTGGCCTCATGTGTGTCAAGCATGTAGCTACCCTGCCAGCAATGAAAGGCTGGAGGAGAAAGTTTTTAGGTGTTACAGTCTCCAGAAGAGAGACAGGTGAGGTAGAAAGAGGTGAGAATGATGATGGGGGAGCCAACCCACAGTCTCTGCTGCAAGGGTCTAAGTTATTTCTTGAAACAAATTTTTCAGTGCTTTTGTTGAGTCACAATATTTTACATAAATTTATAGTTAATAAGCTTGGTGGAAAGTATTTAAATCTTCAATTTGAGAAAGATTACCTGAAGACATAACCAATCTCAGCTACAAGTTACTTTCAGTAATAAGGAAAAAGGGGCACCATGGACTCCCTGCACCAATACTATACTAATATGATATCTGACAAAAATCTATCGCGAGTAACTTAAGAAAATAAACGTAACTTTTATTAATTTAAAAGTCAATACTGAAATCTCTCAAGGTAATTATTTATCTGCCAACATTTCCTATAGCGGTTATACATTTTTAAAAGTACATGCTGTCAACAAGTTAGCACACTCTTTGGTAATGATTATGTCCACATGTTAGTCATCAGCCTGTCGATAACTGACTAGAACATTTTTCCAGTTTAAATGCTCAGAATCCAAGTTCCTCAGATAAGAGCTATTTTAATCTTTTCAGAATTCTAAGGCAAGGGTAATCAGAATAAAATTATTTTTTAAAGAAAACTCACCTCAGCTCCCAGATAGTAACATGCTATTTATTACACGGGACAAAAATGTATGATGTCTAGTTAGTAAGGCTTTTATTCCAGTTCTGATGACTCAAAGGCTGGAACATAACACAGCAACATTCAATACCAACCAAAAACCTTCAGTTGCCCATCCCTCAAACTGGATAAGGCTAAAGAAATATTTAAAAACAAACAAAAAAAAGCAATAGTATGAATAGACTTAGGTAGTCTTTGAAAAACACCCAAATGAATTTTCCTCTTCAGTATTTTTTTTCAAGTCCACCCTCATTCCTTTTTGGAAGGAGGAATGGTGTGAAATGCACTCAAGATGAGCTATTTCTTGAAAGATGAGTAGGAACTTGCCAAAGGCTTGGGGAGGGGAGTGCTAGTCCAAGGACAAAGACACTCTTGGAGCAGGGTAATCCATATTCGTAACTAACAACTCCCCAGGTAAACTTCCTAGTCTGCCATTTTTCCAGTTTTGAACCATGTTGTTCCTTCTACTTCTCATTCCTGAGAGAATTTCAAGACTTTTATTTTTTTCCTTCTAGCTTGCTTTTTCAATTCCTAAAGACACATTAGTGCTGCCAGTAATTCCCACTCTGGAATCTCTCAGTTCTGGAGTTCTAGCTTCCAGCGGGGAGCTTCTCTCTTGTGTCCACCTCTTCTTCTTCTAAAAGACTTAGTTATTCCTCTTATCACTGCCCTGGCCCTAGCCCTGTGACATTAAATAAGTCACTTAATTTCTCAGAGCCCCAGGTTTCCTATTTATATAAATTATACATATATATAAAAACATAGCTAAGCTAGTGGAACAGTTCTCAACCCAGTGACTCAGTAGAATCTTTTCATAATAAATATTTTATAATTCCCCTTTAATTAACCTAAAAATAACCATAAACAATATAACAATATAATCTGTTTACATGTATCTTTTTAATCAATATAATGCACTATTTATAATACAGGGGAGGAAAAGGGAATTTATAATAAGGTAATATTTTACTCATTTCTTTCCTTTTTTTTTTTCAGACAGTCTTACTCTGTCGCCCAGGCTGGAGTGCCGTGGCGTGATCTCGGCTCACTGCAAACTCCACCTCCCGGGTTCAAGCAATTCTCCTGCCTCAGTCTCCCGAGTAACTGGGATTATAGGCACCCGTCACCGCGTCCAGCTAATGTTTGTATTTTTAGTAGAGACGGGGTTTCACTATCTTGGCTAGGCTGGTCTCAAACTCCTGACCTCGTGATCCACCTGCCTCAGCCTCCCAAAGTGCTGGGATTACAGGCATGAGCCACCATGCCTGGCCTATTTTAATCATTTCAATGTGTCAATACTTGAGGATAACTGCACTGTAAAACATAAGGAAGTGGTCAAATGCTTGTACCTGTACATGGAATATCCTAAATGCAGCAGATACACATGTAAACTGGTACCAAGATAATTCTCAAATTGATGAGGAGAGAAAAATGAAAGACTAGTGTGGTAGGCTGAATGATGGTTCCCCCAAAAGATGTCCACATCCCCTTCATGGGAACCTGTGAATGTTAGCTTATAAGACAAATGCTTTGCAGATGTGATTAAATTAGAGATACTGAGATGGAGGTGATGATCCTGGATCACTTCACAGGGTCTAACTACAATCACAAGTATCCTTATAAAAGGGAGGCAGAAGGGATGACATCATCAAGATGGCAGAAGAGGACTCCTGGACCTTCCTTCTTCCAACAAGCAAACTGATTCCACAACAATCCCCATGGCCAAATTCCCTTTCTGTGAAATCCAGAAACTTTAAGAGGCTCCTGCATCCCAGTAGGTGTGAAACCAGTCACATCAAAGCCAGTAAGTCAATTCAGATACCCTACTACCATAGTCCTCTTGCACAGCTCCATAAGACAGGAACAAAATCCCCCAGCTCCTAGCTTCTCCCCAGGAAGAGAAAGAGGTACCCTATGTGTCTAATGTCCAAAGTTTTCTAGGAACTACCCAGAAAACTGGTTTATGTCTACCCTGTCTTGGAGCACTGACAGAACCCAACAAACTCTGGCCACTCATGGCAATTTGGGGTGTTGATCACTATAGCCACCCCGCCCTCTACCTCTGGCTCATCACGGAGTAAGCAGGCAAAAACCCCAGCTCTTTAGCTTCTACCTGGGAATGGATAGGGGAGTACCGTGTGTCCAACCACTCACCTTAAATGGGGACTGCCTGAGGAAATGGCTTCAGTCTCCATGGTCTCAGAAGCTGAAGGGACCTGAAATATTCTAGATGCCTAGGGACTATTAAGAACAAAGAAAGTGGATAGGACTGGCATGAAGGTTTGAAAGATCCCAGAATTTCTGTCAGGGCTGATTGGTGAGGGTCTTCTCCAGAATGAGTCCAGACCATGAAGACTTAGAGAGGTAATTATTTTGTCTATGGCACAAAAACATCAACAGAGAATGTCAAGGAAAAAGAAGAAACAAGGAAATATTTTCCCCAAAAGACAAAGAGATGAATCTCTAGAAACTGATCCTAATGAAATGGAGATATATCAATTAACTGACAGAATTTGAAATCACTACTACCAAATAAGCTCCCACATGTACACACTTAAGTTTTGTATACGGTTATTCACAGAAGCACTGTTTATATTAGCCAAAGACTAGAAACAGCCAAAATATCCATCAATCGTGGTCTGCTTAAATGAATGAATTTTAATTGAAGAAATTATGCATTTATATAAGATCTTCAAGATATAATGCTGATCATAATATATATCTATATAAAATATATATAAAACTTAGTAGCATTCCTGTGATAAAAAGGAAAAAGTAAAAATGTGTATGTATTTGTGTGTGTGTCTGCAGTTGTTCCCTCCAGGGAGGGAAACAGTAACTGAAGGCAGACTTTTCACTTTTGTACTTTTGAAATTATGAGATATGTGAATGTGTTACTATTTATTTATTTTCTTAAAACAGGGCCTCACTCTTGCCCAGGCTGGTGTGCAGTGGCATGTTAATAGCTCAGTACAACGTTGAACTCCAGGGCTCAAGTGATTCTCCCACCAAAGCCTCCCAAGTAGCTGGGACTACAAGTGCACACCATTATGCCAAGCTAATTTTTTTTTTTTTTTTTTGAGATGGAGTCTCGCTCTGTCGCCCAGGCTGGAGTGCAGAGGCACACTCTCAACTCACTGCAACCTCCGCCTCCTGGGTGCAAGTGATTCTCCTGCCTCAGCCTCCCGAGTAGCTGGGACTACAGGCGTGGGCCACCACGCCTGGCTTTTTTGTTTTTTTAGTAGAGACAGGGTTTCACCATGTTAGCCAGGCTGCTCTCGATCTCCTAACCTCGTGATCTGCCCGCCTTGGCCTCCCAAAGTGCTGGGATTACAGGTGTGAGCCACCGTGCCCGGCTAATTTTTTAATTTTTTTGTAGAGATGGGCCTTACTATGTTGCCCAGGCTGGTCTCAAACTCCTGGGATCAAGCAGTCCTCCCTCCTAAGCCTCCCAAAGTGCTGAAATTACAGGCATAGGCCACCACAACTGGCCTTGAATGTGTTACCTTTTAAACAATAAATACAATTTTGTTAAAAATAATTCCTTAAGTTAAATAGCTAGAGAACTTTAATCTTTTTTTAATAAATAAATAAAAATAGCGTGTTCATCATCTGGATATTTAATTATTTGCTTTCTTAGCTTCTTCTACCACACTAATTGGTGGGTTAGATTTTATCCCCCATCATATGCAATGTTTTGTTTTTTTTTCACAAAATATGAGAATGGGTTTCCTCAAAATATGCTATATAACACAAACTTAAAAGTTGACCAAGAAGGGCTCACTAGTGTTACACACTAGTGTAACACATCATCTATTATTGTCTAGTGTTACACATGAGAAAGACCAGCCTTTCATCTTAGAAACAGAGATTCTGTTAACAGTGTCAAACAAGGGGATGCAAACCAATCATTAAAGTGATTATGTAACTTTTAATAGAGCTGTAAATCTGGCAGCATTCAGAGACCAGTAGCAAATATATGGCTAAAAGCGCTCATTAATTGACTATTAAGTAGACTTCAGAAGTTACAGAAGGAACTGTTAGTTCATTAGGTCCCTGTGCCACATATCCCTGAAGTGGCTGACCAAGAACAACTTCAAAGCTCTTTTGTGCTGGGAAAGAATGCCAATGAATCACTTTTCTTATCCAATTTCATAAAACTCAATTGCCTTAATAAATAATGATGATAAACATAACAAAATATTAAGCAATAATTAAAAACAAAGGTTATGTAGAAATATATTTAAAAGCTCCTAACATTAAAGTCAACAAACCAGAATAGAAAGAAAAAGATCTAGGAGTTTTACTACATAAAAAACCCCAAGTCTTGATGATGCCCAACAAAGCTCTTCCCAATGAGCACCCCAGCTTGTTTCCTGGTTCTTCTACTTCTCTGCCCTCACTAACTCTGCTTCAGCTACACTGGCTTCTCTGATGTTTTTTGAAAACACCACACATCTAAAGTACAGCACACCCTTTGCTATAGTTGTATATTCTTCAGTTATTAAAAATAAACCTTCCCATTGTATTTCCTAAAGGGAATTTTTCCATGTGAAAGCTTGTAACTGAGAAAACAGATGATATGTATGTAGGATTAGGTTGGTGCTTTGTTAGAAATATTGCATCTATAATTTCATTGAAATTATCCTTCCTTTAATCTCCTAAATAATAAAAAACATAATAGAACGATTGAATAAATTTAAAACAGCAAAAAGGGAAGAAATTATGTTGTTCAAATCAAGAAAAACTTGTCAATGAAAAATAGTACCTGCATCAGATAGAAAGATATCAAATTAACAACCTAATATTGCAACTAAACAATATGGATATATTCAGAAGTAAGTTCTAGATGTGTAGAACAAGTTTAATGCCTGGAGTATAGTCCAAAGTTTTTGATGATTCTTTGTTATCTTTATTATTTTTTTACCCAAATTGAAACACAGAATTTAAACAGAACAACTCAAGTATGTCCTTGTAATATTTCCTAGGATTTTCTTGCATTTTAAACAGATAAACATAGCCTACCTGCAAATATGCAACTGTATATGCACTAGTATCTAACCACGTAAAAAAAAACAAAAGGTGGCCAACATCAAGAAAACCGTTTGTGGAAAAAAGATACAAAATAGTTATGTATCTTTTGATAGCAAAGATATATTTTTCTGGGATATTTGTTGGTTTTTTAATTAAATGAAAATTATATATCTTTACCATGTACAATATATTTCAATATCATGTAGTATGTAAACATTGTGGAATGGCTAAATCAAACCAAATAACATATCCATTACCTCACATATTTGCTTTGTTGTGGTGATAACATTTAAAATGTACTCTGTTAGCAATTTTCAAGTATGTAATATACTTGTTATTAACTGTAATCACCACATTATACAGGTTGAGCATCCCTAATCTGAAAATCCAAAATCCTCCATCATATGCAATGGGAACCAGTCACAGGCACTTGGAGTTAGGTCCACTGACACTACCTCCCAGCCTGTGAAGATCCCTGAGGAAGCTCTGCATTCCCTAGAGCACTGTAAACACAATGCTTTGAAACATGGAACCTCACAAAGCTGGTCACCAATGCCCATATAGTAAGGTAAGATAACCCATTTGTAAATAAATTCCATTGAGATTTCTTCTGCAGCAACTTTTTCCTGTTTTGTTTTTTTTTTAAGTGGCATGGGTCATTCCCACAACCACAGAATATATATTCTTCTCATCTGCATGTGAAACATACTCTATGACTGACCACATGCTCAGGAAAGTCTCAACAAATAAAAAAAAAAAAAACTGAAATCATACCAAGAATCCTCTTGGGCCATAGTGGAATAAAAATAGAAACCAATACAAAGAAGAACTCTCAAAAACATATAAACACATGAAAACTAAAGAATTTACTCCCGAATGACTTTTGGGTAAACAACAAAATTAAGGCAGAAATAAAAAAAAATTCTTTGAAACAGTGAAAATCAAGATATAACATACCAAAACCTGTAGGATACAGTAAAAACAGTGCTAAGAAGAAAGTTTAGGCTGGGCGCGGTGGCTCACGCCTGTAATCCCAGCACTTTGGGAGGCCGAGGTTTAGGCCGGGCGCGGTGGCTCACGCCTGTAATCCCAGCACTTTGGGAGGAAGAGGTGGGCGGATCACTGGAGGTCAGGAGTTCGAGACCAGTCTGGCCAATATGGTGAAACCCTGTCTCTACTAAAAATGCAAAAATTAGCTAGGTGTGGCGGTGTGCACCTGTAGTCCCAGCTACTCAGGAGGCTGAGGCAGAAGAATCGCTTGAACCCAGGAGGCGGAGGTTGCAGTGAGCCAAGATCATGCCACTGCACTCCAGCCTGGGTGACAGAGCGAGACTCCATCTCAAAAAAAAAAAAAAAAAAAAAAAAAAGGAAGAAAGTTTATAGTGCTAAATGTCTACATAAAAAAAGAAAAATATCAAATTAACAACCTAATGTCACACCTACAGGAACTAGAAAAACAAGAACAAATTAATCCAAAGTTAGCTGAAGAAATAATAAAAACAGCAGAACTAAATGAAGTTGAGACTAAAAGAACTATATAAGGATCGACGAAATGAAAAAGTGTTTTTTTGAAAGGATAAACAAGATCAATAAACCACTAGCTAGATCAACAAAGAAAAAAAGAGAGATGATCCCAATAAACACAATCAGAAATGATAAAGGTGACATTACAGCTAATCCCACAGAAATAAATTTAAAAAAAAATCCTCAGAGACTACTATGAACATCTCTATGCACACAAACTAGAAAATCTAGAGGAAATGGATAATTACCCAGAAATATACAATCTCCCAAGATTGAATCAGGAAGAAATTGAAACCCTGAACAGACCAGTATTGAGCTCCAAAACTGAATCAAAATTGAATCCTTACCTTACCAACCAAAAAAAAAAAAAAAAAAAAAAAGTCCTGGACCAGATGGATTCACAGCCAAATTCTACCAGATGAACAAAGAAGAGCTGATACCAATTCTATTGAAACTATTCCAAAATATCGAGGAGGAGGGACTCCTCCCTAACTCATTCCAAAACCCAGTATCATACTGATGCCAAAATCTGGCAAAGACACAACAAAAGTAGAAAACTATAGGCCAATATCCCTGATCAACACAGAAGCAAAAATCCTCAACAAAATACTGGCAAACGGAACCTAGTAGCACATCAAAAAGGTAATCCACCACGATCAAGTGGACTTTATTCCTCAGATGCAAGGATGATTCAATATACGCAAATCAGTAAATGTAAAAAGAGAATTAAAAACAAAAACCCCTAGATGCAGAAAAAACATGAGATAAAATCCAACATCTCTTTAGGATAAAAAAAAAAAAACCTCAACAACCTAGGCATTGAAATAATAAGAGTCATTTATGACAAAACTACAGTCAATATCATATTTAATGGGGAAAAGTTGAAAGGGTTTCCCCCAAAATCTGGAACACAACAGGTATGTCCACTTTCACCACTCCTTCAACAAAGTACTAAAGTCCTAGCAAGAGCAATTGGCCAAGAGAAAGAAATAAAAGGCATCCAAAGAGGAAGACAAATATCTCTGTTCACTGACAATAGGATTCTATACCTAGAAAACCCTAAAGATCTTGCCAAAAGACTCCCAGACCTGAAACATGACTTCAGTGAAGTCTGAAGATACAAATTCAACGTACAAAAATCAGTAGCTTACATCAAAACAACATATTTAAGAAAAAAAAAAATCAGAAGCATTTCTATACACCAATAACATTCAAGCTGAAAACCAAATCAAGGGCACAATCCTATTTACAACAGCCACACACACACAAGATACTTAGGAATACATCTAACCAGGAAGGTGAAATATCTCTACAAGGAGAACTATAAAACACTACTAAAGGAAATCACAGATGACATAAACAGATGGAAAAACATTCCATGCTCAAGGATTGGAAGAATTAAGATCATTTAAATGGTTATATTGCCTAAAGCAATCTATGGATTCAACACAATTCCTATCAAATTACCAACATTATTCTTCACAGAATTAGAAAAAAAAAAAATTGAAAATTCATATGGAACCAAGAATGAGCCCAAACAGCCAAAACAAACTTAAGTAAAAAGAACAAAGCTGGAAGCATCATGTTATCTGACTTCAAACTATACTACAAGGCTATAGTAACCAAACACCATGGTACTGGTATATAAAAAGACACACAGACCAATGGAACAGAATAGAGAAACTGAAATAAAACCACATACCTACAACCAACTGATTTTCAACAAAGAAAATCACAATATACAAAAATTAACTCAAGATGGAACAAAGACTTAAATGAAAGATGTCAAATTATAAAAATCCTAGAAGAAAATCTAGGAAATACTCTTCTGGACATTGGCCTAGGCAAAAAATTTATGACAAACTCATCAAAAGCAAATGCAATAAAAATAAAAATTGACAACTGGGACCTACTTAAACTAAAGAGCTTCAGCATAGCAAAAGAAACTATCAACAGAGTAAACAGACAACCTATAGAATGGGAGAAAATATCTGCAAATTCTGCATCCAACAAAGGACTAATATCCAGAATCTACAAGGAGCTCAAACAAATCAATGAGAAAAAGCAACCCCGTTAAAAAGTAGGCAAAGGACATGAACAGATACTTCTCAAAAGAAGACATACAAGTAGCCAACAAATATATTTAAAAATGCTCAACATCACTAATCATCTTTGAAATGCAAACCAAAACCACAATGAGATGCCATCTCACACTAGTCAGAACGGCTATTACTAAAGTCAAATAGAACTGCCATTCGATTCAGCAATCCTATTACTGGGTATATACCCAAAGGAAATGAAATTGTTCTACCAAAAAGATACCTGCACTCTCATGCTTATTGCAGCAGCTGTATTCAAAATAGCAAAGATGTGGAATCAACCTAGGTGCCCATCAGTGGTGGATCAGATAAAGAAAATGTGATACATATACACCATGGAATACTATACAACCATAAAAAATAATGAAATAATGTTCTTTGCAGCAACATGGATGCAGCTGGATGCCATTATCCTAAATGACGAGTTCAGTTGAAGCCCAAACCTCAGCATCACACAATAAATCCATGTAACACACCTGCACATGTACCCCCTAAATCTAAAATTAAAAAAAAAAAGAAAAAAATAGCATGAGAAAATTAAATATATGGTAAAATGGGTTTCCAATCTCAAACCTAGAAAAATGAAAAACCAACAGCTAAAGAAGTATTTGCTACACTTTGATCAATCTTTCCTCGCTCTAATAAATCGTACTGGCTGACCAACAAGTACTGAATTTACATTAAAATTCAAGCAAGTAAATGCTCTTCAGTCAGACATCATCAAAGATTCACCCATTTCCAAACTTCCAAAATTTTCGCATCACTAAACACAATACGGCTTTAGTAGTGATCACCATTAGATACTGCTTATTTACTTGATTTGAACAACAAGGGCACAGCGTTGGTGTTTTTTTTGTTTGTTTGTTTGTTTTTGAGACGGAGACTTACTCTGGCACCCAGGCTGGAGTACAGTGGCACAATCTTGGCTCACTGCAACCTCCACCTCCTGGGTTCAAGTGATTCTCCTGCCTCAGCGTCCTGAGTAGCTGGCATTACAGGCGCACACCACCATGCCCGGCTAATTTTTATATTTTTAGTACAGACGGGGTTTCACCGTGTTGGCCAGGCTGGCCTTGAACTCCTGATCTCCAGTGATCTGCCCGCCTCGGCCTCCCAAAGTGCTGGGATTACAGGCATGAGCCACTGCACCTGGCTGAATTTGAGAGTAACCTGGACAATGGTAAACAAATGTGACTGACTGTTGACTATCTCCTCTAATAGACTTTATTCAAATTTGCATTTGCAGTACCACAATTTATTTCACCCAAGCAGGTCAACTATTTCATAAAATTATATTTTGTTTTCCTTTGACAACGAGAAAGATGCCATCTCTGTCATATTCAGAAAGATTTCTTTCTAATGAATACACATTTGCATCTGGTATGATTTTTGTTTTTCTCATTAAAAGAAAAATCCCTGTGAAACAAGTTGGGAATCTAGGCACTTAAGTAATACTGGATCCCTCAGTTCACTAACTTTTCACTTTTCATTCTACTCCTTACATTAGTAAACTGAAATACACAACTCCAAGATTACTAATCTAGGTAGCTAGTCATCAACTGTAAGTCCAATATTTTAACAGTTACAAATAGCTAAAAACGTTGATAAAATACATCAGACAATATAGGACATTTTGGGACAGGAGAAGAAAATAAACCTGGAAAACCTAGTTACAGTGCTTTGGTAGAACAAGCCTTAGGTCTAGAGTCAGAGATGTGGCTTTAAGTCTCAGTTCTACTTGTGTTTAGCTGGGGAATCCCTGGAGAAGTTACCTAATTTTTTAGTGATGTTATTAATGACTCAATTAAATAGCATCAAAAATATTTTTAAGCATTTAAAAATGCAATAGTCCGGGCGCAGTGGCTCACGCCTGTAATCCCAGTGCTTTGGGAGGCCGAGGCTGCCAGGTCAGGAGATACAGACCATCCTGGCCAACATGGTGAAACCCCGTCTCTACCAAAAATATAAAAATTAGCTGGGCGTGGTGGCGTGTGCCTGTAATCCCAGCTACTCGGGAGGCTGAGGCAGGAGAATTGCTTGAACCAGGGAGTCAGAGGTTGCAGTGAGCTGAGATCGTGCCACTGCACTCCAGCTTGACGACAAAGCGAGACTCCATCTCAAAAAAAAAAAAAAAAAAAAAAAAAAAAAAAGCAATAGTATCTGATATGTGGAGTTATACATGCAGACAAGATAAAGACAGAAAAATCATCCTGCTTTCTTTACACATATAGAACTTAAAAACTTACTAGATTCCACCGTCATCTGGAGCAAACTATCAATAACATTAGACAGGAGTCCTTTACTGGATATTCTTAGATGACTTAATATTACTGGAACAGCCTGATACTCCAAAAACAAGGTTTTTCCTTCTTCTGTCTTCAAGTCCAAACAAAGAGAATCAAATGCCTGAGCCAGGTAATCAGCTGGAAAATAGTTATGTACAATCAACTGCAGTTTTGCTAGTCTAGGTGTCAATCAGAAACAGAAGGTAAAAAAGCAATGTCGTTACTTTAACAAACTCAAAAGACAAACAAAAATTAAATAAGAGATCACAGTCTAAATTTAGATTCTAACTGATTTGTCAGAACTCAAATGGGTAAGGAGAGAGGAGACATTATGATGTGGTAAATTTCATTTAGAATTTTCATGTTTTAACACCAAAATAACAAGCCACATTTTTTAATACTAAGGAAGAAAAACAATGCCTATTAGTATCACGAATGTTTATTTTTCCATATTTGATAACTACTACATGCTTCCAAAAACTTAGTATTTCTATCTCTATAATAGCTTTCTAAGATTATGTTTTGTTGCTGCTTCCTAAATGTTTACCTACTTCAAAATGTAATTTATACAAACGTGCTAAATGGATTTTAAATAAGGATTTGTTTCCTAGTAAAGCTGAAACAAGATAATTTCAGAAGATTGAATATGCTCTGGTGTGTCAGTTTTCATGATACATCTGCCATTAAGAATGGCAGCAAGATTTTACCCAGGCCAGTGCTGTGACAACTCCTGAATCAGAAACCCTGAAACTTTCTTAAAGAAGTCCCACAGATGACTGAGAAACCTGCAAGGCCAGGATTGGGAAGCACTAATTTAAGCAGAATCATTGCAAATGAAGTAGTAAGATACTTGCATCATTACACTTCAGTACACTACACAACCCAAGTCCCTACTCTTACAGCAGTCTTACCTTGTGCTTTTAATGTACAATAATCAAGTTTTCTAAAACTCTCCTTTCAAAATGCTATTCAGAGGGAAAAAAAACCGTTCATGCTATCCAAGTAATAATTTTTATACTGAGATTTCTGTTTAAAGGAGAAGACTCAAGAGCACCATGAAATACTGAAAGTACAACAGAATCACCGTATTAAAATTTACTCTTTTGTAGCTTCATGTTGCATTTCTTCTTTGCTGTTTCAGCTTACATAATAAGTAATTTAAAACCCTGGTTATTAAGAATGAGAAGTTTAGAATAACTTGTGTGAAGTGAAAATACATATGAAACTATTTTGAGAAAGTAAGATCTGTGCCTCTGGATCAATTATAGTACACTCCATTTTTACCATTGGTAGAATTTAGTTCAAGGAACACCAACATTACTGTACTTAATTTTGTGGTTTAAAAAAACATTGTAAATAAATGTGTATTAAGTTAAACAAAGTTGCTAGATTCTGTGATTCTGTTCAGACTTGCCTTATTTAGAAACATCCTTTTTTTTTTTTTAGCAACACCACAGGTAGAAGAGTATACACAGATGAAGCCTGAACGCAACTCTTTATAGGAACAAAAGTTTTATCACAGTGCCACCTACTGTATTTGACACACATTATTCTTAGTATATAATTTGACAAGATTAAACAGGTTGAATACTATACAGTTTTTAAAAATAGGCTGACTACTATATGGTATTCTTTTAAGTTTGCAAACTTTAAAAAATTGTCCTTGAGGATTAGAAAAACTGTATTTGGTTTCTTTTTCACAAGTGACCTTATCTTTTAGGGATAAATCAAAATTATGTCCTCATTTTGTCTTCATTTTAATTTATTGAATATTTCAGATTTTCTAAATACAAGAGCAATTTAACTTCTAAAAGAGTATTTTTAAAATTTTAGTTATCAATTATATCAAAGTTGGTTTCTTTTTATAAATGCTATATTATTCAGTCTTTTAACAATGTCCTGGCAATCAAATGTAACCTTTTTATTCCCTAACAAAAGTCAAACTTCAAACTACTGATCTTAATCAGTATGAAATATGGTTTTCCATTATTTTGTTTATATGATAAATTTAAAAATGATTAGAAAGTCTTTTGCAGAAACTGCCATCAAAAGGTGAACTCTACTGCCCACCCTTTGAATCTGGGCTAAACTTGTAACTTAACCAATAAAATGTAGCAGAAATGATGCTGTGTGAATTAGAAGCCTGAGGCTCAGCTATATACTCTTCACCTATAAACAGGCCCCTGGAGAGAGGCCAAGAAAGAACAGCAGAACCAAGCCCAGCCGAGCCCAGCCAAATATCCAGATGAGCTGAGCCCAAATTACCAACCCAAAGAATTGTGAGCTGGTAAATAAAATGGTGGTTGAGCTAAGCCACTAAGTCTCTGGAAGTTTATTAAGCAGGAATAAACAACTAATGTAGTCTAACAGACCTCAATTCTGATCTCAGGTAAAACCAACTCTTAAAGTTTTATAATAAGTAATAATGTCTACTGATAACAATAGTAGCTAAAGACTTTATGCCAGACTTGCTAAAACTTTACATCAATTCTCTCATTAAAAAATAATTGTAGTGGAAATAGTAAAACAAACAAACAAAAAAGACCTTCCAAATACCACACAGCTAGTAGTGAAGCTAAGATTCAAACCTTAGTTGTCTGACTATAGAGTTGAAGTAACTACTACATTATACTGGCTTCCTACCAAATCAAACCTTCCTATTAACTGAGAACAGCAACAATTCCCTACATTTCTCTAGACCTAAAGTATAAGCTCACAATTTAAAAATACATAAATCTGCTTTGAGAGCCAAGTGCCAAGTAGGACAGGACAAATGTCCTAGTCCTAATGTACACATTTTCTACATATGTATATATTATATATATTTATTATATATATAATATAAATTTATTATATTATATATAAAATATATATAATATAAATTTATTATATATTATATATAATATAAATTTATTATATATTATATATAATATAAATTTATTATATATTATATATTATATATATTTTATTATATATATTTATTGTATATTATATATAAATTATATATAATATATATACTATATAATATATAATATATATACTATATAATATATTATATAGTATATATATTATATATATAGTATATATATATTGCATATAGAAGACAGTTGGCTGGGGATGGCTGGTGCCTGTAACTCCACTGCTTTGAGGGGCCAAGAGGGGAAGACAGCTTCAGCCCAGGAGTTTGAGACCAGCTTGGGCAACATGGCAAGAGCTCATCTCTACAAAAAATAAAAAATTAGATGGTCATCGTAGTGCATGCCTGTAGTCCCAGCTACTTGGAAGCCTGAGGCAAGAGGACTGCTTGAGCCCAGGAGTTCAAGGTTGTGGTAAGTTATGCTTGCACCACTGCATTCCAGCCTGAGTGATAGCGTGAGATCCCATCTCTCAAAAAAAAAAAAAAGAAAGCTATCAGTAAACCAAATAATTCTATCAGATAAAGTTCCTACAACTTCTTTTAACAATTTCTAGATTAAATTGGTACACATATATTGAAGGTTTTATTAATTAAAATACACATAGATTTCTGTATCTCCATACTTATTGTTAATGACATATAATATTGTACTATGCTCATGATATGGTTAAGGGCCCAATATTTCTAGAAAAATCTGGGTCAATTATATTAGACTGACCCTCAGTTTGCTCTTCTGTAAAAATGACACCATGACCTACCTCATAGTTATTGCAGGGAATAAATCTGAAACAATCAAGTACAATGACTAAAACAATGCCAGCAAAGTCCAAGAACTCGGTTGATGTTCATTTTCTTCACTATTCCGATTGTGGGTCTATCAGCTATTTATCTTTTCTCATTATTACAAACAGCATATTAACACCTTGGAACATTTTTACTTTTGCAATTATTTCTTAAGGTAGATCTCACGAAAGGTTATGATGTATTTTGGTGATGTTTGTGAGCAGAATGCATTTCAAAAATATTAACTTTGATACAAACAAAATTGTGCCTATATCCTCTCAGTGACACATTATATTTGCTCATTTTACTTCTGTAATGGTTGGGTTTTTTTATTTTATTTTAGTTCAGGGGTACCTGTGCAGGTTTGTTACACAGGTACACTTGTGTCATAGGAGTTTGTTGTACAGATTATTTCATCACCCAGGTATTAAGACTAGTACCCATTAGTTATTTTTCCTGATCCTGTCCCTCCTCCCACCCTCTGATAGGCCCCAGTGTGTGTTGTTCCCCTTATGTATCCATGTGTTCTCATCATTTAGCTCCCACTTATAAATGAGAACATGTGTTATTTGATTTTCTGTTCCTGCATTAGTCTGTTAAGGATAACGGCCTCCAAGTCCATCCATGTCCCTGCAAAGGACATAATCTCATTCTTTTTAATGGCTGCATAGTATTCCATAGTGTATATGTACCACATTTTCTTTATCCAGGTTATCTTCGATGGGCATTTGGGTTGATTCCGTGACTTTGCTATTGTGAACAGTGCTGCAATGAACACAACACATGCATGTGTCCTTATAATAGAACAATTTCTATTAGTTTGGGTATATACCCAGTAATGGGATTGTTGGGTTGAATGGCATTTGTCTTTAGGTCTTTGAGGAAATGCCACACTGTCTTCCACAATGGCTGAACTAATTTACACTCCCACAAACAGTGTACAAGTGTTCCTTTCTTTCCATAAAGAAGAGTTGTATCTTACAGTTAAATTTTATTTCAGAGATTGAGCATCACATACTGATTGTGTGCAGCTAAACTTTTTTATGCCTCAATTTCCTCATTTGTAAAATTACAATAATAATATTGACATCTCATGAACTGTTGTGAGGATTAAATGAGTTAATATATATAAAGTGCTCGGCCTATAACATAGTAAGTGCTATGTAGGTGTTTATTTCTTTGGTTATCTCAGGAAGTACATGCTCTTAGGTAGTCATAAAATAGGCTTAAGAAGGTAGGCTTCAGCAATTGATAGAGGCTAAATTAGGCTCTGTCAAATGCAGATTGTATCGTTTTGGCACAATTATCTACCTTTGTAAACCTCATCACTAATATGAGGATAATAGTATTCAGAGATAAGGTATAAAGAGCTTAGTATCTGTGGTGTTATGATATATATATATAGGTTTTCGTCTCATTAGTCTTTGTTATGATGTTGGGTGTGTTAGGCCTCAGGGGAAGGTCTCTGACCTTCTCCTGCCCTCCTTTCACTTGGCCCAAGCCAGGACTCTAATCTTTCCTGGACTTTCTGATTGTGGGTCTTAACATCCTCCCCAGAGAGAGTCCAGCCCTATATCCTGGTGGACAGAATTGTGATGTCAGGAAGCCTCCATAAAAACCCAAGAGAAAGGCCGGGCGCGGTGGCTCACGCCTGTAATATCAGCACTTTTGGGAGGCTGAGGTGGGCGGATCACCTGAATTCAGGAGTTCAACACCAGCCTGGCCAATGTGGTGAAACCCCATCTCTACTAAAAGTACAAAAATTAGCTGGGCATGGTGGCAGGCACCTGTAAGCCCAGCTACTCGGGAGGCTGAGGCAGGAGAATTGCTTGAACCTGGGAGGCAGAGGTTGCAGCAAGCCAAGATCACGCCATTGCACTCCAGCCTGGGCAACAAGAGCAAAACTCCATCTCAAAAACAAACAAACAAACAACAAAAAACAAAACACCCCAGAGAAATGGGTTCAGAGAGCTTCCAGACGGCTGGACATATGGAGATTTCTGGAGCGTGGTGCTCCAGGGAGGGGACAGAAGTTCCATGCCCCTTCCCCTATACCTTGCTCTGTCTCTCTCTTCATCTACATCATTTGCAATATCCTTTATAATAAACTGGTTAAGTGTTTCGCTGAGTTCTATGAGCTACTCCAGCAAATTAAACCCAAAGAGGGGGTTGTAGGAACCCCAATTTGAAGCCAGTTGGTCAGAAGTTCCAGAGGGCCGGACTTGCAACTGGTGTGGCACGAGGCAGCCTTGGAGACTTGAGTGCCCAACTTGTGGGATCTGACACTATCTCCAGGTGGATCGTGTCAGAAGTGAATTGGAGCAGCTTGTGTCTGCTGCTTGGTATGTGGGGAAAAACCTCCACACATTTTGTCACAGAAGTCTTCTTCTGTGTGGATGATTATTGTCATGTGGGAGTAGAGAAAAAACACAGTTAAAGAGTTTTCCCTAGACAGCACTGTGGTGTCAAAACTCACCAACTGGCCAGGCGCAGTGGCTCACGCCTGTAATCCCAGCACTTTGGGAGGTTGAGGCGGGCAGATCATGAGGTCAGGAGTTCGAGACCAGCCTGGCGAACATGGTGAAACCCCGTGTCTACTAAAGATAGAAAAAATTAGCAGGGTGTGGTGGTGCGTGCCTGTAATCCCAGCTACTCAGGAGGCTGAGGCAGGAGAATCGCTTGAACCTGGGAAGCAGAGGCTGCAGTGAGCCAAGATCGTGCCACTGCACTCCAGCCTGGGCGACAGGGTGAAACTCTGTCTCCAAAAACAAAACAAAACAAAACAAAAAAAACTCGCCAAGTATTATATATGCTGATTCTTATATGAACAGTCTATTCAATATAACTAGGTATTATCTTCATAGATCTATATATATCTGGATTAAGCAGTTAATATTATGTGTAGTATCCAATGCATCTGCCTATTACCCAACACATTTGCCTACTTTCTCATTTTCTACTAAATTTATCAAATTTGAAACTGATGTTCCTATTTTATAAATAGGAAACATCTTCTTACTAGAGTTAAGTCTACTCTTAGGATTTAAGAGTTTTTCTTATGTTTAAATGTTTAGTTCTCCCAGAATTTTTTTCAGTATATTTAACGATAAAGGATAAATAGCTGTATCATGACAGTGTCTGACAGTAGTTCCGAGGACCATCTGGCTCTGACATTTCTTCCTAGGTGCTGGCATGTGCTGGGATTTGGCCAGGACAAAGGCCCCTTTTACACTTGTATTCACTGGCCCATGCATCCTGTTGAACCCTCCTAGCCCCAGGTCTTGTGTGCAGGCACACCCCACCTGCCTGCAGCTACTGGAGAGAACACCTGCAGTCAGAAAGTGCTCTTCTCCCTGAGACTCATCAGCATTCAGGCTTCTTTCTTGATGGCAGCAGCATGTACCTTGGCCCCAGGTAGTAGATGAACACTGGAACCCCACAGGTTTGGGCTCATAAGAAACCCTTGTGCCTAGGCTGGGAGAGGCCAGACTATAAGGAAAGGGAGAACTCTTGTATCTCTTCCTTGTTCCACAGTGATTAGTGTCAGATTTTTTTTTCTTTTTCTTTTTTGAGGCCACCAGGCTGAGGAGCCTGCAGCTTTAAAGGGTATCTGTTAGGCAGGAACCTTGTGAGAAAGAATCGTTCACAACAAGTGTGAAGGGAGACTAGAGAGTGAAGGCAGGGAGACGTGTCAGGGCCTGTCTGTGGTCTAGGGAGAGGTGATGAAGCCACTGAAAAGGTCATGGAGAGTCACCATGGGAGGCAGTATTCCTGAAATCCAGTGGCCAGGGTGTGGAGGAAAGGGATGGCACACATGTATCTAGAGGAGGCTAAGGAAAAGGGAATAGGAGTGACCATGAGCTCAGCTGGACATGCTCCTTGGATTTGTGTGTTTATAGTTTTCACCATATTTCAAAAATTTGGAGCCATTATGTCTTGAAATAGTTTTTGTCTCCCCTCTTCATAGACTCTAAGTACATAATATTAGAATATATGATTTTGTCTCAAAACTCACTGATGTTCTGTTTTCTTTTTTGTAGATTTTTTTTCTCTGTGTAATTCATTTTGGACAGTTTCTATTGCTATGTATCCCAGTTCACTAGTCGTTTGTCTGCAGTGTCTAATTCTCTCCAGTGTATTTTTAAATTTCAGGCACTGGGTTTTTCATTTGCAGAAATCTGATTGAAGTCTTTTTATCCCGTATCTTCCATGTATCCCCTTACCAGGCTCATGTTTTCCTTTACCTTCTTGAACACAGGGATATAGTTATAATAACTGCAGTAAAGACTTGTCTACTAATTCTATCATCTGTATCATATGATTTAAGATTCTATGTTCTTAAAAAAATGACTTGCACAGGGAAGCAAAGTCATTAATTCAATACATAATATGAAGTGCCAATTTTGATTCATTTCTGGACTTCCTATTCCCTTTGTCCTATTTTGATTTATTAAATAAATTATTACTCATTTTGTATCATTACATATTAGGATTGTTTTAAAGTTGGCTAAGCCTCTGCCCCAGTGTTGCTGTTTTACTTGTTATAAATCATCGCATTTGTTGCAAATTTTTCCACATAAATTTCCCTAACACTTCCTCAACTTACGCAAACTATATTAGAATTTTAACTGGTATTATACATTAAGCCATATGGGACATCTTATTTTTAAAACACTTCGTCTTCATAGGCAGGAAGAATAAAAGTTCTTTATTTCTGACATTTAACTTCAGCAATAATCTTCATCAACCTATTCATCCATCCATTATTTATCCATATTCTTATGCCCTGTTATATTTCTTTGAAAGCCCTCGATTAATACAGAGTCTCCACAAATTAACGGTCTTCTCTACTCCTTCCCAATATTCATACTTCATTTTTTCATGGCTCATTACAGATGTCCAAAACTGCTGCACACAAGTGGTGACAGAGAGCACCTAATTCCCTTCTATTTCACATAAATATCCCTTATTGCATTTTTGCTTTTCTTAGCATATTATCAGAAATGAACATTACATGTTATTAAATGATATAATGTATGTTGACATATTATTTCAAACATCTTAGTTAAATGATAAATGATTAATAATTTTTCTTATATTAAATTGGCTTCAAATTCTTGATACTAATATTATTTGATCTTTAGTGAATCTATGCTTTAATGTGTGGCTATGATGTGTCAGCTAAAATTCTTATTTAGAATCCATTTACCTGTGGGTATGTAAGCGTGTGTGTATTTTTTTTTAAGATTTGGAGATAGGTCTGTGGCGAACTTTATTTTGAGCTAATCCCTGCTTCTCGTAAGTGACCTTTCACACACTAACCACCTAGTCTATTGTAATCTTGAGAACCATAACCATAAGGAGGCAAAATAATTAAGAAGGCAGTTATATGGTTTTTTACTTTTTCATCAATTCCATACCATCGGGAGTAACTAAATGAAACATACTTCAAAGAAAGAAGTCAAATTAAATGACTGTCATTGCCCATTAATAAAAACAACAATCTGAGCTTAACAAAAAATTTAACAAACAGGGAAGACAGAAAGATGGTATATTTATTGCCTGACTACACTGGCATAACTCACTTTAACAAAAATTATCACATTTAATAATATAACCTGTTATAGCTAAATATTAAACACATATTAATTAGGGCCAACTTTGAAGGATTTCTAATTCATCCATTTCCTTATTCACTATTATATATGAAGCACTACACTAGGTGCAGGGTCATTATAAACAAGTTTTTTCTTTGGGAAACTTACAAGCTAGTGCAAGCACTGAAAAACATTTTCTGTAAAGGGCCAGATGACAGTATTATAGGCTTTGGGGGGCCATACAGTCTCTGCTGCCAACTACTCAACTCTGTCACTGTAGGGCAAAGAGTCATAGACAATATACAACAAATGAGCATGGTTGTGGGAGAAAACTTCATTTACAAAACAGGTGGTAGGCCAGATTTTGCCCATGGACTAGTTTACCAACACATTCGCTAGTGGAAAATAATTAACTAGCAATTTCAATTTGATGTGACAAATACAAATAGATGTAGGCAAAGGTTGTTATGGGAATATGACCTAAGACAATCAAAGGCCTCTTGGGAGGAGGCAAGAATCCAACTAAAGACTTCAATTTCTCAAATTCAGCAAATAAAAGTAGCTTTTTATAATGTGTAACCATTATAAAACAATTCAAAACCTCATTCTGAAAATGTACAACATATTTGATAAAAGAATTGCTTTAATATATGATATTCTCTATTGTTTCTCAAAATTAACCATAAGTACAATTGAAAGCTTACCTTGAGTGACTGTTTTGAGAACAATTAAGGTTGATAAAAATCTCAATGGCAAATTGGAGCTCTTAAAGAAAGCAGCTGTCTTTGGTTTATTCTCCACAGAATGCTGTGGAGAATTATCCTGAATTCCTTTAGTTACCACTCCTTTAAAAATGTCTTCACCCAATCTCCTCAATGTTGATGTCATAGTCGAGTGCTGTTAAAAATATGTACAATCTTAGTATATTTATTCATGTTCAGAATATATCTTTTTTTTTGAGACACAGTCTTGCTCTGTTGCCCAGGTTGGAATGCAGTAGCGCAATCATGGCTCACTGCAGCCTCAAACTCCTGGGCTCAAGCAATCCTCCTACCTCAGCCTCCCAAGAAGCTGGGACTACAGGCACTCACTACCACACTCAGGTTTTTTTTTTTTTTCGGTAGAGATGGGTCTCACTAAGTTGCTGAGGCTGGTCTCGAACTCTTGGGCTCAAGTGATCCTCCTACCTTGACCTCCCAAAATGCTGGGATTACAGGATCATGAGCCACTGTGCCTGGCCAATAACTATTTTAAATATTAAATCAAATATATGTATTAAAAGTAAGTGAAATCTGTGGCTAATTTAAAGTTGAAAATATGTAAAATTGGAAAGTGACAATTTTATCAACTTAAAAAATTATTTGTGACTGTACATTTTTCTAAAACATGTAAGAACATAAGATCATGCTATATTTCTGACACAGAGAAATAGCAAGGGAACAGAGGTGGACTACCTACTCTCTCAGTTGCTGATTGCTCCACCATCAATGAAAACCAGCTTATCAGGCACATCCTTCTGTGTTCACTTAAGAAATGATTATCTAGAGCCTCAGTCCCTTCAGCTAACTCTGATTTAAAAAGTCATAGTGACTCCAAAAACTTTTAGCAATTTCAAAACAGTAAAATACTGGGTTAGAATCATAGATAATTCTCATGGAGAATAAAACAAAAAAAAATGGGCAAAATAGAAATAGTAGCATGAAACTACCTCTAAAATAATATATGATCTAATGGTATTTGATATATCTATTAAGAATAAAATGAGGCTGGGCGCGGTGGCTCACGCCTGTAATCCCAACACTTTGGGACGCCGAGGCAGGCAGATCATGAGGTCAGGAGATCGAGACCATCCTGGCTAACATGGTGAAACCCCATCTCTACTAAAAATACAAAAAAATAGCCAGGCGTGGTGGCGGGTGCCCATAGTCCCAGCTACTTGGGAGGCTGAGACAGGAGAATGGTGTGAACACGGGAGGCGGAGCTTGCAGTGAGCCGAGGTCGCACCACTGCACTCCAGCCTGGGTGACAGAGCGAGACTCCATCTCAAAAAAAAAAAAAAAAAATCAAATGAAAGGAAAGCATTTCAAACTGTTGCAGATCAGAATGCTTAAACCAGATTTGGTAAAAACTTAAAATTTCCTTTATTATGACCCAATTCTCCAATCTCATGTGACTGAGTTTTTATAGCAGTTTCCCCTATCTGCATGAAAATTTGTGACCAACTGGTTCCTAACTCAGTATTGATCCTGCAATGTGGATAAGTTTTAGCTTTTAAATTTCTGCATCTAAAATTAAAAACAAATCTATTGAGGTTTTACAGGTGACAAAGGCCAAATGGTTGAGTGGTCAGACACACAAGCAGTGCAATCTAATTTAAATATATTGTCAGTACAATTTTTATATTATTAGAAAAAAAATACATGTTTTTAAACCTTTGTGTAAAAAATAGAAAAAAATGTTCAAAACTCTACTTACAATAAGTGTGTTAAATGACAGGATTAAGGTAAACTTTTTTTGTTTTTAAAATTATCTCTAATGCTTTACTACTACACTTTTATAATGAAAAAATAAACTTGAAAAAAAAATGTGGGCCAGGCACAGTGGCTCACGCCTGTAATCCCAGCACTTTGGGAAGCCAAGGCAGGCGGATCACAAGGTCAGGATATCAAGACCATTCTGGCCAACATGGTGAAACCCCGTCTCTACTAAAAATACAAAAATTAACTGGGCTTGGTGGCGTGCACCTGTAATCTCAGCTATTCAGGAGGGTGAGGCAGGAGAATCGCTTGAACCTGGGAGTCGGAGGTTGCAGTGAGCCGAGATCGTGCCACTGCTCTCCAGCCTGGATGACAGAGCAAGACTCTGTCTCAAAAAAAAAAAAAAAAATGTGGATAGTATTTGCCTTTAATTGAAGGAAAAGAGAAAAAACTCCAAAAATAGCACTCTGGGTTGTTGCTGAAGCTTCACCTAAGGATGTTAAAACTTTTGCTGAAACAAATCTAGACCCAAAATGTCTAGTTTTCAATTTAAAATCACCCACCATTCCAAGGACCAGAAAGATTTCAAACTGAATGAAGAAAAGACAATCAACAGCTGCCAACACCGACAGGACAGAATGTTAGAATTGTCTGACAAAGATTCTAAAGTAGCCATGACAAAAGGAACACCTGCATACGCTTTTAGAAAATCTCATCGAAGACACAGAAAGTCTTACCAAAGAAGACATAGAAAAAGAACCAAGTGAATATTTCAGAACTGGAAATACAATAACAGTCTCAATAACAGAATGGAGAGGATGGAGGAAAGAATAACTGGAAAATAAAACAACAGAAAACACCCAACCTGAACAACTGCAAACAACCTGGAAAAATAACAACAACCACCAGAACTTCAAGGAATAGCAAAACATCTAAAATCACGTCATTAGAGTCCAGGAAAGGAAAAATCAGGTAGGGCTGAAAAAGCACTTGAAGAAACTGGGGGCGGTGGCTCACGGTTGCACTCCCGGCACTTTGGGAGGCCAAGATGGAAGATCGCTTGAGCCTGGGAGTTCAAGACCAGCCTGGGCAACATAGGGAGACCCTATCTCTACAAAACAAAAAAAAATTAACCAGGTAAGGTAGTACAT
This sequence comes from Homo sapiens, assembly GCF_000001405.40. Classification (NCBI taxonomy): domain Eukaryota; kingdom Metazoa; phylum Chordata; class Mammalia; order Primates; family Hominidae; genus Homo; species Homo sapiens. The sequence continues at coordinate 108,844,006 of NC_000002.12, read as the reverse complement.
GACCGTGGTCCCAGCTTGAGCCCAGGAGGGTGAGGCTGCAGTGAGCCGTGATTGTGCCACTGAACTCCAGCCTGGGCAACAGAGCAAGACCCTGTCTCAAAAAAAAAAAAAAAAAAAAAAGAAAGAAACACACACACACACACACACACACACACACACACAAAACATGAACTTGAAGAAATAATGACTGAAAACTTCCTGGACTTGGCAAAAAACGTGCCCAGAGACTGAAGAAACTAAACAAACACCAAACAGGCTAAAATAAAGAGATCAACACCAAGACCCATCATAGTCAAACTTATAAAAACTAAAGACAAATGTGTGTGAGAGAAATGACACCTTACATATATGGGGAAAATAACTCAAATGACAGATTTCTTATCAGAAACCATGGAGGGCAGAAAGAATTGGCACATTTTTCAAGTACTGAAAGTAAAGAACTGTCACACTAGAATCTGATACCCAGTGAAAATATCCTTCAGTAATTGAAAGGAAATCAAAATATGTTAAGAAAAACTAAGAGTTTGTGTCATCAGCAAACCTACTCTAGGCCAGGTGCGGTGGCTTATGCCTGTAATCCCAGCACTTTGGGAGGCCACGGCAGGTGGATCACTTGAGGTCAGGAGTTCGAGACCAGCCTGGCCAACATGGCGAAACCCCATCTCTACTAAAAATACAAAAAGTAGACAGGCATGGTGGTGGGCGCCTGTAATCCCAGCTACTTGGGAGGGTGAGGCAGGAGCATGGTTTGAACCCAGCAGACGGAGGTTGCAGTGAGCCAAGATCATGCCACTGCACTCTAGCCTGGGCAGCAGAGTGAGACCCTGCCTCAAAAGAAAAAGAAAAATAACTACTCTAAAGAACAGATAAAGAAGTCCTCTAAACAGATAGATAGGATATAATGAAAGAGGGAACTGTGGCACATCTGGAAGGAGAGAAGAACATAGTAAACAAAAATATGGGTAAATACAATAAACTTTCCTTCTCTTCTTGAGTTCTATAAATTCTGTTTGACGGTTGAAGCAAAAATGGTAACATTCTCTAATGTGGTTCTAAGCGTATACAGAAAAGGTTAAGGGATAAAAAGGGAAGTAAAGCTTCTGTGCTTTATTCAAACCGGTAAAATGACCATACCAATAGACTGAATAAGTTCTACATAATGTTGTAGTGAATGCTTATAATTTGATGTTGCCCTGGCATTCATTTTAAATGTAAGTTGGACTTTTTCACCCTAGAAGCAGGGATCAGTCACTTTTAACACTGTTTCCAGTTTTAAATCCCCATCCCCTCCCCCAGTTCCTAAATATGTTTGATTCAGATATCTGCCTTAGACAACTCCTCCCTAATGACCACTTCCCTATGGAATAGCTAGATGAAGCCCGCACAACTTGTCTCACAGACCCTCACACCTCACTACGGACTGTGTGAACATGCCACAGTGACTACCTCCTAGAACTCATGTCTGCTTGCTTTAAACTCAACAAACAAAACAGCCTGTGAAAAACCTGTATGGGTAACATCCTGGACTCCAATAAGGGCACTTGCCCACAGGTCCCTTTCTCTCTCTCTCGCTCTCTCTCCCTGCCTGTGCTTCCTGACTTCCAAGTATGTGGACTCCAGGTTTGCCATGTAACTCCCAGGACCTAAAAGTAATAAATTCTTTATTTCAGCCAGATGGGTTGGCTCACGTCTGTAATTCCAACAATTTGGGAAGCCAAGGCAGGAGGATCACTTGAGGCCAAGAGTTAGAGACCAGCCTGGGCAACAAAGCAAGACAATGCCTCTATCAAAAAAAAAAAAAAAACTTTTTAATTAGCCAGGTGTGGTGGCGAACGTCTGTAATCCTAGCTACACAGGAGGCTGAGGCAGAAGGATTGCTTGAGCCCAGGAGCTGGAGGCTGCAGTGATCTATGATCATCACTGCACTCCTGCCTGAGCAACAGAGTGAGACTCTGTCTCAAAAACAAACAAACAAACAAACAAGAAAAACCCTTTACTTCCAACTTCTATGACTTCTAATCATTGGAGGGGTACTCTCCATCTTAAAGATCCTAAATTAAAACAAATGTAATACCAAGAAGAACTATTAGAAAAGTTATACAAAGAGATACACTCAATACACTATAAAGGAAAATAAAATTCTAAAAAATGTTCAAGTAACCCATAAGAAAGCAGAAAAATGAACCAAAGAAATGAAAAAGAGAAACAAAAAGAACCACCCAGTAGTTAAAAAAATAAAGTTACAGCTTAAGCCCTAACATATCAATAAGTACATTACATGTAAATGGCCTAAAACACCAATTAAAACAGAGCTTGACAAAGTTTATTTTTTCTAAATGCAGCTGTATGCTATTTAATTAAAAAAACTCATTCTAGATATAAGCAGGTCAAAAGAAAAAGACTGGGAAAAGATATATTTTTAGAACATGAATCAAATGAAGCCAGAAGTCTCTATATTAGTATCAGATAGAGATTTCAGAGGCAATGCAAATGTTCAGAGATAGAGAAGGACATTATAAAATGATAAAAAGGGCAAATCCACCAAGACATAATCATAAATTTACAAGAACACAGTTACAAAATATGTGAGGCAAAACAGATGAAGGTTATAACATATAAATCTACAATTATAGCCAGAGACTTCAACATCCATCTATCTCTCCACACTTGATAGAACAGGACAAAGTATCAGCAAGGATATAGAACAACTCACAAACACCATCAACCAACAGGATCAAATTGACATTTATGCAACACTCTACCAAACAACAGAATACATATTCTCAGCCATAAAACAACCTCAACAATACAACTAAACTAGAAAAACAGAGTAACAGAAACACAACAAACTTCTAAAGAACTCAAGGGTTGAGCCAGACACGGTGGCTCACACCTGTAATCCCAGTACTTTGGGAGGCCGAAGTGGGCAGATCACTTGAGGTCAACATGGTGAAACCCCATCCCTACTAAAAAACAAACAAACAAACAAACAAACAAACAAAAAACACACACACAAAAAACACAAAAATTAGCCAGGTGTGGTGGTGGGCATCTGTAATCCCAGCTACTTGGGAGGCTGATGCAGGAGAATCACTTGAGCCTGGGAGGTGGAGGTTGCAATGAGCCGAGACTGTGCCAGTGAATTCCAGCCTAGGTAAGAGAGTGAGTGAGGCTCTGTCTCAAAAAAATAAAAAGAAAAAAAGAAAAAAAGAAAAAAAGAAATGAAACAAAGAGATGATCCTTTGAAAGATCAATAAAATGGAGAAACAGAGAAACTTCTAGCAAAAGAGATGAACTAAAGAAAGAAAACACAAATTATCCATATCAAGAAGGAAATAATGCTACCACTACAGATACTGAAAACATCAAAAGGATAAGAGAATACTATGAAAAACTCTACACACATAAATGTGCATACATTTGAATGGTTCAGTCCCTCAAAAAGCACAAACTACTACAAATCATCGATATGAATTACATAACTAGAACAGCCCTGTAACTATTAAAGAACTTAAATTCATAATTTAAAACCTCCCCCAAAAGAAATCTCATCCACATAGTTTCACTGGAGAATTCTACCAAATGTTTAAAGAATGAACACTTAGTCTACATAATTTCTCCCAGAAAATATAAAGGATAAGACCCTTCCCAATTCATTTTATGAACCTAATATTGCCCTGATACAAAACCAAAGAGAGTTCAAAACTATAGACAAATATTTCTCATGAATATAGAAACAAAAGTCCTTAACAAAATATTAGCAAATAGAATTTGTTAATATAAAAACATATAAAAAGAATTAAACACCACAACCAAGTGGGTTTTATTTCAGAGACTTTAATATTTCAAAGTCAATGTAATTCATATTAACAAGTTAAAGATGAAAAAGAACATGTATCAATCAATGCAGAAAAAGTATCTAAAAAAATTCAACACGATTCATGATTTTTAAAAAACTCAGAAAAATAGGAATACAGGGGAACTTGATTGAAAGTATCTATGAAAATACTACAGCTAATATTATACTTAGTAATGGCAGAATGAATTTTCCTCCTAAGAGGAGAAACAAGGCAAGGATGACTACTCTCACCATCATATTCGACATACTGCTGGAAACTCTAGCTAATGCAATAAGGTAGGAAAAGGAAATTAAAGGCATACATATCAAAAAGAAAAAAAAAACACAACACTGTTTTCATTTGCAGATAACATGATTTTCTATGTAAAAATCCTGAGGAATCTTCAAGAAAACTCCTAAAACTAGTAAGCTCAGGGTCACAGGATACAAAATAAACAAAAAACAATTTTACTTCTATATATTATCAATGAACATGTAAACATCAACAGTAAAAAGACAATACCAACTAAAATTGCTCAAAAAATTTAAATACTCAGCCAAAAAGGTAAACAAGAATGCAGCAATTTTATGCTGAAAACTATGCAACACTGATAAATCAAAGTTCTAAATAAGTGGACAGACATTTTATGTTCATAAATTGTAAGACTCAACAAAGGAAAGATGTCAATTATTCTCAAATTAATATACAGGTTTAACACAATTCCTATCAAAATCCCAGCAAGACATAGATAGGGAAGATTATTCTGAAATACAGAGAATATATTCAAAACAGATATTGTGAAACAAGATCAAGAAGTAATATTAGGTGGAGTATTACTTATAGATAAATTCCTATTAACCAATTACCTGTGCTCCAGCATCTAGCTGCCTTAGGGACCAATATATAAATTTTACAAAAGGCTCGTGAAGTTTGATATTCACAAATGGCATCCACTGTAGCTGCTCTGTCATTAGAGGCAAAAGCTAAAGATAAAATGATGGAAAATAAATACAAAGGCACAGTATTTTTAAATGTCTTAAATCAATTACCACAATTTTCCAAAATTATCTTTAAAAACAAAACAAAACAAAAGAGTTCTCCAACAAAAAACCTTCACTTTAAAACTATATGCAATACAATTTGGCAATATGTATTTTAGTTCTTATATATGCATTTTCTTTCATCCAGCAATAACAGCACATCTAGTTTAAGGAGATTAACCTACACAAAGATACTCTATGAACCTTAAATGATTAAATAAGTTTATAGTATATATGTAACCATTAAAAATGATAACCTAGATTTATATTTATTGCCATGGCATATTCTGGGGTGAAAAAAGGTGTTTACAAGGAAGCAAATGGAATAAAAATCTCATTTATATAAACTATATCTATATAAATTTATACTGAAAAAGATATATGAAAGGATTTTTTAAAATGCTGGATTTCAGAAACTGGAGTACTATTTACTTGTTTATATGTCTACATTGCATGCATATCTTAATATGCTAATTTATAAAAACATTTAACTGTTTAAGGATGTCTATGAATTTTGCTTCAAAAGTATATCATTTTGCTAAATGATTTCAGGACCATAAAGACATATTCTAAGGCTCTAACAGAATACTCCCACTTCTGAGATACCAGCCTAAGAAAATCGATTTAAGAAGATCCCTCCAAAAGCCATGTACAAAGATATTTATTGCTACACTGTTTATAAGAGTAAAACCTGGAAATAATTGTATAGCAATCAGGAAAATGGTTATGTCAACTGTATAAAGATTCTCCGGACTAATGATTATGAGTGTATTGTGTGTATATACATATATGTATTTTGTAAAATTTTCTGTATATTATGATGTTTTGGACGTCTTAAAAAACCTTTCCAGTTGGGGAGAGATTGCCCCTCCCTGGACCAGCCAATTCTTAGATACAGCAAAGTGCTCGGCCTAGAGTATGCCTCTGATAGACAAATTAACCAATTCAGAGCCAGACCCCTTCTATCTGGCCCTTGTATCCCAGGAGGCAATATTCTCTGCCGTAATCTTACCAGAGTCACTAGGGACCACCCCTAGAGCTTAGTACTGCCAAAATTATTCAAACTAACCAATCCTATTTATTCACCCTGCCCTGCATTGCCTTTCATGTGGAAACCACAATAAAGGGTCTGCCCAGTGCTTTCCCCTTGACTCCTGTCTTCCTACCATCTGACCACTCTGGTGTCTTTAAAAAAAAAAAAAATCGAAAAAATTATAGACACCTCATAAGTTGAGAAATCTCTAAATAGTATTTTTATGGAATAAAATTTACTAGCCATATACTCTCTTACAGTCATAATCTCAGTAAAATTTTATATAAACTTCTCCCCCCAACTTTTTAATAAAGACATGCATCAGTTAATGACAGAGATACACTCTAAAATAACAATAAATAGTAAATACATAAACCAGTAACATGGTTGTTTATGATCAAGTATTATGTACTCTACATAGCTGTGTGTGCTATTCTTTTATGTAACTGGCAGCACAGGTTTGTTTACGTCAGCATCACCACAAACATGTGAGTAATGTGTTCTGCTACAATATTATGACAGCTATGATGTCACAAAGTGACAGGAAATTTTCAGCTCCATTATAATCTGTTTTCTTTTTATATTCTTTTTTTCTTTGCTCCATTATAATATTATGGGACCACCATCATATATACGGTCTACCATTGTCTTAAACATCATTATACAGTGCATGGCGGTATATTAAAAGGGATTATACGCCATGACTAAGTGAGATTAATTCTTGCAATGCAAGGACGGTTCAACATTTTTAAAAACTGGTGTAATATACCATTTTAACAAAATGAAGGACAAAACCCACACGATTATTTCAATTGACAAAGAAAAAGCACTGAACAAGATTCAACGCCCTTTCATGATAAAAATACTCAACAAACTTAATAGAGGGAAACCACCTCGATATAATAAAGGCTATATATAAAAAGCCCACAGATTACACTCTGAAGGTAAAAGAATGAAAGCCTTTCCTCCAAAATCAGGAACAAGACAAGCACACCCTCACCACTTCTGTTCACTATAGTACCAGCCAGTGAAACTGGGCAAGAAAAAGAAATAAAAAGTATCCAAATTGGAGAAGTAAAATCATCTCTCTTCTCAGATGGCATGACCTTATATGTCGAAAGTCCTAAAGATTCCACAATTAAAAAAAAAAAGAATACATAAATTCAGCAAAGTTGCTGAATACAAAATCAATACTAAAAATCACTTGTGTTTCCATACACTAACAATGAACAATCCAAACAGGAAATTAGGAAAACAGTTCCACTTACAAATAGCATCAAAATGAATGAAAATACTTAGGAATAAATCTAAGCAAGGAGGTAAAAAACTTATACACTAAAAACCACAAAACAGTGATGAAAAAAATTAAAAGACACAAATAAATAGAATGAAATTTCATGTTCATGGGTTAGAAAACATGGTATTATCAAGGTGTCCATGCTACCCAAAGCGATCTACAGATTCAATGTCATCTCTACCAAAATCCCTAAAGCATTAATTTACTATGGTGAACAGTAAAGCAATTCTTCAAAAATTGAAAATAGAACTATCAAATGATCTAGCAATCCCACTTCTGGGTATATGTCCAAAGGGATTGAAAACAGGGTCTTGAAAGGATATTTGCAAGTCCATATTCATATCAGCACTATTCACAATAGCCATGAGATGGTAGCTGCCCAAATATCTATCAATGAATGGATAAGCAATATGTGGTATTCATGCATAAACAAATATTGTTCCACCTTAGAAAGGAAGGAAATCCTGTCACATGCTACAACATGGACGAACCTTATGGATATTATGCTAAGTGAAATAAGCCAGTCACAAAAAGGCAAATACTATTATGATTCCATCCATATGAGAAATCTAATGTCAAATTCATTGAAGCAGAAAATTGAATGGTGGTCATCAGGGGCGGGGGTAGGTGAAATGGGGAGTTGTTATTTAATAAGCGCTATGGTTTGAATATATTCCTCAAAATTTATGTGTTGGAAACTTAATGCCCAAAACATCAGTGTTGAGAGGTGAGGATCTACTGGGAAGTGTTTACGTCAGGAGAGCTCTGCCCTAATGAATGGATTAACGGCATTATAATAAAGGCGTGTGGGACTGGGCTCCCTTTCTCCTGCTCTTCCACCCTGTGGGCACACAACGTTCATCCTGTTTTTGCTCTTCTGCCCTGTGCCATGTGAGGATGCAGCAAGAAAGCCCCTATCAGATGCTTGGACATCCAGCTGCCAGGACTGTGAGAAATAAATTTCTGTTGTTTACAGATTGTGCAGTCTCAGATATTCTGTTGTAACAGCACAAAACAGAGACAATTGGTACTGAGTTTTAGTTTTGCAAGATAAAATATTTCTGGAGAGCTGTTGAAGGACAATGTGAATATACTAATGAACTGTATACTTAAAAATTATTAAGATAATAAATTTTTTATGTTTTCGTCACAGTTTGAGAAATTATATGGGTGGACCAGAAAAAGACTTACTTGAATAGATTTACAAATCTTGTGATATGTAAGGTATTTAAACTATGGTTATTCATTATACCATCTGTAAGCCAATACTTTGTGAAAAATATTTGAATATATCATGTGTTATCATATCGCTGTTATCAGTGGTGAATTTCATTTGCTCTGGGGGACTTAACCATCAACAGTTCCATGAATTTTTTTATTAGAAATAGAGGATTAATATCCTTACTGGCCCTAACACATGGCAATGAATTTTTTTTAATTTTTGAGCTCACGGCTGAGATGAATATTTTCTGAATAAGAACAGCACTCAATCATTGAACAGTTTTGGAAATTACCTTTTGCTGCACATTGTTCATTTTTCTTACTAGAGTCAACCTGAAATTACAAGTCAAAACAGTGCCTATATATGAAACTTACACTACAGTAGTCATTTCAACAACTAATGTTTGAATCATAATGTTAAGCTGCATAAACTTCCTTTGTTGTCAGATATTTTAAAAAGAGATGAGATCTCCATTCCAACACAGATTTGCAGCAGATATGTTTTCTGACTCCAAACTACAGTTCTAGCAGCATTATTTGAATCTCAATGCAAGTGCAAAACAATCTGCTTATTTCAAGATCCATTTGACTTCAATTGAAGAGCTGCCAACTGACCTTCAATTAGAAGTGATTAATCTCCAATAGTGATATACAAAAAGAAATATCAAGAGAAGAATCAAATAGAATTCTGTAAATGCTTTTCAAGTGACAAAGTCATATGCCTGTCTGTGGTGCCACTTACATGAGATACTTAGAATATGCAAATTCATAGAGATAGAAAGTAGACGAGAGACTACCAAGGTCTACAGGGGAGGGAGGAATGGGAAGATATTGTTAAACGGGTACAGAATTGTTTCAGATAATGAAAAATTCTTGAAATTGATAGCGATGATGGTTGTACAGCATTGGGAATATACTTAATGCCACTAAATTGTACATTTATAAATGGCTAAAATGATAAATATTAAGCTATGCATATTTTACCACAATGAAACAAAATCATATGCTCATGGATTGATGTCAACTATTTGACAATACTTAGTGTATAAAAAGACATTTTCAGGCCAGGCATGGTGGCTCATGCCTGTAATCCCAGCACTTTGGGAGGCCAAGGCGTGTGGATCACCTAAGGTCAGCTGTTCAATACCAGCCTGGCCAACATGGTGAAACCCCCATCTGTCTCTATTAAAAATGCAAAAATTAGCTGGGAGTGGTGGGCACCTGCAATCCCAGCTACTTGGGAGGCTGAGGCAAGAGAATTGCTTGAACTTGGGAAGCAGAGGTTGCAGTGAGCCGAGATTGCGCCACTGCACTCCAGCTCGTGTGACAGAGCGAGACTCTGTCTCAAAAAAAAAAAAAAAATTTCAAAGATGAAATATGTAAACTCTCATTACAGATCAGCATTAACAGATAAAAATATGCAATTGATTCTGATGACAGGAAACACTTGGAACCCCAATTAAGTAAAATGATACCCTCAAATTCTAGTTTCCTTATTATTCGATCTACTGCAAAAAGTTTACTCCACATTGGCTGGGCACGGTGGCTCACGCCTGTAATCCCAGCACTTTGGGAGGCCGAGGCAGGCGGATCATGAGATCAGGAGATAGAGACCATCCTGGCTAACACAGTGAAACCCTGTCTCTACTAAAAATACCAAAAAAAAAAAAAAAAAAAAAAAATTAGCCGGGCGTGGTAGCGGGCGCCTGTAGTCCCAGCTACTCGGGAGGCTGAGGCAGGAGAATGGCGTGAACCTTGGAGGCAGAGCTTGCAGTGAGCCGAGATCACGCCACTGCACTCCAGCCTGGGCGACAAAGCAAGACTCCGTCTCAAAAAAAAAAAAAAAAAAAGTTTACTCCACATTAAATTTTGATTTTGTCAACAAAAAAATTTGTGAAAATTTGTTTCGTTTCTTATTATGTAAGTACTGGTATCTTTCACTTTGCTTTTTGGCCTGCAAAACCTAAAATATTTACCATTTGTCCTTTTACAAAAAAGGGTTTGCTGACCTTTGTCATGGACTATAAACATTCCCATAGCTTAAGAAACACCAGACTTCACTAAATTCATCTGGCATTGTCTTCTTTGAGGTTCCTGCCAAGCTCTTGGAAAACCTGCCTACTCTATCTCTACTTCCTGTTTACTTTTAAACTAACAGATCTTGTTTTTAAAGAGCAGTTTTAGGTTTCTGAGTGTACTGAGCAGGAAGTTGAGAATGTTTACATGCCCCATGTCCTACTCCCACCTGCCAGTACCTTCCATTATTAACATCTTTACCAGTGTGGTACATTTGTTACAGTTGTTAACACTGACATACTATGATTAACTAAAGTCTATAGTTTACATTAGGATTCACTCTGTTGTATAGTCTACAGATTTTGACAACATATAATGACATGTATCCACCATGTATCACAGGAAATAATTTCACTGTCCTAAACATTGCCTGTGCTCTGCTCCTCTTTCTCAGAACCCCTGGCAGCTACTGATCTCTTTACTCCAGTTTTTGCTTTTTCCAAAATGTCATTATAGTTGGAATCATATAGTATGTAGCCTTTTCAGGCTGGCTTCTTTCACTGAGCAATGTGCATTTAAGGTGTCTCCATGGTAAAATATAGATCCCTTGCTTAAAACCATTTCCTGTCTCCCTCTTATCTGTGGGATGACATTCAAACTTGCCAGTATAGTTCTAGAACAGCAGGTGACTCCACTTCCAGCTCACTGCAACTTTCCTCACATCATACCTCACCCATACCCTGTAATAGATACACGTCACGACTAAGGCAGCTCGTGTCTCCTCCTTCAACTACTAGGTGTCTGTCTCACAAAAACCTACTCATCCTTCAAAGCTTAACTTTTAGCAGTCACTTCTACAAGGCTTTTCCATATATTTTCTTATCTTAGGATATAATTTACCTATACCAGTGGTTCTCAAATTGTGGTCCCTAAAACTACAGAAAGAGCATCACTTGGGAACATGTTGGAAATACAAATTCTGGGTCAGGAGTTCCAGACCAGCCTGACCAACAAGGAGAAACCCCGTCTCTACTAAAAATACAAAATTAGCTGGGTGTGGTGGCGCATGCCTGTAATCCCAGCTACTTGGGAGGCCGAGGCAGGAGAATCGCTTGAACTTGGGAGGCAGAGGTTGCGGTGAGCCGAGATCACACCATTGCACTCCAGCCTGGGCAACAAGAGTGAAACTCTGTCTCAAAAAAAAAAAAAAAAAAAAGAAAGAAATACAAATTCTGGCCAGGTGTGGTGGGTCACGCCTGTAATCTCAGCACTTTGGGAGGCTGAGGCAGGCAGATCACTTGAGGTCAGGAGTTTGAGACCAGCCAGGCCAACATGGTAAAACCCCGTCTCTACTAATATAAAAATTAGCCAGGTGTGATGGCGTACACCTGTAATCCCAGCTACTAGGGAGGCTGAGGCAGAAGAACTGCTTGAACCCAGGAGGCGGAGGTTGAAGGGAGCTGAGATGGCAGCACTGCACTCCAGCCTGGGCGACAGAGTGAGACTCCATTTCAAAAAAGAGAAAAAAAGCTGTGCGTGGTGGCTCACGCTTGTAATCCCAGCACTTCGGGAGGCCGAGGAGGGTGGATCACCTGAGGTCAGAAGTTCAAGACCAGCCTGGTCAACATGGTGAAACCCCATCTCTACTAAATATACAAAAATTAGCCAGGCATGGTGGCCAGTGCCTGCAATCCCAGCTACTCGGGAGGCTGAGGCAGGAGAATCGCTTGAACCCAGGAGGCAGTAGTTGCAGTGGGCCGAGATCATGCCATTGCGCTCCAGCCTGGGCAACAAGAGTGAAACTTCGTTTCAACAGGAAGGACGGAAGGAAGGAAGGAAGGAAGGAAGGAAGGAAGGAAGATTCTGTGCCACATCAGATCTACTAAATCAGATTCCAGGGATAGAACCTAGGAACCTGAGTTTTAACAAGTCCTGCAAGAGATTCTGATGTGTGCTAAAATTGGAAAGTCAAGTTTCTCTTAGATATCTGACTTTCAGTTTCTTCACAGCAAACACTGTCTTTTCCTAGCCATTTCATATTTTCATGAAAAAATTTCACTTCATTTATATCTTTATCCCCTCTAAATACCAAGCCTCTTCCGACAGTATTTATATTCTTAATCCAAACATAATAAAAAAGTACTTTTTCTTATCTTTTGAATGTTTCAAAAGATTTGGCATATTTTGTCCTACTAAAAAAGTAACAATGGTCCTCATTCATAGGGTGGCAGTAGTAGGGAACTGTGAACTCTTTGCAAAATCACTTTTTACAATTTGTCCTTTCAACGTTTAAGATCATCAGGTGTATTTACATCAGATACATTGCCTTTTGCTTTCTTACAGTGATGATCTGACATTGTCAGATTTTTTTTCTTTTTTTTTGAGACAGAGTCCCGCTCTATAACTCAGGCTGGAGTGCAGTAAGCAGCATGATCTTGGCTCACTGAAACTTCTGCCTCCGGGGTTTAAGCGATTCTGGTGCCTCAGCCCCATGAGTAGCTGGGATTACAGTTATGCACCACCATGCCTGGCTAATTTTTGTATTTTCAGTAGAGACAGAGTTTCTCCATGTTGGTCAGGCTGGTCTTGAACTCCTGGCCTCAAGTGATCTGCCTGCCTCGGCATCCCAAAGTGCTGGGACTACAGGCGTGAGCCACCGCACCTGGCCAAGTTGTCCTGGCCAAAATGTCACAATGAAGAACACTTTCTGGCTTCCTTCCCAAGCTTTGGTTTTTTTTTTTGTTTTTTATTTGAGACGGAGTTTTGCTCTTGTTGCCCAGGCTGGAGTGCAATGGCGTGATCTCAGATCACTGCAACCTCTGCCTCCTGGGTTCAAGCGACTCTCTTGCCTCAGCCTCCCAAGTAGCTGGGATTACATGTGCCCACCACAACACCCAGCTAGTTTTTCTATTTTTTAGTAGAGACAGAGTTTCACCACATTGGCCAGGTTGGACTTGAACTCCTGACATCAGGTGATCTGCCCGCCTCGGCCTCCCAAAGTGCTGGGATTACAGGCGTGAGCCATGCCTTTGGTTTCTGTCAAATTGCCTAACTTCTGCAAAGTGAGTACACTAAAATTTAGGGTGGCCTGTCTTAGAATGCAGAATCCTGGTGAAAATGTATCCTAATTGACACTTTGTTGGAAAATCTTTATTATGGTAAAATATACATAACTTAAAATTTACCAATGGCATTAAGTGTAATCACACTGTTGTGTAACCATCATCACTATCCATCCCCAAAACTTTTGCAAAATGCCAAAATGAAACTCTGTATCCATTAAATAATAACTCTCCATTCTCTTCCCCCAGCCCTTGGTAACCACCATTCTACTTTGTCTCTATAAATTTGACTATTCTAGGTACTGCATGCACGGAAGCAGAATCATCTCATATTTGTCATCTGGTGTCTAGCTTATTTCATTTACAATAGCTTCAGGGTTCATTCATGCTGTAGCATGTGTCAATTTCATGCCTGAATAATAGTCTTGTGTATGTATATACCACATCTTGTTTATCCACTCATCCATGGATGAGCATTTACCTTGTGTCCACCTTCTTTTTATTATATATAATCTTGCTATAAACTTGGTGTTTAAATATCTGTTCAAGCCTCTGCTTTCAATTATTTTGAATATATATCCAGAAGTAAAACTGCATAAGGTAATTCTATGTTTTAAGTTTTTGAAGAATCACCATACTGTCTTCCACAGCAGCTGCATTTTACATTCCTATCACCAGTAAACAAGGATTCCACTTTCTGACATCCTTGCCAACACTTGTATGTACGTATGTATATATGTACATATGTATGTATTGACACAGTCTCAATTTGTCTCCCAGGCTGTAGTGTGGTGGCACGATCTTGGCTCACTGCAACCTCTGCCTCCCAGGTTCAAGCGATTCCCATGCCTCAGCCTCCCAAGTAGCTGGGACTACAGGTGTGCATCACCACACTGGGCTAATTTTTATATTTTTAGTAAAGATGGGGTTCCCCCATGTTGGCCAGGCTGGTCTCAAGCTCCTGACCTCAAGTGACCCGCCTGCCTTGGCCTCCCAAAGTGCTGGCATTACAGGCATGGGCCACCATGTTTATTTTTTAAATAAACATTCTAATAGGTGTTAAGTGGTATCTTACTGTGGTTTTGTATTTCCTTAGAGAGTAGTGATGTTAAGCATCTTTTTATGAGCTTAGGGGCCATTTCTTTATCTTTGGAGAAATAGCTATTTAGGTTCTTTGCTTGCTTTTTTAAAAATAGGGTCTTTTTGGTTTTGTTTTTTGCTGAGTTGAAGGAGTTCCTTATATATTGTGGGTAGCAATCGCTTGTCAGATACACAATTTGCTAATATTTCCTCCCATTCTGGAGATTACCATTTCAATCTGTTGATGCACAAACATTTTTAATTTTGATGAAGTTCAGTTTATTTTTGCTTTTATTGCTTGTGCTTTTGATGTCTTAGCCATATAATCACTGCCAAATCTAATATCATGAAGATTTTCCTGTGTCTTCTTCTAAGAGTTTTATAGTTTTAATTCTTACATTTAAGCCTTTGACCCATTTTGAGTTAAATTTTTTTCTTTTTGAGAGGGAGTCTCACACTGTCACCTGGGCTGGAGTGCAATGGCGTGATCTCGGCTCACTGCAACCTCCACCTCCTGGGTTCAAGCAATTCTCCTGCCTCAGCATCTCGAGTACCTGGGATTACAGGTGCCTGCCACCATGACTGGCTAATTTTTGGTATTTTTAGTACAGATAGGGTTTCACTATGTTGGCCAGGCTGGTCTCGAACTCCTGACCTGGTGATCTGTCCACCTCAGCCTCCCAAAGTGCTGGAATTACAAATGTGAACCACCACGCCCAGCCGAGTTAAATTTTACATATCGTATAAGGTAAGGCTCATACTCATTTTGTTGCATGAGGGTATCCAGTTTTTCAACACCATTTGTTGAAAAGACTGTCCTTCCTCCACTGAGTGGTCTCCGTACGCTTGTCAAAAATCATTGGACTATATGTGAGGGCTTATATTGGGCTCTCCATTCTATCCCATTGGTCTACATGTCTTATGTCAGTATCACAGTTTAGATTACTATAGCTTTGTACTAAGTTTTGAAATCAGAAAGTATGAGAGCTCTCTCTAACTTTGTTCTTTTTATGGTTGTTTTGGCTTTTCATTGTGCCTTCAGATTCCATATCAATTTTAGGATAAGTAGTATTCTTTGACATATAAAAGTTTTATGTTTTTACGTCATTAAATCTATAGTCTTCATTTTGTTATTTTTACCATTTGTGTAAACATTAAAAACCTTCCTTGTTCTCGTATTTGATAAATATTTAATGTTATATTTTTGGGTTTTCTATGGTTTCACGATAACCTCCAAATATTTATCTACAATATATTTTGGTGTTAAGAAGTATGGTATAGAACCACCTTCTTTTTTTTAATGGTAAACCAGTAGTTTTGATACATTTATGAAATAATTCCTATTTTCCTCCATTGATTTAACATGCTACCTTTATCATATGTGAAATCTATTTACAAGTTTGGATCTGTTTTTGTGGTCACGTTCTGTTCCATCAATTTGTGTGCTCCTATACTACTACCACAATGTTCTAATCACTGTGGTTTTAATATATGTTTACATATGGGAATGGGAATGGAATCTCTGATGAATTTTTTTCAGGAACAGTGATCCAAAAGTATGTAATGTAATCTTTAAATTTTTTTAATTTTTTTTTTTTTTTTTTAGACATATTCTCTCTCTGTCGCCCAGGCTGGAGTGCAGTGGGACAATCTCAGCTCACTGCAAGCTCCGCCTCCTGGGTTCATGCCATTCTCCTGCCTCAGCCTCCCGAGTAGCTGGGACTACAAGCTCCTGCCACCACGCCTGGCTAATTTTTTGTATTTTTAGTAGAGACGGGGTTTCACTGTGTTAGCCAGGATAGTCTCCGTCTCCTGACCTCGTGATCCGCCCACCTTGGCCTCCCAAAGTGCTGGGATTACAGGCGGGAGCCACTGCGCCCAGCCAAAATCATTTTTATTGTTACATTTAACTTTTTGATTTAGTAAGAACTGATGTCATAATAAATCTTCCTATCCAGCACATGCAAAATCCCTTGATTATCCAATTAAGTTTTCATATCATTAAATAAAATTTGTAGTTTTCTACATTTTGTTTTGCACATTTTCTCTTTTATTTATTTTACTAGCTTTGTAAATTTGGTATTGTAAATACATTCTTTTCTTTAAATTAGATATTGATGTATTTGGAAGATTTTTTGCTTTTTAGCAACTGGATACTTTACTGAAATCATGAGTTCTAATAATTTTTTGGTTGGTTTCCTTTCCTTTACATTATTATTTTAAAGTGATGAAAATAGGTCTGCCTTTCAATGCTAAACATTTCATTCCAAATTCTCATCATTTTGCTTTAGAATAATGTTAAATAATAGAGGTGACAGTAGGTGGTATCCCTGTCTTGACTTGCCTTTAATTGTGTAACCATATATTAGTAATGTACAATCCAAAAATGAATTTAAGAACATGATTCTATTTTTGACATCATCAAAAAGAATAAAAATACTGTGAAACTAACTTTTCAAAATAAGTACAAAACTTATACCCTGAAAACGAGAAAATATAGCTGAAAGAAATTAAAAAGATCTAAATAAAATGGAAAGACATCTTGTTCATGGATTAGCAGACAATGTTGTTAAGATGCCAAGACTTCTCAAATTAATCCACAGATTCAATGCAGTCCTTAATCAAAATCCCAGCTGGTTTCTTTGCAGAAATTGAAAGGCTGCCCCTGAAATTCATATGAAAATGCCATTGACCCAGAACATATATGGAAAAGAAGGACAAAGTTGGAAGATTCACACTTTGTTTTCAAAATTTACTACAAAGCTACAGTAATGAATCGAGTGTGACACCGGCATAAGGATAGACAAATAGAACAATGGAATGGAACTGAGAATCCAGATATGGACCCTCTTATTTACACTGTATTTATTTTCAACATGGTACCGAAACAATTCAATAGGGAAGGAATAGATTTTTCAACTAATGATGCTGAAACAAATGGGTATCTACAGGTAAAAAATGAGGTTACACTCCTCCAACACTATATATGAAAACTAACTCAAAATGCATCAAAGGCCTAAACATGTTAAGAGGTAAAGGTATTAAACTCTTGAAAGAAAACATACAGATAAATCTTTGTGGATCTGGATTTGGCAAAGTTTTCTTAAACATGATGCAAAACATACAAGCAAAGAAAAAAGCATAAATTGGACTTTATAAAAATTTAAAACCTTTATGCTTCAAAGGATACTATCCAGAAAGTCAACAGACAACTACTGAATGGAGAAAATATTTTCAAATCACATATTGGATAAGGTACATCCATCTTGAATATTTAAAAACAAAACCTCCTACAAAAAACTCAGTAATAAAAAAGATAACTCAATTAAAAATGCTCAATGGATTTAAGTAGACACTTACCAATAAAAGATATCCAAACGGCCAACAAGCACATGAAATGATGTTCAACATTAGTCATCAGGGAAACATGAATGAAAACCATAATGATTGACCACTTCATACTCACTGAGATGACAAAAATTTTAAATCCGTATGTTTTGACCATGATATAAAGAAATCGAAACTTCTGCAGACTGCTGGCAGGACTCAACAACTGTTGAACCACTTTGACAAACAGTCTGGCACTTTAGCAGTTCCACTCTTAGGTATGTAGTCAAGAAAAATGAAAAAATATGTGCATACAAAAATTTGTGGATAAATGTTCATAGCAACACCATTCATAACAGCCAACAAATGCAAACAACCCAAAAGTCTATCAAGTGATATGGGTAAATAAAATGTTATATCTATATTATAGATTATTTGGTAATAAAAAGGAATGAAGTATTGACACATGTGACAACATGAGTGAATTTCAAAAACATAATAAATGAGTCAGCCACGGAACACTACGTATTGTACGAATCTGTTTATATGAAAAGTCCAGATAGGAAAATCTATAAAGACAGAAAGCAGATTAGTGGTTGCCTAGGACTGGAAGTGCTGAATAAAGGTTTGGGCAACTGCTAATGGGTTGGGTTTTTTTTTGGAGAGAGGAGATAAAATGTTCTAAAACTGATTAAGGCGATGGTTGCACAACTCTGTGAATAAAGAAAAAAAAACACTGAATTGCACAGTTAAAATGCTACTTGTATATGTGAATTATATCTCAATAAAGCTGTTACCAAACAAACAAACAAACAAAAAACCCACCACCAGAACAAAAACAAGATATAATCAGGCCTGCTTGGTGCTCTTGGTTTTTGTGTCTCCTAAGTCTCTCTAAGTTTTGGACACTTTACATCCTCCCACCTCCCTATTATTTACGCTATTAACTTGTTGAAGAGTCTAGGTCAGTTAACTATCTCACATTCCTAATTTATTTTGCATGATTCCTTGTGTTGCTATGTAACTTGTTTTCTGGCAGGAATACTTTACAGGTAATTCTGTGTACTGTATCTTCCATACATATGTCTAGTTCCATATGAAAGAGTTCCCTCTGAAACAACTCAATTTCATTCTTTACCAATTTTTAATCTTACACAGTCACGCACTGCATAACATTTCGGTCAACTGACCACATATAACAATGCTGGTCCCATGAGATTATAATGCAGCTAAAAATTCCTATCACTTAGTGATGTTGTAGCTGTTATAATGTCATAGGGCAGTAAATTATTCATGTGTTTGTGACAATGCTGGTGTAAAAAAAAAACTACTGTGCTGCCAGTAGAATAAAAGTATAACACATACATTTGTTATGTACAGTACATACTACTTGATAAAGATAATAAATGACTATGTTACTGGTTACATATTTGCTACACTATACTTTTTATCATTATTTTAGATGTACTCCTTACAGTTATTTTTTTAAAAAAAAGTTAAATGTAAAACAGCCTCAGGCAGGTCCTTCAGCAGGTCTTCCAGGAAAAGGCATTGTTATCATAGGAGCTGATAGCTATATGTGTGTTATTGCCCCGAAGACCTTCCAGTGGAACAAAATGTAGAGGTGGAAGACACTGATATTGATTATCCTGACCCTGTGTAAGCCTAAGCTAACATGTGCGTTTGTGTCTTAGTTTTTAACAGAATAGTCGAGAAAGTAAAAACTAAAATAAAAATTTTTTAAATAGAAAAAAACTTACAGGATATAAAGAAAATATACATATTTTTGTATACCTGTACAATGTATTTATGTTTTAAATGAAGTGTTAATATTACAGAGTCAAAAAGTTAAAAAAACTAAAAAGTTTATAAAGTAAAAAGATTACAGTAAGCTAAGCTTAATTTGTTAATGAAGAAAAAATTTTTTTTTCTAAATTTAGTGTAGTCTAAGTGCATACTGTTTATAAAATTTACTGTAGCCTGCATGTCTTAGACTTTCACACTCACTCACTACTCACTCACTGACTCTCCCAGAGCAACTTCTAGTCGTACAAGCTCCATTCATGGTTAAGTGCTCTATTCAGGTGTACCCCCCACCCCTCCCTTTTTTTTCTTTTGAGACAGTCTCACTCTGTGGCCCAGGCTGGAGTGCAGTGGCGCGATCTTGGCTCACTGCAACCTCTGCCTCCCGTGTTAAAGCAATTCTCTTGCCTCAGCATCCCGAGTAGCTGGGATTACAGATGCCCGCCACCACGCCCAACTAATTTCTGTATTTTTAGTAAAAACGGAGTTTCACATTGGCCAGGCTGGTCTCGAACTCCTGACCTCAGGTAATCGCCTGCCTTGGCCTCCCAAAGTGCTGGGATTACAGGCATGAGCCACTGAGCCTGGCCCAGGTGCACCCTTTTTTATCTGTTATATTGTATCTTTATTGAACATTTTCTATGTTTAGATACCCAAATACTTCACATTGTGTTACAACTGCCTAAGATATTCTGCATAGCAAATGCTGTACAGGATCACAGCCTAGGAACAACAGGCTACCTAATATAGCCTAGGCTGGTAGTAGGCTATATCACCTAGGGTTATGTAAATACACTCTACAATGTTTGCACAAAAAGTCACCTAACAATACATTTCTCAGAATGTGGTCCTATTGTTAAGCAACACATGACTGTACTGTTGAATTCAGTTTGGTACTATTTTGTTGAGGATTTTTGCATCAATATTTATCAAGGTATTAGTCAATAGTTTTTTATTGCGTCTTTGTCTAGCTTTGGTATCAGGGTAATGTAGGCCCCACAGAGTAAGTGTGGAAGTGTTACCTCCCTTTCAATTTTTTCGAAGAATATGAGGAGGATGGGTGTTAATTCTTCTTCAAATGTTTGGTAGAATTCTAAAGTGAAGCTCTCTGGCTTTTCATTGTTGGGAGGTTTGGGTTTTTTTGTAATTAGTGATACTAATCATTGGACTTTTCAGATTTTCTATTTCATCAGGATTCAGTCTTGGAAAGCTGTGTTTTTATAGGAACTTATTCATTTCTTCTATGTGATGCTATCTGTTGGCATGCAATTGTTGATAACATTGTCTTATAAACCTTTTTATTTCTGTGGCATTGCTTGCAAGATCCCTTCTTTCCTTTCTAATTTGAGTTATTCCAGTCTTCTTTCTCCCTTCATCTAGCTAGCGGTTTGTCAATTTTGTTGATACTTTCAAAGAACCAAATCACAGCCAGGCTGTCGATTTTGATTTTGATCTCTCTTCCTTTTTAATGTAAGCATCTACAGCTACAAACTTCCCTCTTAACACTGCATCCTATAAATTTTGGTATGATGTATTTTTTTGTTTCAAGGTATTTGCCAATTTTCCTTGGGATTTCTTCTTTGACCCAATGGTTGCTGTAGAGTGAGTTTTTAAATTTTCACATATTTGTGGATTTTATAGTTATCCTTCCTTGGTTTGAGGTTTCACTTCATTGTGATCAGAAATTTTGTAATGATGTCAATCTTTGAAAATTTATTAAGACTTGTTTTGTGGCCAAACACGTAGTTTATCTGGAGGATGTTCCATGTACACTTGAGAAGAGAAGAATGTATCATCTGCTGTTGTTGGGTAGAGTGTTCTGTATATGTCTGACAGATCGAGTTAATTTATTATGTTGTTCAAGCCCTCTATTTCCTTACTTATATTCTGTCTAGTTATTCTATCTGTTTCTGAAAGTGGGGTATTGAAGTTTCCTAGTAGTATTATGTTACTATTTCTTCAATTCTGTCAATGTTTGCTTTATAATATTTTAGAAGTCTGATGTTTCAGGGCATAAATATTTCTCATTTATATCTTCTTGGTGAATTTACCTTTTTATCATTTATATAGTGTCCTTTGTCTCTTGTAACAGTTTTTGACGTAAAGTATATTTTGTCTTATATTAGTATTACTACTACTAGTCTTTTCTGGAGACCATTGACAAGGATTGTCTTTTTCCATCCTTTCATTTTCAGCTGATACGTGCCTTTAGATCTAAAATGAGTCCCTTGTAGACAGCATACAGTTGGGTGCTGGCTGTTTAAATCCAATCAGCCACTCTAGTTAGTTTTTTGATTTCATCTATTTGCATTTAAAGTAATTACTGATAAAGGAAGGACATACTTTTTTTTTTTTTTTTTGAGACAAAGTTTCGCTCTTGTTGCCCATGCTGGAGCGCAGTGGCACAATCTCACCTCCTGGGTTCAAGCAATTCTCCCGCCTCAGCCTCTGGAGTAGCTGGGATTATAGGCACCCACCACTACGCCCGGCTAATTTTTGTATTTTTAGTAGAGATGGGGTTTCACCATGTTGACCAGGCTGGTCTTGAACTTCTGACCTCAGATAATCCACCTGTCTCAGCCTCCCAAAGTACTGGGATTGGAGGCATGAGGCACCACACTCGGCCAGGAAGGACATACTATTACCATTTTGTTAATTTTTTTCTGTATGTTTTGTAGCTTTTTTGTCCCTCCTTTCCTTTCTTACTGCCTTTGGGTTTCACTGATTTTTGTGTGTGTTACACACTTAGATTCCCTTTTCATTTGCTTTTGTGTATATTCTGTAAGTATTTTCTTTGCAATCAATTACATAAAACATCTTAAAGTTATAACTATTTTACATCAATAATGCCAACTGAATACAATAACTCTGCATCATTATGGCTCCACATTCCCACTTTATGTTACTGATATCACAAATTCTATTTTTTTTGAGACGGAGTCTCACCCTGTTGCCCAGGCTGGAGTGCAATGGCATGATATCAGCTCACTGCAACCTCTGCCTCCCAGGTTCAAGAAATTCTCCTGCCTCGGCCTCAAAAGTAGCTGGGATTACAGGCACGTATGACCATGCCTGGCTAATTTTTATACTTTTAGTAGAGATGGGGTTTCACCATGTTGGCCAGGCTGGTCTCAAACTCCTGACCTCAGGTGATCCACCTACCTTAGCCTCCTAAAGTGCTAGGATTACAGGCGTGAGCCACCGCACCCGGCCACAAATTATATCTTTATATGTTGTATTAACCCCTAACATAGACTTACAGTTTTTTTTAATACTTTTGTCTGTTACATTCTATGCAAGAATTAAAAATCAACTTACATACCAGGATTACAATAATATAGGCTACTTACTATATTTGTCCATTTATTTGCCTTTAACACAGAATGTTATACTTTTATATGGCTTCATGTTGCTGTGTAGTGTGCTTTCATTTCAACCTGAAGGACTCTCTTTAGTAATTTTTATAGGGCAGGTGTAATGGTTACTGAACTCCCTCAACTACTGTTTATCTGAGAAAGTCTTAAGGACGGTTTAGCTGGATATAGTACTCTTGGTTAACAGTTTTGTTGTTTGTTTTTTTTTTTTTTTTGCACTTTGAATGTATCATCCCACTGCCTGTTGGCCTGCAAGGTTTCTGCTGAGAAATCTGCTGAAATTCTTATAGAACTCCCTTGAACGTGACCAGCTGCTTTTCTCTTGTCAATTTAAAAGATTCTCTTTGTATTTTACTTTTGACAATTTGATTATAATGTATGTTAGAGGGGGTGTCTTTAGAATTGTCCTCTCTGGAGTTCCTTGAGTTTCTTGAACTTGTATGCCTATTTCTTTCCTCAAAAAAAGGAAAGTTTGGGATGTTTTCAGCCATTATTTCTACAAATAAGCTCTCTCCTCCTTCTCCTTCTCTCTTCTCATTCCAAGACTTACATTACACATATAGTGGTTCACTTGATGATCTCCCATAAGTCCCTCAGACTGTCGTCACTTTTCTTCGTTTTTTTCTCTTTGCTCCTCTGACATAATTTTATTATTTTGTTAGAACTTTTTGTAGGCACGGGGTCGCACCATGTTGACCAGGCTGGTCTTGAACACCTGGCTTCAAGTGACCCTCCTGCCTTGGCCTCCCAAAGCACTGAGATTACAGGTGTAAGCCACTGTGCCCAGCCTCTGACTCAATTTTAGATTATCTGTCTTCAAGTGTGTTGATGTCTTCTGCGTAATGAAGTCTGCTGTTGACTTTTATAGTTCAGATATTGTATTTTTCAGCTCCAGAATTTATTTGGTTCTTTCTTATAATTTGTATCTTCTAGTTTATACTGTCACTTTGTTCTTGCATCATTTTCCTGACTTTGCTTAGTTTTTTGTGTTCTCTTTCCATTTTTAAATTATCGGTTACAGTTTTTAAATCATATATCACAAAGTTCAGAGATCTGCATTTCTTTAGGGTGAGTTTCTGAAGCTTTGTTTTCTTCTTTGATTTGATCAATGTCCCTGTTCCTTTGTATGCCTTCTGATCCTTTTTTAATGGGTATTTGGGCATTTGAAAAAACAGAAAACAAATACCTTTCTGAGTCTTTACAACTGGCTTCATACAGGGAAACACATTCATGAATCAGCCCAGTTAGAGGTTTTGGGACCATCCAAATTCTTCTGAGACATGTGTCTTCTCTGGGCTTCTATGTGTGTTTCTGACAGTCTTAATTTCCCTAGCAACTTATCGCTGTTTCCTCTCAGAAACCCATAATCGCTGTGTCCCTCAGACCTCTTCCAGCAGAAGTGCAGATCTCCGCAGCTCTTACGTGCTGCAGCAATCACTTCTGTTTCCTGCAGCTTCCAAACTATGCTACCATTCCCTTCAGCACTCTGAGTGAGGTGAGATGCAGACCAGTCCTGTGGGCAGACTTTGGATAAGCCAAAATATTGAACATGCAGTCCATTATTTTGTTTCTGTCCCAAGGGAGACGGTAGGGAATAGGAAATTTCCTCCTGGTTGCACTGCGCTATACCGGCAGGGGAACACACATGCAAAATGCCACAAACTTTTCCACTCCTTTTGAAGGAGTCCCTTCTTTTTAATGTTTTAGCCTGAGTGCTGCAGCTTCTCAACTGGTCTCTATAATTCTCACTAACATGTCCTTGTCATTATATTGCAATTAACTTGGTGTTTCCATGGAGGAATAAGGGCCTGAAACTTCCTACTCCAACATGTTGATGACGTTAGTCTTATAGCCAAATTTTACAATCTTTACTTGTAACACATAGTACCTTCCACCTCAGGTTGTACTGAATTTTTGTATCTCAATTTCTTTGATAATATTCCACCCTTATGTTACTGAATCACACAAGAAAATCAGTCTTATAAGGTATACCCAGTATATCAAATTTACTCCTCAATGGCTTTAGGTGTTTTTAAATATTAAATCCATCCTTAAGTAAATTATAACTGTGATCAAATATACAAAAAAAAAAAAGTCAGAAGTTTCCAAAGGTAATTTCTGAAGAGATTACTTTGCTAAAATATTTTGAGTTATACTAGTATTCTTAGAATAAATAAAATGCTTGCCCAAGTGGTTAACAGAGTCCGATAACAAAAAAAAGATTTTAAGATAAGGTTACATTATTTAAAATTACAAATTTTACATCTTCCTAAAGAGATGTGAATACCTGCTTGCGATGGCCACAAGTATTTAATTAGTTAATCTGGTACTACTTACTCTTCTATTATTATATTTAAAAGCTTATTTATACACCTTAAAATTGTTCTACCTTTATTATTATATAGTAATTAAGTTGAAAACAATATTTTAACTGAAAGGATCTAGGCTTAATAGAAACTGTAAATCCTGAACATGTCAACAGACAACTTTTTATTTACAGATGTTAAAATGAATCCTGAGAAATACACGTGCTAAATATTATTCTCTTGTGTTATTAGACTAATATAAAAACACAGTATTACATGATCCCGATTCCATTATTTTTCTTCAGACAGGGTCTCACTCTGTTGCCCAGGCTGGAGTACAGTGGTACAATCACGGCTCACTGCAGCCTCGACCCCCCCAGGTTCAGGTGATCCTACCACCTCAGCCTCCCAGGGAACTGGGGTTATAGGCGCGTGCCACCAGGCCTGGCTAACTTTTGTATTTTTTGTAGAGATGGGGTGTCACCATGTTGCCAAAGCTGATCTCAAACCCCTAGGCTCAAGCAATCCTCCCACTTCAACCTCCCGAAGTGCAAGGATTACAGGTATGAGCCACCGTGCCCAGCCCTCATCTAGTTCTAACAAATAAAATTTCTCTGCAGAACTTTAATACGGCAGGCCTTCCTAATTGGCAGTTACTTCTAAAATAAGGCTAGATTTAGGGAAATAATTGATGTAGGTACTAAGAGACAAAATTCTAAACAAAGGTGTATTTGTGTCCTATTGCTGCCGTAACAAATACCACAAACTTAACATTTAAACAACACAAATTCATTATTTTACACTTCTGTAGGTTCAGAAGTCTAAAATGGGTCTCAGCCAGCCAAAATCAATGTATATACAGAGCTGTGTTCCTTTCTGGAGGCTAAGGGAGGATCCATTTCCTTGCTTATTCAAGTTGCATGTGGAATCCAGTTTGCTGCAGTTAGAGCACTGAGATTTGTATGTCCTTTGTGACTGTCAGCTGAGGGCAATTCCCAGCTTCCAGAAGATATCTGATGGCTGGGCACGGTGGCTCATGCCTGTAATCCCAGCACTTTGGGAGGCCGAGGCAGGTGGATCACGAGGTCGAGAGATCAAGACTATCCTGGCCAACACAGTGCAACCCCGTCTCTACTAAAAATACAAAAATTAGCTGGGCGTGGTGGCACACACCTGTAGTCTCAGCTACTTGGGAGACTGAGGCAGGAGAATCACTTGAACCCGGGAGGTGGAGGCTGCAGTGAGCCAAGATGGCACCACTGCACTCCAGCCTGGCAACAGAGCAAAACTCCGCCTCAAAAAAAAAAAAGAAAAAAGATTATCTGAATTCCATGTCTCATGGCCCTCTTTCTCCATCTTCAAAAGCCAGCAAGAGGGGGTTGAGTCTCTGACCTACTCTTCTGAATCCTTCTGGTTTAAAAAGTTTGTGTGATTACCAGGACCACCCACATAATCCTGGATAACCTCCCTATTTTAAGGTCAGCTGATTAACAACTTTAATTCCCTTTTGCCATGTGCTATGGTTTGAACGTTTGTTTCCTCCAAAAGTCATGTTGAAACTTAATTCCCAATATGACAGTATTGATAAGTGGGGCCTTTAAGAAGTGACTGGGTCTGGGCACAGTGGCCCACATCTGTAATGACAACACTTTGGGAGGCCAAGGCAGGAGGAATGCTTGAAGCTAAGAGTTCAAGATCATTCTGTGCAATGAAGCCAGGTCTGATCTCTACAAAAATTTTTTTTAAAAATTAGCTGGCAAGGTGGTGTATACCTGTAGACCCTACTCAAAGGGATGAGGCAGGAAGACTACTTGAGGCTAGGAGTTTGGAGGCTGCAGTAAGCAATGACTGGGCCACTGCACTCCAGCCTAGGTGACACAAGGAGACCCCATCTCTAACACAAAAGCTTTTTAAAAAAGAGGTGACTGGGTTATGAGGGATGCCCTCATGAAAGCATTAATTCATCCAAGGGTTCATGGATTAATGGATTATCATGGGAACTGGACTGGTGGCTTTATAAAAGGGAGACAGACCTCAGCTAGCACACTCAGCCCCCAGCCATGTGATACCCTGCATCACCTCTGGACTCTGCAGGAGACCAGGAAGAAGGGCCTCATCAGAGGCAGCCCCTCAAATTTGTTTTTTGTTTTTTTCTTTTGAAACAGAGTCTTGCTCTGTTGCCCAGGCTGGAGTGCAGTGCTGCAATCTTGGCTCACTGCAACCTCCACCTCCCAGATTCAAGCGTTTCTCCTGCCTCAGCCTCCCAAGTAGCTGAGATTACAGGCACGTGCCAAAATGCCCACCTATTTTTTGTATTTTTAGTAGAGACGGGGTTGCACCACGTTGCCCAGGCTGGTCTTAAACTCCTGACCTCAGGTGATCTGCCCAGCTCGAACTCCCAAAGTGATGGGATTATAGACGTGAGCCACTGTGCCTGGCCCTGGCTTTTCCTTTTTTAATCTTCATATATTCTGAATCACATATTTCAAATTAAAAAACAAACCTTTACACACTTCTCCTGAATATCATTTCTCTGGGAAGCAAATTTGAGTTGTGGTTTTTTACCATCCATTCCAGATTCTTCATGTTTCACTTTGCTAAGATGATGATCCGAAATCCAGTCCATGAAGACAGTTAAAAGTTCATAAACTTGCCCATTAAGTGGTACCTATATGTCAAAAATTAAATCATTTATTTCAGTTCACAACTTCATAAAACTTCAAAGACAAACCTTAAATTTGTTAAGTAATAAGAATAATTTGACTAAAGTAATTCACTAAAATGTGTTAAGGACAGAGCTTCTCCAAACAAACAAAAGAATTCCAAATCAAACCTCCCCAACCTGCCTGGCGCAGTGGCTCAAGCCTGTAATCCCACCACTTTGGGAGGCTGAGGTGGGTGGATCACCTGAAGTTCCCTAGGAGTTCGAGACCAGCCTGTCCAACATGGCAAAACCTGTCTTTACTAAAAATAAAATTAGCTGGGCATGGTGGTGCATGCCTGTAATCCCAGCTACTCGGAAGGCTGAGGGAGGAGAATCACCTGAACCAGGAGGTGGAGGCTGCAGTGAGCCGAGATCGCACCACTGCACACCAATCTGGGCAAAAGAGCAAGACTCCATCTCAAAAAAAAAAAAAAAAAAAAAAACACCAAAAACCTCCCCAACTAATATTAAAAACATGTTAAATGACAACTGAGAGAAGGCAAGAAAAGTCATAATCAGGAAGTTGGAATAACTGTACCTTATTACTAAAAGAAAACTTTTCATAAAAATTCTTTATCCAAGTTTGATAAGATGGAAAAAAAGTAAAATTAGCCTTAACTTAAGAGCATGAATCACCACAATTAAAAGACTCTAAAAAAAATTAATGGTTTCCAGAGCTAAAGAATTTCCACTATGAAACTTATCTTTCTCTTCTCACAAAAATTGTTACTTTGTCTTTCCAGTATATCATTCAATACACATATGAACATTTTTTTCCTAGAAATCTTGTCCTCTGACAGCCTACCAAAATGAAAAGTAAAATAACAAAGTAATTTATAAATTTAATTAGACTAAGTATTATTACAAAACACATTTCTAATTTAATTCAATTTTTTTTAATAAGATACCACTACACATATCCACCTTAAGGAGGGAACTATGTTAAATTTATTTTTTTAAAAATCTGCAGGCCAGATGTGGTGGCTCATGCCTATAATCCCAGCACTTTGGGAGGCAGAGGCAGGTGGATCACCAGAGGTCAGGAGATTGAAACCAGCCTAGCCAACATGGTGAAACGCTGTCTCTACTAAAAATATAAAAATTAGCCAGGCGTGGTGGTGGGCGCCTGTAATCCCATCTCTTCGGGAGGCTTGAACCCAGAAGGCAAAGGTTGCACCACTGCACTCCAGCCTGGGTGACAGAGTGAGACCCCATCTCAAAAAAAAAAAAATTAAAAATATTAATAAATTAAAAAATAAAAAAACAAAAAAATTCAAAGACAGAGAAATATAAAAGCAAATTAATAAATAGGCAACATTAAGCCGATGGCAATCCACACAATCAGAATGACTAAAGACAAAATGATAAATAGTAGCATTACCACATTATTCTGAAGAGCAATTTTTCACTTTCTCAATTTTTTTCAAATAGAAACTAACTCCCTTTAGATGAAAACTTCGATTATCTTCAGTCCCTGAATATAAAGTCTGTACCTTTTCAATTTACTCCAATTTTCTCAATTTATAAAGAACTAGAAAATTTATCAAAATATCAAAATGATCAAAGCCCATAATAAGATACTACTACACACCCACTGGAAGGGTCAAAATGAAGAAAACTGAAAACACCAAATGTTGACAAGGTTGTGGAGCAACCAAAACTTTGATACACTGTTAATGGGAGTGTATCATTACACTCCCATTTGTACACAAAACAGTACAACCAATTTGGAAAACTGTCAGTTTCTTAAAAACATACATCTACCTTTATCGACCTTATGACCCAGAAATTGTAGTCCTGGTATATATCCAAAAGAAATGAAAACATACATCCATAAAAACTCTGTACACCAATATTCGTAGCAGCTTTATTTATTGCAGACAAAAACTAGAAAAAGCCCAGGTGTCTATCAACAGAAGAATGAAGGAACAAACTCTGATACAGTCATACAATGAAATACTATTGAGCAATAGTAAGGAACAAACTACTGATACACTCATAATTATGCTGAGAAAAGCCTTACACAAACAAGTACACACAATACAATTCCACTGACCAAATGTCTCAAACAGGCAAAACTAATTTCTGCAAAACTTCTGGCAGAAAAGAATGACCAGGAAAGGGTATTAGAGAACTTTCTAGGATAGTGGAAAGTTCTATATTCTAGGATAGTGGAAGTATTCTGTATTTGGTTATAGACAACATGAAATATTTATCAAAATTAATCAAACTTTACACTAAAGGATTTCTGCATTATGTTACCATATGTAATTTATATCTCAAATTTTAAAAATTCTTAGGGAAAAAAAGACATATGGAAATCCATTCAGGGATGGGTTGTAGTCTTGACTGAAATATAATAGCAAATGCTTGTGGAGTGTCAAAACATACTAAGCAATAAAGCCATTAATGATGTGTCAATGATACGTACCTGAAACACTGCTGAAATATAATAGTTTTGTTTTCACAAATGAAAGTATATTTTAAATATTCTTGAGATATTTCCCTATTAAAAAATTATTATGGTGAATCCCTTCCATAGCAAACATTCCAAAAAGAATGTTTGCTAAATCAAAGAGAAAAGATTAAAGCACAAGAGAAATCTTCCTGGCTTTCCATTGGAGAAATTTTCTTTTTTTTTTTTTTTTTTTTTTTTGAGACGGAGTCTCACTCTGTCGCCCAGGCTGGAGTGCAGTGGTGCAATCTCGGCTCACTGCAACCTCCGCCTCCCAGGTTCCAGCAATTCTCCTGCCTCAGCCTCTCGAGTAGCTGGGACTACAGGCGTGTGCCACCATGCCTGGCTAATTTTCTGTATTTTTAGTAGAAACGGGGTTTCACCATGTTGGCCAGGATGGTCTCGATCTCCTGACATCGTGATCCGCCCATCTCAGCCTCCCAAAGTGCTGGGATTACAGGTGTGAGCCACCGTACCCAGCCGAGAAATTTTCAATCATATCAAATCATAATTCAAACTTACCTTGTAAGTTTTTGAAACTGGTGCTTTTTCTTGTTTTAAACTTTTCATTTCATGAACAGCATGGGAACTTCCTTTCAATCTCTGTATTGTCATAAACTCGTACTTCCTCTGCAACAGTATATATGCGTGAATTAAAGAACAATTGTATCTAAATGAGTAAACTCAAAGGTAATCATCTAAAAACATACTTCTGTCTGTAGAGAAGAACAGGCAACTTACCTGTAAATTATCTAAACGAGCTTGAACTCTTTTAGCCTGAATGTCTATCTTCCTGTTTTCTTCACTTGCTTCATTTAACTAAAGGGTAGAAAAAGTTAGATATTTCAATATACACCTTCAACTGGTTTCATACTAAGGGTTTCCCAATCTACTATCTAATCTGGTTGATATTACTAACCAATGTAACAAAACAGAGACAGCATTCATGATTAACTTAGATCACAACTGAAGTTGTCGTTTTTCCCTAAAATATTAATGGTTTGTAAGATCATTTACTTCATTTTATGAAAAATGTACAAGACTCCAGATGTCTTAAAAGCATATACATATATTTTAGTGAAAATGTTTTTATTAATAAGTACACTGTTATCTGAACTATAACACATATAAAGAAAAGTATAAAATCCTAAGTATGCAGTACAATGAGCTATAACTGGGATTGCATTACTGGGACTATGTGTATATGTGTCTGTGTATATACTGATATGTATATATATATGGAAGAACTGACTTCCTATATATGGAAAGGAAGAATATTGAGTCTTCCTATCCATGAACATATCTTCAATTTATTTAGGTTTTATTTTCTTTTAATAATGTTTTGTAGTTTTCAAGTAGAGATGTCTTGCACATCTCTCTTTAGATTTATTCCTGGGTATCCAATTATTTTTTTATTATATTACTTATGGTATCTTACAATAAAATTTGTGATATATATACACCATGAATAGAATACTATGTGGCCATAGTAAAGAATGAAATCATGTCTTCTGCAGCAACATGGATGGAGCTGGAGGTCATTAATCCTAAGTGAAATAACTTAGAAACAGAAAATTAAATACTGTATGTTCTCATTTATAAGTCAAAGATAAACAATGGGTACACACATATGGACATAAAGATGGAAATAACAGATACTAGGGACTACAAAAGGGAAGAGGGGAGAGGGGTAGGGGTTGAAAATTAACCTACTGGGTACAATGTTCACTATTTGAGTGAAGAGTACATTTTAGAAGCCCAGACCTCACTGTTACACAATATATCCATGTAACAAAGCTGCACATGTACCCTCTGAATCTAAAATAATTTTCTTAAAAAATGAAAAGTGGCTTTTTGAAAAAATAAAAAAACCAACAAACCATGAGCTAGACTAAGAAAAAAGAAGAGGCTGAGTGCAGTAGCTCACACCTGTAATCCCAGCACTTTGGGAGGGTGAGGCAGGAGGATCACTTGAGCCCAGTTCAAGACCAGCCTCAGCAACACAATAAGACCTCATCTCTACAACAAAATTAAAAAATTAACTAGAGGTGGTGGTGCATGCCTGCAGTCCCAGCTACTAAGGAGGCTGAAGCAGAAGCGTGGTTTAAGCCCTGGAGGTTAAGGCTACATGTAGTAAGCCGTGGTCATGCCACTGCACTTCAACCTGGGAGACAGAGGGAGACAGTCAAAAAAAAAAAAAAAGAGAGAGAGAAAGAAAGAAAAGGGAGAGAAGAAATAGTAGCAAGGGAAGGAAGGGAAGGAAACAGAAAAGGAAGGCAGGGTTAGGGGGGTAGGGAAGGCAGAGGGAGGGGAAGAAGGGAAGAAGGAAAGAAAAAAGAAAAAAAAAAAGAAAAGAAAAAAGGAGAAAAGACCCAAACAGATAAAATCGGAAAAATCGGAAACAAAAAGGGAGACATTACAAGCAGTACCACAGAAATACAAGGATCACTAGAGACTACAGAGATCATTATGAAACAACTATATGCCAACAAACCGGAAAACCTAGAGGAAATGGATAAACTCCTAGGCACATATAACGTAAGACTGAACCAAGAAGAAACAGAAAACTAGAACAGACCAATCATAAGTAACAAGATTGAATTGTAGTAAAAAGTTTCCCAACAAAGAAAAGCCCGAACTAAATGGCTTCACTGCTGAACTGTACTTTTAAATTCACTCAATGACTTCACTGCTGAATTAAAACTTTTAAAGAACAAATACCAATTCTCAAACTATCCCAAAAAACTGAAGGGTAGAGAATTCTTCCAAACTCATTGTACAAAGCCAGCACTACCATGATACCAAAACCAAACCAAGACACAACAAGAAAACTCCAGGCCAATATTCCTGATGAACATAGATGCAAAAATCCTCAACAAAATATTAGCAAACCAAATTCAACAACACACCAAAAAGATAATATACCATAACCAAGTGAGATTTATCCCAGGGACACAGGAAGGCTCAAATATGCAAATAAAAAAATGTGATAATCACGTTTTAACAGAATGAAGAGTATAACAGAATGAAATATAATTACCTTACGATCATTTCAATAGACACAGAAAAAGTATTTGATAAAATTCAACAACATCTCTTCACAGTAAAAACTCTCAAAAAATTAGGTACAGAAGGAATGTACTTCAACACATTAAAAGCTATATATAACAAACACACAATTAACATCATACTGAACAGGGAAAAGCTGAAAATTTTTCCTCTAAGAACTAGAACAAGACAAGGATGCTCATTCTCACCACTCTTGTTGAACATGGTACTAGAAGTACTAGCCAGAGTAATTAAGCAAGAAAAAGAAATAAAAGACATCCAAATTGGAAATAACAGGCTGGGTGTGGTGACTCATGCCTGTAATCTCAGCAATATGGGAGGCCGAGGCAGGCGGATCACCTGAGGCCAGGAGTTCAAGACCACCCTGGCCAATACAGCAAAACCCCGTCTCTACTAAAAGTACAAAAATTGGCCAGATGTGGTGGCACATGCCTGTAATCCCAGCTACTCAGGAGGCTGAGGCAGGAGAATTGTGTGAACCCAGGAGGTGGAGGTTGCAGTGAGCAGATATCGTGCTGCTGCACTCCAGCCTGGGCGACAGAGTGAGACTCCATCACAAACAAACAAACAAACAAACAAACAAAAATTGGAAATGAGTCAAATTGTCCTTCTTTGGATGACATGATCTTCAATGCAAAGAAACCGAAAGACTCCACCAAAAATTTCTCAGAACTGATAAATTTGGTAAAGTTGAAGGACACAAAATCAACATACAAAAATCAGTAGCATTTCCAAACACTAACAACAAACTAACTGAAAAAGAAAGAAAGAAATCTATCCTGTTTACAATGGCTACAAAAATAAAATAAAATAGCTGGGAATAAATTTAACCAAGGAAGTGAAAGATTTCCACGATGAAAACTATAAAACACTGATGAATGAAACTGAAGATCACACACACACACACACACACACACACACACACACACACAACATTTCATGTTCATGGACTGGAACAATTAATACTGTCAAAATAACCAAAGTCATCTACAGATTCAACATAATGTTTATTAAAATACCAACAACATCCTTCACAGAAATAGAAAAAAATTCTAAACTGTGTATGAAATCATGAAAGACCCCAAATAAGCGAAAGCGATCCTGTGCGAAAACAACAAAACTGGAGGCATTACACTACCTAAACTCAAAATATACTACAAAACTGTAGTAACCAGAACAGCATAGTATTGGCATAAAAACAGACACATA
The DNA here is from genome assembly GCF_000001405.40 of Homo sapiens. Taxonomy (NCBI): domain Eukaryota; kingdom Metazoa; phylum Chordata; class Mammalia; order Primates; family Hominidae; genus Homo; species Homo sapiens. Next base: position 108,809,171 of record NC_000002.12, on the reverse strand, counting down.
GACTAATGGAACAGCATAGAGAACTCAGAAATAAATCCACACATTTACAGCCAACTGATTTTCTACAAAGGTGCCAACAACATTAATAAGGGAGATGACAGTCTCCTCAACAAATCATGCAGGAAATGGATATCCATATGCCTAAGAATAAAACTAGACCCCCATCTCCCATCACAGACAAAAATCAACCCAAAATGGATTAAAGACTTTGAAATATAAGACCCAAAACTATGCAACTACTAGAGGAAAAAATGGGAAATAGTTCACGACAATCGCCTGGGCAAAGATACTATGGATAAGACCTCAAAAGCACAAGCAACAAAAGCAAAAACAGACAAATGAGATTGGAAACAATAAAAAGAATAATGATACAACCTGCAGAATAGGAGAAAATATATGCAAACTATTCATCCAACTAGGGTGAAAATCCAGACAATACAAGGAACTCAACAGCAAAAAAATAATAATCCAAATAAAAAATGGGTAAATAATCTGACTAGACATTTCTCAAACAAAGGCATACAAACAGCCAACAGGTATATGAAAAAATGCTCAATATCACTAATCATCAGGTTAATGCAAATCGAAACCATGATCAGGTATCAATCTCATCCCAGTTAGAAAGGCTATGAAAAAGACAAAAAGTAATAAACGTTGGTGAGGATGTGGAGAAGGGAAACTCTTTTACATTGTTGGTGGGGATATAAATTAGCACAGCCATTACGAAAAACACAAGTATTCAGGTTCCCAAAAAAACGAAAACACAACTACCATATGATCCTGCAATACCACTTCTGGGTATATATTCACAGGAGAGAAAATCAGTATATTGAAGAGATATCTGCACTCCCATGTTTACTGCAGCAGTATTTGCAATAGCCAAAGTATGGAAAGTAGCCAACCTATGTGTCCATCGATAGATAAATTTATGAAGAAAATGTGGTTATACATTTTCTTTATAACCACATTTTCTTTATACATACACAATGAAATACTGTTCAGCTATGAAAAAGAACAAAATCTTGTCATTTGCAGCAACATGGATGAACCTGAAAGACCTTACCACACACTTATGTTAAGTGAAATAAGCCAAGTACAGAATGATAAATACCACATGTTCTTACTCATGTGGAAGCTAAAAAACAAGTTGATCTCACAGAAGTACAGAATATAATATTGGTTACTAGAGGTTGGGATGGCTGTGGAAAGGAAGGAATGTGGAGAAGTTGGCTAACAAACACAAAATTAGAACTGGATAGGAGGGGCTGGGTACAGTGGCTCAGGCCTGTAATCCGAGCACTTCGGGAGGCCGAGGCAGGTGGATCACTTGGTTTGAGACCACCCTGGCCAACATGGTGAAACCCCATCTCTACTAAAAATACAAAAATTAGCCAGGTGTGGTGGTGGGCGCCTGTAATCCCAGATACTCGGGAGGCTGAGGCAGGAGAATCGCTTGAGTCCAGAAGGCAGAGGTTGCAGTGAGCCGAGATCATGCCACTGCACTCCTGCCTGGGCATCAGAATGAGACTCATCTCAAAAAAACAAAACAAAACAAAAAGAAGAACCAGATAAGAGGAATAAGTTCTAGCTTTATAGCACTACAGGGTAACTACAATCAACAATTTATGGTATATTTTCACATAGATAAAGAGAGGATTTTGAATATTTCCAATACAAAGAGATGATAAATGTTTGAGCTGATGGATTAGCTAATTACTGTGATCATTACACATTACTGTATCAAATATCACTGTACCCCATAATTATGCATAATTATGTCAATTAAAAATAATTTTAAAACCCCATTCAATGGAGTTCTTAAATTCAATTGATGTATTTTTTAGTTTTCAAATTTCAATTTAATTCCTTTCCATAGACTTATTATATAGGCAAAAATGGACCTATGCTAGGAATTCTCTAATGAAGTTGTCAATCTATTTTTCTACTTTCTTGAACATATTAATCATTATTTTAAAGTCATTGCCTGTTAAATTCCAATATCTGGATCACTCGCAAGTATGCTTATATTCTCTGGGGTTTTTTTCTTCATTCTCAGTTATGCAATTCTGTCTTTTGACATGCTTATTAATTTTGTATAGAATGAAAGACATATTTTCCTCTGCTAGGCATTTAAACTGAGGAGTAAGCACCTTAATCTGATCAGGAACTGCACTTAATCAAGGCCAGGTTTCAGTTTAGGAAAGTTCTGTCTCCCTCTAATTCACCCAGTCCCAAGGCACAATGCTGCTCCTTTCAACTGAGATCCTGGGGTGTTCACTGGGACTATCTCCCTATGATGAAGCTTGAACATTAATCCTTGCCTCCTCAGCTTGGCTAGACTTAATGAGAAATGCTTTTAAATTATTAGAAAATGTATATCCAGTGTTAGCATAAATTACTATGTAAGTCAGTCACAGAAATAACATATCTTTTTCTTCAGCAATTTCAAAGTACATGTTATTCATCTAGCCAGGAGCTGGCTAAATATGCCCATTGCTTGTTTTTATGAATACAGTCGTTTTGGAACACAGCCACGCTCGTTACTTATTGCCTATGGCTGTTTTCGCATTACGATGGCAGAGCTGGGTCACTGAAAGAGAGACCACATGGCCTACAAAGCCCAAAGTACTTACTATCTAGTCCTTAACAGAAAAAGCGTGCTGACCTCTGATCTAATCTTAACACAGAAACCATAAAAAAGCATTCTGCCAAATTTTTTCAGTTTGTACACATTAGCTCATAAATCCAATTATCAATAGGTCCAAATATTTAATAATCCACATATCCACCCCAATTACCACACACTCATGCAACTACATGCAAAATTATTAAGGATTACAGAAACCTAAGAGATAGGTATGGGCAACAGTTTATCTATGCTAGGAATTTTTAAAATCCTCACAAGAGAGTGGTAGAATGAGACTGTAATGAGAAAGAGCAATCTCTCCATGGATAAAGTGGGATTCCAAACAGACAACAGGCTGTCAAATTCATAAGTCTAATAGTAACAGCCATAAATGAAATGAGGAAGCTAAAGAATTAGATCAGGTGAGAAAAAGGGTACCTATGTATCACTGCCAAGGAGGAGGATCACAACAAGTAGAGATTAAAGGGAAACAAAAGCAGAAACAGAAAAGGACAGCTGGCAAAGGAACTCTAGGAGAGTCTGAGGCTTAAGTTACATAATCCATACAGATTCCCAGCCCAATGCTTTCATTTTCAAAGTGACGGGGTTTACTCCAATTTCTGCTCCAACATCTACTCCCCACACAATCTAATATATACATAATCATTCTCTTGTCTCTCTTTAACATACTCCTTTACTTTCACATCTTTCTGCCAAAAACTGGCAGATGGAAGGAAAAAAATAGACATAACTCACAAAACTATTTATGTTATGCAACTCTGGTATTATATATTAATCTAAATTACAATTTTTTTTTTTTTGAGACAGTCTCGCTCTGTCGCCCAGGCTGGAGTGCAGTGGCACAATCTCGGCTCACTGCAAGCTCCGCCTCCTGGGTTCACGACATTCTCCTGCCTCAGCCTCCCGAGTAGCTGGGACTACAGGCGCCCGCCATCACGCCCAGCTATTTTTTTTTGTATTTTTGGTAGAGACGGGGTTTCACTGTGTTAGCCAGGATGGTCTCGAACTCCTGACCTCGTGATCCGCCCACCTCAGCCTCCCAAAGTGCTGGGATTACAGGCGTGAGCCACCGCGCCTGGCCTGCAATACTTATATAAATAAGTATACTGCAATGTGATACCAGTTTATAACCATGAGAACATGAGCAATGTGAAGGTCTGAGTCTAGCATGATGCCTAGGATATAATAGATACTCAAAAATAAATGAATGTTAAATAAGTAGTGATAAATAATAAGTATTAAAGCCAGAGATCAGTACCTAAAAATGTAATCAGTTCTCAGGTTATCAGGTTTTTTTCTTTTGTTTGTCAGTTGGTTGCCAGAACAAATAAAGAGAAGAGACCAAAGAGCTAAAGAATACTTTATTTACATTTGGAAGTATTTTAAAATAAAGCTAACAAATGTAATCCAAATTTTCTCTAGCTGAAACGTGTTCTAAGGCTGACTTTAATTTGTTATATATAAAATATACTTCTTAGAATGTCTTATGTTCAGTATATATTAAAACAGGTCTTACCTGTTTTTTTAAGGTATCATTCAATTCTTTCAATGCATCAAAAGAGGACCTCAGTCTCTTGGTTTCTTTATTCTTTTCCTTAAGAACTTCGGTTAAGTGTTCAACTTCTGCATCATGCTGCTAGGAGGAGAAAAAAAAAACTCTCATCTAAAACTTGTAAGGACTGTATATCACTAATACTATGGAACGTGAATTAATTACAAGTAAGAACTCCTTCAATCACAAAAACTTTAATCAGTGTATGCAAGCACAAGTGACTAGTGTGGCAAGTAATTTATAAAAACCATGCAATCTACCAAGATAACAACAAAACATCAAAGGCATTTACAACATACTTATTAAAACATATTAGCATTTACAAAGTAGCAATGAGTCTATTTTCTGCTTCTGCTCAGAAAAATCCACTCACACAAACTCATGGAAATATTTTCTTTGACATCATGGAATAATAAAACAGTAAAGAATTTCTGATACTCTTCAAGAGATAAGCTATTTATGGCTTTATAAAGTGTATAATTTACATTACCTTTGAGAAATGAAAGAAATCTTTCATAAAACCAACTAATTTCTTGTCCTCATAAAGCAGCTAAAATTTTTGATGCCTGCTTTTCATCTCAAAATATGTTAGATACATAATAAAATTTCTTAGCCCCAAACTATTTGACTCTTCTTAATCAGTTCTATAAATAATTCAAATCAACTTCCCCTCTAATTACATTTAAATGGGATAGCATGTTTTAGATTTTAAATGTGAATACTTAATAGTTTCACCTTTCACTTTCAACTTACTTATAAAGCTTTAAAACAAGTTTCTACAGGAAATCAAAAAATTGAATTAATTCCCTTCTTCCAAGTAGTGATATAAATACGATGAAAATAAGGCAGTTATCCTTATACTTAATAAAAATAGATACACAAATCTAAAGAGAATCAAGAATAAGACAAAAATGGAGAGATCAGAGAATCTAAGCATTCTTTAGCCCTGTGAAAAAAATCCAATATTCTAAGAAGTTAATCTTTGTATGACTTTATTACTATATTGATTCCTTAAATAACTTAGGATATAGTCACAAATACAGTTATTTTTAAAACTAATATTTTCATTGTCCAACTTTTTCCATATCTAAAAGATACTAAAAACATATGCATTCCATTTCTAGCACAGCAGGATAAGCTCAATACACTCTTCTCCCACTGATTATAGCTAAAAGCCCTAAATAAACCATAAAACAACTAACTGACAACTGTGAAAAGAAAAAAGGGGAGGACATTGTGATGGGAGAGAAAACTTGTAGAAGCAACCCTCAAGGGTAAAGTTTCCTGCATTTTTGTTTTTGCTCTTCTCTCAACATTTTGCCTCAGGGTGGGTCCCAGACATGGAGAAGTAGAACAAAAACTTCCACTAGCTGGGCACAGTGGTGCACATCTGTAGTCCCAGGCACTCAGGAGGCTGAGGGAGGAAGATGACTTGAGGGTGCAGTGAGCTATGATGACGTCTGTGCATAGCCACTGCGCTCCAGCCTGGGCAACACAGCAAGACTCTGTCTCTAAAACAATTAAAAAAAAATTTTTTTTTAATTTCCACTAAAGCTCTAAAAAATGTCCACTAAAGAAATGAGAGAAAACCAGTCTTCCTGGCAAGATAATCAGGAAGAGGGGCCTCTATGAGCCAGAGTGTGGGGAGAATCCCGCAGAAGAGAGACTCAAACAGAGGATCCTCTCACTCTGGTGTTTACGAACCTGTACAAATTGGGCTCAACTTTGAGCCGCTCAGGCGGGCACAGGACAGACCAAAAGCAGTAGAGCAAACGCTTGGAGAATGGAGCTCAGTTTAAAACTATTACCTAAGTCTTGGCTAACACTTTAATGCCTCTTTACCTGCACAAAAAACACCCAGAGCAGCATAGCAAAAGCTTTGAGAAATGCATTAGGATTTTAAACTGTTACCCAAGTCTCAGACCAACCTTTAAGAGGCACAGGCACAAGACAACTCCACAGCAACATTGCAAAGGCTTTGAAAGCAAAGTGGGCTTCATCCCTGGGATGCAAGGCTGGTTCAATATACGCAAATCAATAAATGTAATCCAGCATATAAACAGAGCCAAAGACAAAAACCACGTGATTATCTCAACAGATGCAGAAAAAGCCTTTGACAAAATTCAACAACCCTTCATGCTGAAAACTCTCAATAAATTAGGTATTGATGGGACGTATTTCAAAATAATAAGAGCTATCTATGACAAACCCACAGCCGATATCATACTGAATGGGCAAAAACTGGAAGCATTCCCTTTGAAAACTGGCACAAGACAGGGATGCCTTCTCTCACCACTCCTATTCAACATAGTGTTGGAAGTTCTGGCCAGGGCAATCAGGCAGGAGAAGGAAATAAAAGGTATTCAGTTAGGAAAAGAGGAAGTCAAATTGTCCCTGTTTGCAGACGACATGATTGTTTATCTAGAAAACCCTATCGTCTCAGCCCAAAATCTCCTTAAGCTGATAAGCAACTTCAGCAAAGTCTCAGGATACAAAATCAATGTACAAAAATCACAAGCATTCTTATACACCAACAACAGACAAACAGAGAGCCACATCATGAGTGAACTCCCATTCACAATTGCTTCAAAGAGAATAAAATACCTAGGAATCCAACTTACAAGGGATGTGAAGGACCTCTTCAAGGAGAACTACAAACCACTGCTCAAGGAAATAAAAGAGGATACAAACAAATGGAAGAACATTCCATGCTCATGGGTAGGAAGAATCAATATCGTGAAAATGGCCATACTGCCCAAGGTAATTTACAGATTCAATGCCATCCCCATCAAGCTACCAATGACTTTCTTCACAGAATTGGAAAAACCTACTTTAAAGTTCATATGGAACCAAAAAAGAGCCCGCATCGCCAAGTCAATCCTAAGCCAAAAGAACAAAGCTGGAGCCATCACACTACCTGACTTCAAACTATACTACAAGGCTACAGTAACCAAAACAGCATGGTACTGGTACCAAAACAGAGATATAGATCAATGGAACAGAACAGAGCCCTCAGAAATAACGCCGCATACCTACAACTATCTGATCTTTGACAAACCTGAGAAAAACAAGCAATGGGGAAAGGATTCCCTATTTAATAAATGGTGCTGGAAAAACTGGCTAGCCATATGTAGAAAGCTGAAACTGGATCCCTTCCTTACACCTTATACAAAAATCAATTCAAGATGGATTAAAGATTTAAACGTTAGACCTAAAACCATAAAAACCCTAGAAGAAAACCTAGGCATTACCATTCAGGACATAGGCGTGGGCAAGGACTTCATGTCCAAAACACCAAAAGCAATGGCAACAAAAGACAAAATTGACAAATGGGATCTAATTAAACTAAAGAGCTTCTGCACAGCAAAAGAAACTACCATCAGAGTGAACAGGCAACCTACAACATGGGAGAAAATTTTCACAACCTACTCATCTGACAAAGGGCTAATATCCAGAATCTACAATGAACTCAAACAAATTTACAAGAAAAAAACAAACAACCCCATCAAAAAGTGGGCGAAGGACATGAACAGACACTTCTCAAAAGAAGACATTTATGCAGCCAAAAAACACATGAAAAAATGCTCATCATCACTGGCCATCAGAGAAATGCAAATCAAAACCACTATGAGATACCATCTCACACCAGTTAGAATGGCAATCATTAAAAAGTCAGGAAACAACAGGTGCTGGAGAGGATGTGGAGAAATAGGAACACTTTTACACTGTTGGTGGGACTGTAAACTAGTTCAACCATGGTGGAAGTCAGTGTGGCGATTCCTCAGGGATCTAGAACTAGAAATACCATTTGACCCAGCCATCCCATTACTGGGTATATACCCAAAGGACTATAAATCATGCTGCTATAAAGACACATGCACACGTATGTTTATTGTGGCATTATTCACAATAGCAAAGACTTGGAACCAACCCAAATGTCCAACAATGATAGACTGGATTAAGAAAATGTGGCACATATATACCATGGAATACTATGCAGCCATAAAAAATGATGAGTTTATGTCCTTTGTAGGGACATGGATGAAACTGGAAACCATCATTCTCAGTAAACTATCGCAAGAACAAAAAACCAAACACCGCATATTCTCACTCATAGGTGGGAATTGAACAATGAGATCACATGGACACAGGAAGGGGAATATCACACTCTGGGGACTGTGGTGGGGTGGGGGGAGTGGGGAGGGATAGCATTGGGAGATATACCTAATGCTAGATGATGAGTTAGTGGGTGCAGCGCACCAGCATGGCACATGTATACATGTGTAACTAACCTGCACAATGTGCACATGTACCCTAAAACTTAAAGTATAATTAAAAAAAAAAAAAAAAAAAAAAAAAAAAAAGCTAAACTGAGATGAGAACCACTGCCCAGAGGAGGTGAGAAAAAACTGAGGCCTGGCCAGGCACGCCTGTGATCCCAGCACTTTGGGAGGGCGAGGCAGGTGGATTGCTTGAGGTCAGGAATTCAAGACCAGCCTGACCAACATGGTGAAACCCCGTCCCTACTAAAAATACAAAAATTAGCCGGGCATGGTGGTGGGCGCCTGTATTCCCAGCTACTCAGGAGATTAAGGCAGGAGAATCGCTTGAACCCAGGAAGTGGAGGTTGTAGTGAGCCGAGATCGTGCCACTGTACTCCAGCCTGGATGACAGAGCGAGACTATCTCAAAACAAAACAACAACAACAAAAAAAGTGAGGCCTAAATCTAATTGCTGAATGCTTTAAAATCAATAATATTCTCCAGAAGGTAACAATAGAACCCAAAATCTATGCATTAACCAGAAGGTCTTGAATATACCCTAAAAATCACTGAACATACAAAGAACCAAACAATGTGACTAAGCCTCAAGAAAAAAGATAATCAACAGATCCCTATCTTGAGATGATACAGGTGATACATAGTTTTTAAACTATGCTCCATGAGGTAAAAGTAAATATATATAGATGTAAATATAAAGACAGAAATGCTTATGAGAAAAACAAAAATAAATTTTTTAAACAACTTGAAATTTTAGAATTTTTAAATATCAAAAATAAAAATTTCACTAGATGGGCTCAATAGCAACATGGAGATTAAAAAAGAAATAATGAACTTTAAGATGGATCAAGAAACTATCTGAAGAACACTGAAGAAAATAATGGGAAAAAAAGGAATGGAGCCTCAGAAATCTTTGGGGAAATAGCACAAGGAGTCACTGGAGATCCAAGAGAAGACAAGAAAGAAAGTGGAAAAAATATTTGATGAAATATTGGCTGAAGATTCCCCAAATTTGGCCAAAGACAGAAATTTCCAAATTGAAGAAGCTCAGTTAACCACAAACAGAACAAACTGAAAGAAAAGCATGTCAAGAAACACTGTAAATAAACTGCTACTGAAAACCAAAGATAAAGAAAAATCATAAAATGATGCTATTAACATGACATTCTGGAAAAGGCAGATGTACTGGGACAGAAAATAGGTCAGTGGTTGCCAAGGGCTGAGGCTGGAGGAAAGGGATAGCTACAAGAGAGCGTAAGGGAACTGCTGGCGAGCTGAACTACTCTTGATCTTGTTGATGGTTGTGATTACAAAACTGAATGCATTTTTCAAAACTCATAGAAATGTACAACAATGAATTTTACTCCAAGTAAGTTATATGTACAGTAAAATATATCTTAATATGAAGCAAGGTATATTATACCACCTATACAATATCCTTGCCAAAAATATTTTGTCTACATATTATCGTTACGAAGCAATCAGGCAAATCCACAATGTGACATATAAGAATGCTGGCCTGAATTCTTCAAAGATGGTGAGGTTGAGTGCTCTAGATTCAAAGAAACCAAAAAGATATAACAACCAAATATAACGCATGAATCTTGTCTAGTTGCTTGATCAAACAAACAACCCCCCCGCCCCACAAACAATAAAAGACATACTGAAGACCAACTGAGAAAGTAAACATGGACTATAAATAAGTTATTTAGTTAGCATTAATTTCCTGATATGCGCTAATGGTCTGGAGAATGTCTTTATTCTTAGGAGATACATACTGAGGTATTTAGGGACAGAATCATGATTTTTACAAACTGCTTTCAAATGGATCAGAAAAAATGTGTGTGTGTGTGTGTGTGTGTGTGTGTGTGTGTGTAGGTGTGGAGAGGAGGAGGAAGGGAAGGAGAAATAAGCAAATGTGCCAAAATGTGCTTTCAAATGGATCAGAAAAAGTGTGTGTGTGTGTGTGTGTGTGTGTGTGTGTAGGCGTGGAGAGGAGGAGGAAGGGAAGGAGAAATAAGCAAATGTGACAAAATGTTAGTAACTAGTGAATCTAAGAAGAAAAGAAGAAATATACCACTCTAAAATCAAAGGCTATATAGTTACCTCTTTTATAATTTGAAATCTTGTAAGAACCTCTTCTTCAACACCTTTAATTTTACTCAAGGCATTTTCATGTCTGAAAAGCAGTTGTTCTCTTTCAAGTAAAAAACGTTCTCGCTTTTGAAGTTCTTCAGCAAATTTCTGTTGTGCTGCAGTTTCACACTGTATCAAAATGCCAGACTTTAATGCTCTTGAAAAGTCACAAATTCTGCAAATTATATTCCTATTGGCTGACACTGTGGTTTAACCAAGTGGTTTTCAGGAATACAGGGGTACCTAAGGACAATCTGGATTACAGTAGCTAGACTAGTATAGCAAGTAAACTTGCACAGAAATTATATCTTGATTTTAAATGATATGACACTATAGTAAGAGTCCACTGTGATGATGCAAGAGAATTTAGGGTCCAAAATGGATCAGCACTATGCAGATTTAGTTCCCGATCCAGCTTAAATTCCATGCTCTGCTTCCACATCATAGTCCACTATTTTACCTATACCCTCCACTCCCTCATCTTGTTGTCTATCACCTTGGGCTGAAAGAACGAGGTCTAGATTAGCACACTGATCACCTTCCCTGGTCCCATGCTACTCAGCTAAGTACCACTGGAGAAAAAAAAAAAAAAAATCACACACCGTGAAAAGTGGCCCCATTGCGAATTCATGGTCTCAATCCTGTACTAGATTCTCAATGCAGTCCAAAAATCTTTTTATATGTTCACAGCCAACTCTCTCTCCCTCATTCTCCAAAGTGTCTATTTTGAGCCTTCTCCATTCTACTAATTTGGAATACATCATGTCCTATATTCCACTCTTTGTGAATAGCCTGGTCTCTAACTTCACAGGGAAAAAACAGAAGACAGCATAAGAAAACATCAATCTCTTTCTCATAAAATACATATATACATGCTTCTCCTTCCCTCATTAAAAAGGCAGGCTCAGGATCATATTGCCTTAAGCCATCCTGTGAAGACTGCTCTGCTGATTATCCCTCTATTATTTTGAATCTCTCCCACCCCATCTGAACTAAAATCTCTCTTGGCCCCACCCACTCACCTCCTCCCCTTTACAACCATCTACATTTGCTGAGGTCTCTCATTTCAGAATCACTCCTCAACTCACTTAAGACTGGCTTCAGCCCATATTCCTCTATTGAAATGACTTACCTATTACTAAATCTAAAGGTCACTTTTCAGTCCTTATTTTATTGATTCTCTCAATAGCATTTTATACTGCCGTCTCTTTCCTCCAACTTAAAATGCTCTCCTTCATTGGTTTCCATGACACCATTCTCCTAGTTTTCCACCAACTCTCTCTGGCCATGGCTTCTCAGGCTCCTTTATAGGCTCTGCTTCCTCTACTGTCACTTAATTACTAATATTCCTTATGATTTGGGCTGGAGCAATTTTCCTTCTCATTCCTTATACCCTTTCTGCTTAATTATATCCACTCAATGGCTAAAATTACCAAGTATATGCTAATTGTTCCCAACCTACAACTGCTCAGATCTTTCTCACAGGCTCCAAAGTCAAGTCCAAACAGCCTACTTAACATCCTCACCAAGGTGATGGGGATATCTATTACCTCAAACATTTATTCTTTCTTTGTGTTGAGAACATTACAATTCTTCTCTAGCCACTTTAAAATATACAATAAATTATCATTAACTATAATTTCCCTATTGTACTAGTAAATACTGAAACTTACTCCTATCTAACTGTATTTTTGTACCCATTAACTAACCTCTCTTCACCCCTGCTACCCTTCCCCTCCCAGCCTCTGGTAACCACCATTCCATCTCTATTTCTATGAGACCCACTTCTTTAGTTCCCACCCCACACGAGTGAGAACATGCAATGTCTGTCCTTCTGTGCCTGGCTTATTTCTCTTAATATAATGACCTCCAATTCTATCTATGCTGCTGTCAATGATAAGATTTCATTCTTTTTATGGCTGAATAATATTCCATTGTGTATAGATACCACATTTTCTTTATCTGCCAATGGACACTGAGACTGACTCCATATTTCGGTTATTATGAACAGAGCTGCAATGAACAAGGGAGTGCAGGTATCTCTTCGATACGCCGTTTTCTTTTTTCGGGGATATACCCAGGAGTGGGATTGCTGGATCATACGGTAGTTCTACTTATAGTTTAAGGAACCTCCAAAGTGTTTTCCACAGTGGCTGTACTTACAAAGTAAATTTTAAAGTCAGATTAAACTATAGACTGATTTGGCCAGGCGCGGTGGCTCACGCCTGTAATCCCAGCACTTTGGGAGGCAGAGGCGGGCGGATCACGAGGTCAGGAGATCGAGACCATCCTGGCTAACACAGTGAAACCCCATCTCTACTAAAAATACAAAAAAAAAAAATTAGCCGGGCGCGGTGGCAGGTGCCTGTAGTCCCAGCTACTCGGGAGGCTGAGGCAGGAGAATGGCATGAACCCAGGAGGCGGAGCTTGCAGTGAGCCGAGATTGCGCCACTGCACTCCAGCCTGGGCACAGAGTGAGACTCCGTCTCAAAAAAATAAATAAATAAATAAAAATAAACTATAGACTGATTAAACCAGTTAATCCATTGCACTTCATTTTTTTCTTATTAAACATCTTTGTTTGCTACAAATGATAGATACATCCTTGCAATCTTGCCTATTCTTTTTTATCCTATAAAGTGTTATCAAAGGAATCTTCCTAAAACCTGACTTTTTACTCTGACATTCCTTTGCTTAAAAACTTGTAAAATACCCAGCCTGAGTTTTCATTATTTTCTTTCTTCCAGACAGGCTAATAAATGCACAATTGGACAATCACTGCTTTTCAGAACACCTCTCATTTCCAATTCCTTACACCTGGAATGCCCTTTCCACTATTATCTTTCTCAGTCAAAGACCAGATTAAGTCTCTCCCTAAACTTTTCCTGGTGATTTTAGGCTAAAATAATCTTTTTCTAAAATGCTATGGTAATTACAATCTGAATTACTTTGACAAAACGAAATACTGGTTTTAAAGAAATGCTTAACTATTTCATGTGTTTCCAACGGGAAGAATTTCAAACAGATACTGCGCATTACATACACTTCTGCTTCCTTCTCTACTTCTCGTGGATGCTTAATATATAAATTATACTCTTTAGGCTGGGCACTGTGGCTCACGCCTGTAATCCCAGCACTTTGGGAGGCCAAGTGGGGGCAGATCACCTGAGGTCAGAAGTTCAAGACCAGCCTAGCCAACATGGTGAAACCCCATCTCTACTAAAAATACAAAAAATTGGCTGGGCGGGATGGGGTGCACCTGTAATCCCAGCTACTCAGGAGGCTGAGGCAGGAGAATCACTGGAACCCAGGAGGCGGAGGCCGCAGTGAGCCAAGATCACACCACAGCACTCCAGCCTGGGTGATACAGCAAGATTCCATCGCAAAAAAAAAAAAAAAAAAAAAATACACTTTAGAAACAAAAAACCCGAAAGGCAGATAATAAGCAAATGTTAAGAGTTCAATTTTGATGAGAGTTGACAAGAAGACTTTTTATATATAAGTACTTAAAACAATAAAGCTAGAGCATCTACATCAAAAACCATACTTTATCAGATTTTATTACTTAAGTAAGGATGGGATGGAAATCAAATAAAATACAAGACAGTCTGAAACACACACCTACAAATAAAAACGCCACTGTCTCTATTTTCTCTCAGCCACTGTATTTTTCCCTTCATTAGTCCCTATAATTTGAGTTTGTCCCCTTCCGTCCTTCTCTTGACAAACTTATCTAAAGTAATTAAAATGAAATATATTATATTCAAATTTCGTAAATGCTTGGTTCTTAGAACATAAATATTTCTGAATTCTCGATTCAGTATTTAGTTCTTACCTGCAATTTCAGATGTATCTGAAATAATTCGTCATATATCTGACTGATCTGATGTGGAAGTAAACTCCGCTTGTCTGATGCTTTAGATTTTGGACAGCTGACAGGTTTCAAAGGAGAGTCACCTGCATCACTACAACACTCAGTCCGAGGTCTCGATGAGGTCGTATTAGTTGGCAAGGCAACTGCAAAGAAAATAACATTTGCATTATAAACTTTATTAACTTATTGTTTCAAATATTCTCAGAGTAACCTTTAGGAAGAGATGCTTTAAGTACAAAATATAACATTAAAAAGTTTCAAGAGAGACAAAGAAAAATATAGCAAATATGGTAAAGTGGTAACATCGAAAATTTGGGTGAAGGGTATACAGCAATTGATTGCACTATCTTTGCAACTTTTCTGTAAGTCTGAAATGATTTCAAAATAAAATATTTTAAAGGATATAAAAAGACACTAATTGCCAAGAAATGGAAAGCAACCTTAAAAGCCCCTAATCATGTTCCCCTCTCTCCCCTAAACCAAATTTACCACTAATGCAAGTAAGTGTTACATGCTGCTTTGCTTTGCTGTTTAATCTCCACTACTTAATCTTAAAAGTCCTTGCTTGTTTTGCCTTTTATATTTTATATGTAATTATATTAACATAATTTCTATAACCTCTTCTTTTAAACAGGTTCACAAATCTTCACTGTATATCCTATTTTGCAAACACTGTATACAGCATCCTCCTATAGGTGGAAATTTGAGCTGATTTGGCTATACAGATGCTACAGTCTCGTACGTGGCTTCTGGTGTACAAGTTTAAGAGTTTCCTGAGGGTGGCAGGGCGCGGTGGCTCACGCCTATAATCCCAGCACTTTGGGAGGCCGAGGCGGGCGGATCATGAGGTCAGGAGATTGAGACCATCCTGGCTAACACGGTGAAATCCCGTCTCTACTAAAAATACAAAAAAAAAAAATTAGCCGGGCGTGATGGCGGGTGCCTGTAGTCCCAGCTACTCGGGAGGCTGAGGCAGGAGAGTGGCGTGAATCCGGGAGGCGGAGCTTACAGTGAGCCCAGATCGCGCTACTGCACTCCAGCCTGGGCGACAGAGCGAGACTCCATCTCAAAAAAAAAACAAAACAAAACAAAAAAAAGTTTCCTGAGGGTATATAAGTAGTAGCAAAATTGCTAGATCATAGGGTATATGTGCAGATTCAACTTTACTAGTGATGCCAAATTGTTTTCCAAAGTGGCTGTATCAATTTACTCTCCCAACAGCAGTAGGTGAGTTCCTCTTGCTTGATATCCTTGCCAGCACTATACTGTCAGAATTTATTTTCTTTTAACAATTAGAGTATAAAATGCTCTCGGTCAGTGTTTTTTTGTTGTTGTTTTGTTTTGTTTTTTGAGACGGAGTCTCACTCTGTCGCCCAGGCTGGAGTGCAGTGGCGCGACCTCGGCTCACTGTAAGCTCCGCCTCCCGAGCAGCTGGGACTACAGGGGCCAGCCACCAAGCCCGGCTAATTTTTTTGTTATTTTTTTTTTTAGTAGAGACAGGGTTTCACCGTGTTAGCCAGGATGGTCTGGATCTCCTGACCTCGTGATCCGCCCACCTCTGCCTCCCAAAGTGCTGGGATTACAGGCACGAGCCACCGTGCCCGGCCTTGCTTTTTTTTTTGAGACAGAGTCTCTCTGTCGCCCAGACTGGAGTGCAGTGGCACAGTCTCAGCTCACTGCAACCTCCGCTTCCCGGGTTCAAGTGATTCTCCTGCCTCAGCCTCCCGAGTAACTGGGACTACAGGCACGTGCTACCATGCCTGGCTAATTTTTTGTATTTTTAGTAGAGACAGGGTTTCACCGTGTTAGCCAGGATGGTCTCGATCTCCTGACCTCGTGATCCACCCGCCTCGGCCTCCCAAAGTGCTGGGATTACAGGCGTGAGCCACCGCGCCTGGCCGACGCTCAGTGGTTTTAACTTGCACTAGACTCATGGAAGCCCCAGCTTTAAAAAAGGAGGGGGGTGTGTCTTCCATTATACTCCATTTTGAACAGACAACGGAGAAGTAAAAATAAAACATAGTATGAATTTTTTAAAATGAAAAGCTTCACTTCACTCAGTTCAGCAAATGCCCTAAAAGTGAAAGGCACATTCACAGAGCTCTACTTGCCTGTCTAGGTTCCCGACTCACCAATCCCTGGCCCGAGCATTTCTTAATTTTGTCTACTTTCAAATATGAGGTTGGTGCAAAAGTCATTGTGGCTTTTGCCATTACTTTTAATGGAATACAAGCAACATTTTCTTTATACCTTATCCCATGTTTTCCACTGGGAAAATCGACCATATAGCAGGAAACTCAAGTCCCGACAGAATTATTTTTCATCTTCCTCAAATGATGAGAATAATGGGACAAAGGAAAACAAAGGAGAGGGAAAAGAGGAAAATGAATGTTGTTGTGTGTAGACCATAATACCAGCACCAGTATTATCAACAGGGCAACTCAAAGTCTTGTAGCCCAGAGGGTGAAGGGTGCCATTTCTGGTTGTCTCATTCCTTGAAATCCCGCCACAACTATGAAATGCAGCCAGATACACAGAAAACTGCTGGCAGTTCAGTGCCCAGAAATCCATACTTCAAATAATCTGGAGTATTTTCTCAAAATATTGTAGTCAAATACTACCACAATCATCTACTCAGTTATTAACTTATTTTGATAAATTTTGAGGGTACAGGAATATTACTGAAAAATAATGAAGTTTAATTTTCTCTGCTCCTTTAGTTTAATAATAAGCACAGTAACTATCTCCTAGCTTACAGAAGTTCAGAACACAGAAATATGCAAACTCTTGGGGGCCAGTGTTATTACTAGGAGGGAAGCTTCATTTACTCTACTTGACAAAGTTACTACTGAATTGATTGTTCTAAAATATTTATTTTACCTTTTTCTATTTCTTTAAAAGACTGCTTGGTTATTTTCGAGGTACTAACTCTATAATCATTTTCAATTAACTCTTCTTCTGTTTCCTGTTTCTTCAAATCATGGAAAGAATCCAGTTCATCATCTAGGCTTTAAAAAAATAATTGTATCACAGCAATCTAGAAGTTTACTATAGCACTTTAAAAAGATAAAACTGCTTTTCAAATATTAACAGCATAACTGAGAAAAAATGTAAAAACATTTTTTAAACTGCAAAATGTAAACATGTAAAAAGAAAAAACGTAAAAACTAACAGTCACTGATCATTGATAACCCACTACAAGCATCTTTTTCTACACATTAAATAGACTTAATTTAAAATGACATATACCTACCTGTGGTATATTCTACAGCTAAGGAACACTTTATTTTGACTCCCAATAATCTGTTATCTATAAGGTAGTTTTAGCTAAAATAATATACATAAGTAAACTAAACCTAAGTAAGTCAAATAACTGATGGGTGACATAACGAGTAGAAAGTGGAGCAGAACTAGAATTCCAGGTGTTGTCTCCAAAAAGACAATCTGAGTTGAAATTTTTGGAATAGTATTGTTCAAAAGCAATATAACACAAGTCATATAGGTAATTTAAAATTTTCTAGTAGCACGTTAAAAAAATAAATTTTAAAAATATTAGTTAATATAATATATCTAAAAGTTTATCATTTCAACATGTAATCAATGTTAAAAATTATTAGGATAGAACAGGCATGGTGGCTCACGCCTGTGATCTCAGCACTTTGGGAGGCCGAAGTGGGAGTATCTCTTGAGCCCAGGAGTTCAAGATCAGCCTGGACAACACAGTGAGACTCTGTCTCTACAAAAAGAAAAATAAATAAAATAAATTAGCTGGGAGTAGTGGTGCACGTCTGTAGTCCCAGCTACTCAGGAGCCTGAGGTGAGAGGATCGTTTGAGCCCAGGAGTTGGAGGCTACAGTGAGTTACAATTATGCTACTGCACTCACAGCCTGGGCAACAGGCTCGCCCCCTGCAAACCCACATACACCCACACAAAATTAAGATATTTTACATTATTTTATCCATGCCTATTTATTTATTTTTTGAGACGGAGTCTCACTCTGTCACCCAGGTTGCAGTGCAGTGGCGCGATCTCGGCTCACTGCAACCTCTGCCTCCGGGTCCAAGCAATTCTCCTGTCTCAGCCTCCCGAGTAGCTGGGACTACAGGCACCCGCCACCATGCCCGGCTAATTTTTGTTATCTATGCTAAGTCTTAGAAAGCCAGTGTGTATATGACACTTACAGCATATCTCAATTCAGACCAGCCCCATTTCAAGTACTCAATAGGTACATGTGGCCTGTTGCTACTGTGCTGGACAGCATAGTTTCAGACCAGATCACAACTAGGGGTCCAATGTTATGAAAACCTTCATAGTCCAAAACCTTTAGATTATAGTTTAGAGTTATACCCAGGTCATTATATAAAAAATGATAAAACTCAGTTAAAAAGAAAATAATTTCCATAAATTTATAATTATTACCTTAAAAGCAATTTTCACTTTCCTTACCCTACATTCAACGTAGCTCATGTCTAAATCCTAAATCTAGATCAACTAGATTTTGTGAGTGCAACATGAAATAGTAATAATAATGATAATAGGTAACATTTGAGTACTTATTATTTACCCAGAACTGTTCAAAGTGTGTTACACAGATTAACTTATTTAAGTAGAGAAAGAGAAAACTGTATTAAAAAAAGTCAAGCTCCCAAATACTAATTATGTAACATACAGATACTTTAGGCATAATTATTTTTTCTCTCCACAATTATTTCAACATTTCATGTTATATATGGATACATCTTTATTTCAAAATGCTTACTCCTTCTTGATACCCATAGCATTTCTTTCTGCCACATATTTTTAGCATTAAATAATATCCAACTTAGATCTTTATTTTACCTTAGCTTCCACTGTTTTTATATTTTTTCCCCATAGTAAATAGTATCTTCCTTACAGAACGGCAACTTCTTTTAACCCAGCACTGTATCCTACATACCCTGTAGTTACCATCTCCCCAGACCACCTTCTTCAATCTCTCTCAATCACCTAAATACAATGCATACAATACCAGACACACCAGAGATAGTAAAATGCTGCTGCCTAACAAAACCTGTATGGCAGTTTTTTTTGTAGTTCGTTTTTTCTTTCTTCAGGACAGTTTTGCTCATCACCCAGGCTGGAGTGCAATGGCACAATCTTAGCTCACTGCAACCTCCACCTCCCGGGTTCAAGTGATTCTCCTGCCTCTGCCTCTCAAGTCGCTGAGATTCCAGACGCACACCACCAAGCCTGGCTAATTTTTCTATTTTTTAGTAGAAACGGGATTTCACCATGTTGGCCAGGATGGTCTCAAACTCCTGACCTCAGGTGATCCACCCGCCTCGGCCTCCCAAAGTGCTGGGATTACAGGCGTGAGCCACCGCACCTGGCCCATAGTTCCTTTTCTAAAAAAAAATTTTTAAAGAAAGGGAGCAGAGTCTTCATTTGGGTCCTGAATGAATAACCATAAAAATATATTTTTTCATCTTTTACATTATATAAATAACTTTCCATTATGCCACTAAATATAATGCTAGGTCTATGCTTTTATTACAGAGATTCTCAGTAAAAATTAATAAGTGACTCGCTTCAACTATTTAGCAGGCTCCAGACTGCCTTATACTTGTCCTCATACTTGTCCTCAGGAAAGAGCAAAAATATAACCTGCCCTTTTCTCTTTCTCAGTTTTTTGAGATACTGAGGGGGTAGCAACAGTAAAGTTTCAGGGTACTTTACCAATTCACATTTACGTGCTTGAATAAGCTGCCCAATGGTGTTCTACAATGCTTGCTTTCATCAGAATATTTTAACGATGAACCAACTTTATCTCCAGAGTAGATATCCAAATCACCTGTCAACGACAAAGAAACCATGAAAGATTACCACAACAATATATCACAAAATATCTGGCACTGGCCATAAGTCTAAATAATACTATTTTTAAAATCTTCTCTCTCAAATTTTTTTTTCTTTTTTTTTCTTTGAGACGGAGTCTCGCTCTGTCACCCAGGCTGGAGTGCAGTGGCGCAATCTCGGCTCACTGCAAGCTCCGTCTCCCGGGTTCACCCCATTCTCCTGCCTCAGCCTCCTGAGTAGCCGGGACTACAGGAGCCCGCCACCACACCCGGCTAATTTTTTGTATTTTTTTTAGTAGAGACGGGGTTTCACCGTGTTAGCTAGGATGGTCTCCATCTCCTGACCTCGTGATCCGCCCGCCTCGCCTCCCAAAGTGCTGGGATTACAGGCGTGAGCCACCGCGCGCAGCCTATTTTTTTCTTTTTTGAGACTGAGTTTCGCTCTTGTTGCCCAGGCTGGAGTGTAGTGGCGCCATCTCGGCTCACTGCAACCTCTGCCTCCCGGGTTCAACCGATTCTCCTGCCTCAGCCTTCCCAGCAGTTGGGATTACAGGCGCCCGCCACCATGCTCGGCTAATTTTTTGTATCTTTAGTAGAGACGGGATTTCACTATGTTGGCCTGAGTGGTCTCGAACTCCTGACCTCAGGTGATTCGCCTGCCTCGGCCTCCCAAAGTGCTGGGATTACAGGCGTGAGCCACCGCGCCCAGCCTCAAATTAAATTTTTGAAACCCCCAAATATACAAAATACCGGCTTACCTGGGGAGGTTAGAGTTCTTCTCTTATACTTAGACTGATAAAAATTTGAAAAATCATACTAAAAAAAAAAAGAAAAGATTTAATTTGTATACTAAAAATCAATTTACTGTCTCAAAATATTTCCCCACAAATTATGTATTAATTACAAAGGTTAGAGTGGAGAAATCTTGTAGACACCATCTTAACCAAGTGATCAAAACTAATATCATCAATAATGTGACAAACCAACGTCATGTTCCTCCCCACAGCAGGCCACACATCACTCATCTCATGCTCCTGCCAAAAATGCATAATCAATCTAACGAAGAAGCATCTATAAGATAAACCCAAACGGAGAAACAATCCAATAAATAATTCTTACACTTCTCAAAAAAAAAACAACCTTACAGAAAACAAAGGCTGTGAACCTGTTCCAGATTAAAGGCAACAAAAAGGACAATCAAATACAATCAATGCTCGTTCTTGGGTCGGATCTGCACTAGGAAAAAATTTTCCTATAAAAGGTTTTATCGAGATAATTGCTGAAATTTCTTATGAACTCTAGATTACCAAATATTATACCAATTCTAAATTTCCTGAAAATATTACTGTGGTTATTAAAAGACAACGTCCTTATGCTTAGGAAAAATGCACAAGTTATTTCTATTCAGAGGTAAAGGGGCATGATGCCTGCAAATCACCCTCAAATAGTTCAAAGGGAAAAAATGCGTTTGTAGGGAGGGAAGGGGAGAGAACGAATGGTAAAGCCAATGTGGCAAAATATTAATTTGTGAATGCAAGTGAGGGTACAAGGGAATTCTTGGTAATACTGCAGCAACTTTTGAGTAAGTCCGAAATTATTTCGAAATAAGCCGCTTTTAAAAAGCAATTCAATTGTTTTCACAACTCCACTCACATCACTGCAAAAAAAAGCTGAATAGCACTTTCTCCAACACCACACCATGCCCAGTATACCAGGAACACAGAGGCATAGGTGAAGCGGCACCCCCGCACCCCCGCAGCGCAACGCCCGCCCCTCCCGCCTGCTTCCACGAGGCCCAAGCCGCAGCCACGGCGGGAGTGCCGGGGCCGGGACCAGAGCCGCTGCGCGCCCCCAGGCCGGCTGCGCGGGGCACGGAGCGGGCCGCCCCCCAGCAGCAGGAGCCCACCCGCGGACCTCAGGCGGCGGCTTCACCTCGTCGGGGCAGCTGCCCCCGAGTCCGTAGCGGCTTTTGAGACTCTCCACTACTAAATCCTGCCCCGGTGGCTTGACGACCCTCGGCTCCATAGCACACAGCAACCGTACCAGTCTCCCCGGGAACCGCGTTCATCAAACCCGCGGCGCTACGCGGCCGCAGTGCGTCACGACGTGCCAGACCCCGCCCCCCCGAGGCACGCACGGCGGCAGGGAAAGGGCGGGGCGGGGCGACCCGGAGACTGCAGCCCGGCTTGTCAGCGCGTCCTCCAAGTTTCTCGTGCTAGCACTACACACCTCGTAACTGAGTAGTATTGCATCTCCCCGCGATAGTCCTGCCCCGGCTGCCTGGGTGCCACGGGTTGAGGGGCACCGAGGCCCCGCACCTGCCTGCAGCGCTCCGCTCCAGCTCCATTTAACCTGTTAAGTTTGGTGTGCGTTGCGCTCACCACATAGACCGGTCGTTCCATCAGAAGTGACCTTTGCTAACTGCCATATAAAAGAAAAACCAAGAGTATATCTGAGCCGGGAGTGGTGGCGCGCGTGTAGTCCCGGCTGCTAAGGAGGCTGAGGCGGGAGCATTGCTTTGAGCCTGAGAGTTACATCTATCTTGGGTAACATAGCAAGACTCCCATCTCTTAAAGTTAAAAAAAAAAAAAAAAAGGGAAAGCTGAGCATAGACATTGCAGATTACCTCACTTTCCCTGTGTTCCATATGGGGTATAACAGGGTATTAAAAAGAATAGTTAGAATGTAAGCACCCTGGAAAAAAAACTTTTTTTTTTTGAAAAGAAAAAAGCTTTTGCCAATACCTACAACAGTGCTAACCATAGTACATAGTATACATCAACCTGAAAACCTATGTTAAACAAAACTGACTGAGGGGAACTGTACAACCACTTCATTTTTCTCATTCATAAAATTACAGTGGTGTAATCTTTTACTTTCTAAATTGTGACTGTCAGCTGCATCTCTGGACTAACAACTCCTAAATTCTCTGGATTAAAGTTCCCAAATGCCCAAGTTTTATAAAATCTGTACTTCAGCAGTTATTATCTGAAAATTACTTAGGCCATACTTTTTGCCATAAAGTACCACTTAAGATGTACAAATAATGAATTTTATTCTATCTTTAAGCAGATTTTAATGAGACAACATAAAATCCAGTTTAAAAGGAAAGATACATATTATCGTGGGTTTAGACCACATCAGTGATTAAATAACAAAGAGAAATCAAAGTCCTTTCCTGAAATGTGACACAAAGACTTTCTCATAAATGCCACAAGCCACTTTTAAGCATCTTTGGAATACTAATACGGGAAAAGTCAGTTTACATGTCATTTTGTCAAATTTTTGGTCAAAGTTTTTAAAGCTTTTTAATTTGTAACTTTAGTGCTTTAGGAAAGCATACAAATCTGTAAAAAGTCTCTTAAAAAGCACTTGCATTAACTTAAGAATTTATTCTAAAATCATGACGAAGGCATCAACTGTCTCAGCTGAAAAGTTACAACACACTTTACATCAGTTTATATTACATAGATTTCCAAATAAGCCAATTTGAAATATTTAGTGTAAACATATGTAATCCATGGTTCAAGACTGAACTGATACATTTGGAGTAGGTTTATTTCAAGTATCTGGCTTTGTGGCCGAGTGGAATGGTGATGGTATACCATCACTCATTACTCGCACAACATCCCTCCCCTCTTTTGACTGGTGGTTGAACAGTTACTTGCTTTAGGATACCCAATTTCCAAATCCCCATGTAACAGGGAATAAACCTGTCTTTCCTCACTAAATAAAATGAGGTAATTTCACCCGAAAGAACACAGATGGGTGGAAGACAGTCAATATTCATAATTGCAATATACAAAATTTTGTGTTCTACCTGGATTCTTTGTAGTTCCATATTGAGTAGGCCAATAAGAACATCCTCTTTTCTTTAGCAATTTGCCTAACATTTGATACAAGCCATTTCCAAATACGTTTTTGGTGTGTATCAAACTTGAGAAACTAGGAGCTCTGGAAATTATGCAGCAGTTTGAATTTACTGCCTTTAAATTGTCTTCCTTACTTTAGAATGAACCCGAAGCGTAAGTAATGAATTTTTTGGATGTCAGTGGCTCTTAGGAATTGTCATTTTATTTCTGCTACAAAATTTACCAGAAAAAGGTACTGCAACAATCTTGTATAAAGCAAATCTTTAACGAAAGAACATGGTATAGACTTTCTAAAAATATTCATACTTTATCACAATAACTACAAGGAAAAATTCAATTTCTATCATCAGAACCAAGCTGCAGTTTCTGAGGTAGTAGAGACAGATGACAGAAAAGTTTGAAACAAAACCCCTAAAGGAAATAGTCAACTTGTTTAAAATGTAAAAATTAATCGAATATCTATGAAAGGGCACAGGAAGCTAGATATTTTAAGGAAGGAAGGTACGCTACTTACAAAGTTAACTTGTAACCACACAGGAGGTGTAAAGATTCTAGAGAAGAGCACTTTGGTTAACTCTATACGTTCTGTGGCTCTACCCATTCATAAACGAGTCTCTATGCATAAATGAGTACACCAATAGTTAAGATTACCAAATATATTTCAAACCTAAAATTAAATTATCCAAGTTGTGGTCCCTTTATTCAAATGGTAAGTATATCCATGCAGGAAGTCCAAATATCTTAAAAGGAATTAAAATTAAATTGCATATATCATATTCCTTCAATAGTTTGAGGTCTATTGCTTTTAACAAGATTAGTATTATTCCATTTTAATACGTCAGGAGTACATAAACACAAGTACACCTGAAATACACCAGTGTTTAAACTTTTATTTCACACCATGCAAGGTCAATTATAACACATTAAAAAGTGACAACAGCTATAAGCTGCAATTTTACATTTGTAAATCGGAAACGTCCATTTTCAAAAGCTGAACATAACTATCAAATTGTAATAGCTAAGCTTCAATCCAACTGCTTATACAGATGAAATTTTCTATGAACAACAATGATTTTATATCTGTCCACATTCTGTGATAGTTATTCTTCGACAAACAGACCCTTTGGGAGAACCAAATGATTCAATCTTTTTCACAGTATCCATGCCATCCTTAACAAACCCAAATACTACATGCTTAAAGTCCAAATGTTCTGCTTTCTTCAGTGTTATAACAAATTGAGAATTATTGGTATTCTGGCCTTGATTGGCCATGGATAGTAAACCAGGACCAGTATGTTTCACATCAAAATTTTCATCTTCAAATTTGTCTCCATAAATGGACTGTCCGCCTGTTCCATCATGTTTGGTGATATCTCCTCCCTGAAAAAAAGATTTATAATAAAAAAGTTAAAAATTTTTTTCAATTAATAGGAATCCTGAGTAAAATATTAAAATACACACAGAACTCATCACTACATGTTAAATCCTAAAGCCCAGCTTTCCTGAGTATAGTTTGAAAACTAAGAAATTCATATTGTTGGAAAGAAGATGAAAAATGAAAAGGTTTTTCCCATCCCTTAGTTTCTACTAGATCTCAAGTACTGAAAATTTGATTTTTTTTTTTTTTTTTTTTTTTTTTTTTAATGACAGGCTGTCTCACTCTGTCGCCCAGGATGGAGTGCAGTGGTGCAAACCTAGCTCACTGCAGCCTTGGCCTCCTGGATGCTCCCACCTCAGCTTCCTTGTAGCTGGGATCACAGACGCACACCACCACACCTGGCTAATTTTTGTATTTTTTTGTCCAGACGAGATTTTTGCCATGTTACCCAGGCTGGTCTCAAATTCCGGGGCTCAAGCAATCTGCCTGCCTTGGCCTCCTAAAGTGCTGGAATTACAGGTATGAGTCATTGTGCCCAGCCTCAATTATTTTAGGTTGAAAGTTTTAGGCAGGAGCAGGGAATGGGTAGTGATGCCATGTGATTCCATGTGTGGAAAACCTAAAGAAATCTTTAACAAAACTACAGGATGAGGTCAAGGAAAAACACTCAAATTTCCCATTAGTGTGGTGCACTCTTCAAGACCTCAATTGTGGTATGTACTTAATAATACCTACTTGGCAAACAAAATCTGGAATTACTCTGTGAAAAATGGAATTCTTGAAACCAAAGCCTTTCTCTCCAGTGCATAGTGCTCTGAAGTTCTCAGCAGTCCGAGGAACAATGTTTGAAAATAATTCCATAGTTATCCGCCCTAGAGGTTCACCGTCCGCACAAACATCAAAAAACACCACAGGATTGGTCTCCTTTGATAATTCTGCTGCCAGTGATACATGTCCTTTCTGGAGTTTCATTAAATTCTGCTGACATTCTTCAAATGTTTTCTTGAAACAATCAGCTACTTCTTTAGTTTTAAATCTCACTGCAAGCTGTTCTACTTTTGCTTCTCCATCTGGCAGGGAGGGAAAGGGGAAGCAGTGACCTTAGTATTAAAATAACTGTTATAAGTTGTTTTGTTTGTTATAGATTTTAGAAAAGTCCAAAAAATGAAAAGTAGCATTTGAATGTAAAAACTCACCAGCATAATCTGAGGCAGTCCAAACTAAAGCATTATTTGAAACATTTAAGGGCTTTAATTCCATTGTTTTAGTAATAACGTGGTTTGCACACACTTTAAAAACCTGGTCTCTTCTCATTAGGATCCGGTAATAATTCTTCATTGTATGCCAAAGAATCTTTATATCTCCAACACCGCGCTCCTTCCACTGACTGACATCCCGATCCCATCTATAAAGTTTGGCTCTCTCTTTAAACAAAATTTCTTCATCTTCTTCTCCAGATTTTACTTCTACCTATAATAGGAGATGAAATTCTCTATAAGCTGCTGCTTATAATAAATTCCATGACAAATTTCAAAGATCCAAATTCTTTTAAGGCATTTTCTTTGTGATGACAAAGAGAATTTGTTAATGTGATAACTGGTTATATATCTTAGGGCTAGGAATATATCTGATTTGGCTGAGGGAGTAAAGACCTGATTTATCATTAAACATTTTCTTTTATATAATATTCATTTTCCCTTTGGAAATTAAATGCTTTTCTTTATAGGACAGAGAGGTTTCAAAAGTGTTTGCTACTGAAGAGAAATATTAGCTACTGACTGAGGTTAAAAAATGACAAAGTAATTTTCCTAGAACAATGTTCTTGTCCAAAAAACATACAAGGTTAACATTTATTGAAAGGACTTTAGTGAGTATGAGGTTAATTTTTCCCCAGAATCATGTTATAAAAACAAACATGATATTCTAGAAACATAAGAAAAAATTATTTCTTACCAATAATTACATATAGAATTTACAAACCAATATTTATGTAAAAACTGTAAAAAGATAATTTATACTTAAAGGCTAGACATCTAATAAATAGAGCTTCCATTTCAAACAGTAAACATTCTTAAATGCAAACAATTATACCCTGACAGATCAAGCCAGGGTAAAACTTAAAAATGAAAAATAAGTTATTAGTAAAAGGTTAATTCCTTAACATTTACCTCTGGTAGTGACACTATTGGTTCAAAATGGATATCTTCATTATGAACTACTTCTTCATCACTACCATCTTCATCTTCACCAACTTTACCGGCTGACTGGGTTCCGACTGACTGTGTTCCAAACACAGCTGCTCCAGTATTTGCCCATTGGAAATTTTTATCTGATGAATAAATCAGGATATTTAAACACTAGTATCTATTTTTTACATTTTTCATCCCCCTCTTATTTTATCAATCCCTCTAATTCCTGATGATGTAATATGTACATCAATTTTAAATGTTTAAAATTATATTATTCTAGTAAATTCCTCACGCCTGTAATCCCAGCACTTTGGGAGGCCGAGGTCACCTGAGGTCAGGGGTTCGAGACCAGCCTGGCCAACATGGTGAAACCCCATCTCTACTAATAATACAAAAATTAGGCTGGGCGCAGTGGCTCACGCCTGTAATCCCAGCACTTTGTGAGGCCGAGGTGAGCGCATCTCCTGAGGTCAGGAGTTCAAGACCAGCCTGACCAACATGGAGAAACCCCGTCTCTACTAAAAATACAAAATTAACCAGGCATGGTGGCATATGCCTGTAATCCCAGCTACTCGGGAGGCTGGGGCAGGAGAATCGCTTGAACCCAGGAGGCGGAGGTTGCGGTGAGCCAAGATGGCACCATTGCACTCCAGCCTGGGCAACAAGAGTGAAACTCCGTCTCAAAAAAAAAAAGAAAGAAAGAAAGAAAAGAAAAGCCGGGAGTGGTGGTATGCGCCTGTGGTCCCAGCTACTTGAGAGGCTGAGGCAGAAGAATCGCTTCAACCTGGGGGGCAGAAGTTGCAGTGAGCTGAGATTGCCCCACTGCACTCCAGCCTGGGCAACAGAGCAAGATTCTGTCTTTAAAAAAAAAAAAAAAAGTTAGCAGTGTGTGGTCATGGGTGACTGATCCCAGCTACTCAGGAGGCTGGGGCAGGAGAATCACTTTAACTTGAGAGGCAGAGGTTGCAGTGATCAGATACCGCCCCACTGCACTCCAGCCTGGACGACAGAGCAAGACTCTGTCTTTAAAAAAAAAAAAAAAAAAAAAATTAGCCGGGCGTGGTGGCGGGTGCCTGTAATCCCAGCTACTCAGGAAGCTAAGGCAGGAGAATCGCTTGAACTTGGGAGGCGGAGGTTGCAATGAGCAGAGATCGTGCCATTGTACTCCAGCCTGGGTGACAGAGCAAGACTCTGTCACCAAAAAAAAAAAGGAAAAAAAGGAAAAAAAAAAAAGCTAGTAAATTCAACTCATACTGTTGAGTACAGAGTACATTTATTATTGTTATGCTTAGCGATACAAAGATAAGACTGTCACTGCCTTGGATAAACTTCCTAATACTAAACTACACAAGGACTTCCAAGTAAAGAAGTAGGTTCTTTTTACCTACTTCTAAAATTTCAAGTACCCACCTTGAAATTTTGTAAACTTAGCTCAGCAGGCCAAACCTGCTACTTCCAAATTAGCCACAATGGCCTAAACATGTTTATAATTTCTGCATCTCTACTTCTTCCTGAAGAAGCTAATGCTGGAATGTAGATTTCTTGGTTGGGCTGGTGGAAAGCAGCCTTGGGAGAATCTCACTGACTTCAACTGCCCAAAGGGTATTAGATTGTTAAGCATCCTACTTCTGTATGGGGGAACAATGATGGTCTCACTCTCGCATACCTGCAAGAAGGTGAAAACTAGAAACTTCTCCATCCCATACCTCAATTTAGATGACCAAGTCCCCACTATCTTAGAGGAAAGAAACACCTCTCAACTTTTTATCACTTGCTGAATCACTGTCTTAAAGAACCCTACACCTTCTGCTAAAAACTCTCATGAAAAAGAAAAAATGTCACAGGATACATAACTCAGTACCTTAAAGAACACAATAAAAAATCAACTCTCTTTCAGACAGATTTAATGGAGGGGAAAAAAAAATGTTTTTAAAGAGGAGAGAGGGCCGGGTGTGGTGGCTCATGCCTGTAATCCCAGCACTTTAGGAGGCCGAGGCGGGCTGGTCACTTGAGGTCAGGAGTTCGAGACAAGCCTGGCCAACATGGCGAAACCCCATCTCTACTAAAAATACTAAAAGAATTAGCGGGGTGTTGCAGTGCATGCCTGTAATCCCAGCTACTCAGGAGGCTGAGGCAGGAGATCACTTGAACCTAGCAAGCAGAGGTTGCAGTAAACTGAGATCTGCGCCACTGCACTCCAGCCTGGGCAACAGAATGATCGTCTCAAAAAAAAGAGACAGAAAGACAAAAATTCTTAAGGACATATTGCAAAGGAATGATCTGAGAACAAAAGCCACAGGTTGCATGGGAACTTCCTGAGAACAGTAACCACTGATCTGGATGAGATACCAACTTGGGGGCTCAAAAATAACTGTTCAGGGCCAGGTGCAGTGGCTCATGCCTACAATCCCAGCACTGTGCAAGGCCAAGGTGGCAGGACTGCTTGAGCCCAGGAGTTTGAGACCAGCCTGGGTAACATAGTGAGACCCCTGTCTCTACAAAAAATGTAAAAATTAGCTAGGCATGGTGGTACACACCTGTGGTCCCAGCTACTTGGGAAGCTGAGGTGGAAGGATTGCTTTAGAGCCCAGGAGGTCAAGGCAGCAGTGAGCTGTGTTCATGCCACTGCACTCCAGCCTGGGCAACAGAGTGACATCCTGTCTCAAAAACAAAAACAAAAACAAAATTGTTCAGCAACTTTTTTGCCAAAAGCAAAAATTTAAAAAATAACCCCAAGGGACATGTGGCAGAAGAATTCAAAATTATTTCAAAATAGTGGTTCTCTACCCTGGGAACACATTAGAATCACCCACTTGTAAAAGTATTTGTAATATATCAATATCTGGGTCTCACAGGTCATAACTGGGCCTACAGTAATGTTACTGTAAGTGAATAATTAATTTGGCAAGCTTTGAGACATTAGAGAAAATAAGATTGAAACTCTAAATTATCTGGAAATTTACAAAAGTATAAAGATTCCCTATGAAAACCTGTGGATACAAACAAAACTGACTGCAAGGCATTTACAGTTTCAAATACTATTTTTAACAAGCACAATCTAAATTAACTAAAGTAAGCATTCAATACACAAGAGCTTGGTGAATAAAAATGACAAGTGGTAGTGAGAAGTGAATGTTAATGCATAAGGCTTATTTAGGCATGGTTTCCTCCCGATATGTGAGTACTGCCTACTTTTCACTTTAGTGTCCAATATTGACATAATACTTCAAAGAGGCTACACTGAGTAACAAGGAGCCTATCTATTTTTTTGGGATTTTTTTTGTGTAAGTGTACCTACTATATTGCTTATTTACTGACACATTACCCTTTGATTTCAGGCTATTTCATAAATTAAAAATAAACGACATCAGTGAAGCCATGAATTCCAACATAACATCACATCTGAAGGTAATTTCTAAAAGTTTTATGTGTTTCTAGGTGGCAGGAGCTGTGAAAAAAGTGCAAATATAGAGGAGGAAAGAACAGAATTCTGAACTGCATTAATCATTTAAGCACATATCCTCAATAAAATGTATTCCATAAATCAAACACCTTGTACTAGAACTATTTAAGGGGTGCTATAAAGAGCAATGTGAAAGATATTACAAGAATGAAAAAATATAATGGATGGCCTTACACTAGTAAACCGGATACAATCAGGGAAATGGATTCTTTTCTAGAAATGTTACCAAAATGGATTAAAAATAGAAACTCCACTAAAGAAGATGGGCAAGCACACCAATTATAAACTTAGCACAATAAATTAGCACAACCCTAATACTGAAATCCAAAGATAGTACAAAAAAGAAAACTACAAAATCATATCCTTAAAAAGTATAAACTCACAAAACCTGAAATATTAACAAATCACATATGAAAGTATAGTTAAAAGAGTAAGGATCAAAGTCAGAGTCATTCCAAAGCTCAAAAATGGTTCTGCATTTCAGAATGGGGAGGACTATCAGCATGGCTTATATAAAATTAAGAGAAAATTCTTAAGATTATATTGACGTCAAAAAATAAAGTGTAGAAGCCCTTCATTATTAAAACACTAAAACAAACTGGGGGGTAAGGGAAGAAACTTCTAACTTAGTTATATACTGCAACAAAAAACTAGTTTTTCAGTTGTGCTTGATTCTGTAACAATGTCATTAAAAGTCTCTCCTCTTGATCTTACCTTTAGAACCAAAAGCAAAATCTCCAGAATTACTGGAAGCCAAGTCTGCAAATGAGAGCCCTGTGCTACTTCCAAATCCAAATGAAACTATCTTGCTTTCCCCTGGCAAAAGAAAAAAAGAACAATTTACTATTTAATTTGTGCTGAATATCAAAGCTTTACCCCAGGACCTAGAGAGAACAGTAGAGACTTGTATACTCTGGGATGAGGGGAGTTATTTAAATTCTGTCAAGTTACAAAATACATCCAATTCTGAGCTACTTCAGTATTACTAATTTTACAGGTGCTATTCACAAAGAATACTACAATACTACACCAAATGCATGCCAAAAATTATTTTTTATAAATGAGAAGGAGAGCTATCTATATTAAGCCAGATATTAAACTACAGTTTCTGCTCTATGGAGCCTACTATACTCTAAAGCAAGCATTCAGTCAAAGGCAGGGTTTTAGGAAACATCTGTATAAAAACTTTTTGTGTTCTGTACTATAAATAAGCTCATAAAAACCAAATGTCTCATTTACACTTCGTCATAAGGACTTTTGCGGTCTTCTCTTAATTCTGCTAATGTGAAGCTGCATGATCTCTGAAAGCCCCATGCCTTATTTTCCTCATATGAAAATGTATGAGGTTTTAGGTATGAAGTCGTCTTCCTCTTTTAGCACATTAAGACTCTCAAATGCCTATAAATGTAATATTTGTGACACTGAAGGCTATTTTTAAAAAGTAGGTAAGGTACACAAAGCAATACAACTTAAACTTCCCACTTCCATCCCCAAAATCGAAATGAAAAAGAGAGAAAGCAATACCAAATATGTTACTGTAACTGAATAATTAATTTAACAAGCTTTAAAAGTATTAGAGAAAATAAGAAACATTTAAGTAGTACCATAAAACTTTCTTAAATCCGTAATATTTCTACAATTCCTTCATAATTAAAACACTTTGAATATGCTTGAGTGATAATATAATTCAAACAATATTTAAATGAAAACACTATCACAAAGGAAATTACATGTAACAACACTATTGTCTTTTAAACTCAGGAAAATAGGTCAGAATCATAATGCTTTGTATTCCCTAATAACCACAACTCTATCAATAAAAACATGTTTATTTGTTGGCAACACAGTATAATTTTTCTGGTTATTATTACTACTACTACTAAGATGCCCCTTTATACATATCAAAATGTGTTTTAAAGGGAGTTTTCAGGATCAGCCTTTAAAAGTCTATCTTCTCAAATATAAGGTGTCCCTTATGTAACACATGATAAACATATATCAAGATTTACCTTGGCTTGTAGAATCTGTATCAATTTCCTTTCTAGTTGACAAATCTACAGGTTTGTCCATAGTTTCAGAGGAAACAGATGGTGAACTAATGGATTTGGTAATAGAATCAGGTTCTTCAGATTTACAGAAAGAAGGTACCATCACTTCAGTCCCACCTGTATATACACTGTCAGTTGTGCTAGTTATTTCTTCTGTCTGAGATTTCTGCAAAGAGGAAGTCACAAAATACTATGCCACTTAAATGCTAATTTACAAAACAGATTATATAATCTATTTCAAAGGGAATTGAGAACTTGGGCTTCTGGAGAAGATAGAATAAACACACTTCACCCTATCTCTCCTCAAAACCTATAACTAAATGCCTACACTGAAACATACAGAGCACCTCTAAGAAGCCTTAGAAAGGTGGATAAAAACAGGAAGAATAAGGATCTTGGGACCAGAGAGATAATCTGGAGGTTAAGATCCACACGGAGTTTTTCTGCCACTCCTGTAACCCAGCCTGGGTGCTACAGCAGCCCAAAAAAACTGGAACTGCCAATGGCACAATGTCAGCAAAAAAAGAGACTCTACTTTCTTCTCAAGTGCACAGAAGACATTCACCAAGACAGACCTCACAACATTTAAGAGAACTGAAATTATTCAAAATATTTTCATAAACCATAAAGGAATTAAACTAGAAATCAATAAGAGAATGATATACAGAAGGAAAATCACCAAATATTTGGAAATGGCACAGTAGCATCTAACGTACAGATCAAAAAGAACGTCTCAAGGAAAATAAAATATTTCAAACTGCATGAAAGAGAAAATATCACATATTAAAACTTGCCAGTTGCAGCTAGGAAGTGCTTAGAAGGAAACTTATAGAATTAAATACTTATACTAGAAATAAAGAATGATCTTAAATTCATAATTTAAGCTTTTTTTAAATTAAGAAACTAGGCCGGGCCCAGTGGCTCATGCCTGCAATCCCAGCACTTTGGGAGGCCAAGTCAGGAGGAACACTTGAAGTCAGGAGTTCAAGACCAGCCTTACCAACATGGTGAAACCCCGTCTCTACTAAAAATACAAAAATTAGCCACGCCTATAATCGCAGATACTCGGGTGGCTGAGACATGAGAATTGCTTGAACCCAGGAGGCAGAGGTTGCAGTGAGCTGAGATCATGCCACTGCACTCCAGCCTGGGAGACAGAGCGAGACTGTCTCAAAAGCCAAAAAAAAAAAAAAGAAACTAGAAAAAAAGTGCAAAATCCAAGGCAAGAAGGAAATAATAAAGAAGAGAAATCAATAGTGTTTTTTAAAACTTAAGAAAACTCCAGACGTGGTTTCATTGGTAAAAACTGCTCAACATTTAAAGGGAAAATGGCACCAAGTCAACAACCAAGTCTCTTCCAGAAAACAGCAATACAGAAAATACTTCTCAATTCATTTTATGATACCAGTATTACCATTTTTTTAAGAGGCGGTCTCACTATGTTGTTGTCCAGGCTGGAGAGCAGTGGCTATACACAGGCACAATCATAGCGCACTGCAGCCTGGAACTCCTGGACTCCCGAGCAATCCTCCTACTCAGCCTCCCAAATAGCTGGGACTACACACACATATCACTGAGCCCAACCAGCATTACTCTTACATGGAAACCAAAGACAGTATCAGAAAACTACTAGTATCCTGATAAATATAAACCCAAAAATTTATAACAAGATTTATGCAAATTGAATGCAACCACATAACAAAATTGTACCATGACCAAGTGAGGTTTACGCTGGAATGCAAAGTTAGTTTTCTGAACATTTGAAAATGCAATGTCATTCACAGATTTAATAAAAATCACGATTGTATCAATAGTTAAAAATTTTTGACAAAAAGGTAAAAACATTAGGTGATGATGTGTCAATGTAGATTCATCAACTGTAACAAATATACAATCTTTTCTTACCATAGAAATTTTAGAATTCACTTGTGTACATCCATAAAGAATTCCTGGCCAGGCGCGGTGGCTCACGCCTGTAATCCCAGCACTTTGGGAGGCCAAGGTGGGTGGATCACGAGGTCAAGAGATTGAGACCATCCTGGTCAACATGGTGAAACCCTGTCTCTACTAAAAAAATACAAAAATTAGCTGGGCGTGGTGGCGCATGCCTGTAGTCCCAGCTGCTTGGGAGGCTGAGGCAGGAGAATCACTTGAACCTGGGAGGCAGAGGTTGCAGCGAGCAGAGATCGCCCCACTGCACTCCAGCCTGGCGACAGAGCGAAACTCCATCCCCCCCCAAAAAAAAAAAAAATTCCTGGAGGGGTTTTGACTGGTGTTGTGTTAAATCTATAGATCAATTTCGGAAAATTGATATTCTAGTTATTTTGAGTTTTCCAATCCATAAACAGTATATACCTTTCCATTAATTTAGATTTTTTATTTCATCAGTGTTTTGTAGCTTTTGGCATATAGCCCCTGTGTAGAACAAAATTAAAATTCCTTCTTTCCTGGCCATAGCTGATTAGTCTAGACCCTTAAACCCATTTAGTAGCCACAACCCATTATTATTATTTGGTAAGAACATTCTAGGTCAGGCGCATCACCTGAGGTCCGGAGTTCGAGACCAGCCTGGCCCAACATGGCGAAATCCCGTCTCTACTAAAAATACAAAAATTAGCCAGGCGTGGTGGCAGGCACCTGTAATCCCAACTACTCGGGAGGCTGAGGAAGGAGATTCACTTGAACCTGGGAGATGAAGGCTGCATTGAGCCACGAGCATGCCATTGCACTCCAGCCTGGGCAACAAGAGTAAAATTCTGTCTCAAAAATAAATAAATAAGAACATTCTAAAGTTTACTGCATCAACAAAGGCAATGGAACTAGAAGGAAAATTTATTAGAGATGTTCTTACTTGAGCTTCCTGAACTTTTTGAAGCTCTGATTGAAAGTCCTCCCCATTTCCATTGTCTTCATCAGTATCACTACAGACTCCACAAAAAAATGTAGGTGGAAGTTTTAACGTATCTGCTTTTGCCTTCTCTTCAACTGTTGGTTTCTTTTCCCAAACAATAATACATTCTTTCTCATTATCTGAAAAATCAGTACAACACAAGCAAACGAAATTAGATGAAGCCCAACTTCTCTACAACAATGGTAGTCATCAACATAATCCACAGACCCAGGTAACAAGACCTGTACATACTAATGAAAAACAAGGACCACCCAGAAAAGAATATTTTCACCTGTTAGTTTTAAGTTTTTTAAATCACCATGGGCATCGTAAAATCGATAATTATAGAAATTATCAGACTAGGTTATTCCTTCTAAATAGAAGACTTGTTAAAAGCATTATAAATGTCCTTTACACTTAACATACCTGCTGTATTTTCTTCCAAGGGTCTACATTTTTCTGAGCCATCCAAATATAGTTTTCCATTAAGTTTCTTGACAGCTGTTTCGAAATCTTCATCTTAAAATACAATTGATTAAAAGAATTTCTAGTTAATTTTGGGGGGTTTTCCTTGCTTAGGGACTACCTCCAACTTCACCATTTCTCACTCTCCACATCTGAATTGCAGCCAATTTTATATCTTTAATACCTCTCTTTCTGCTAGAGCTTTAGCTCAGCCTCTCATCTTGTTTGAGCTGCTCTCATTTTAGTTCATCTTCCGATCTCCTTGTCCCATAACCCAATACTATATACCACTGTCCAACTGATTCTATTGAGACTTTTATTTAACTGTCCAGCTTAAAAACTGTTACTGCATACAAAGTTTTCCACTGGAACCTTGTCCGCCTTCTCTCTCTCTTCCACATCTTTAAGACTCCAGCAAAATTATAATTATTTTAAATCCCCTCAAAACACGTGCCTGGCACATTAGCCATCCAAAAAATGCTTGCTTAATGATTGCAGTCCTTTTGATCACTATATCCATTGACCATTTACACATACATTTAGGGTAAATATCTACCTGCAAGGATATTAGTGATAAGTTCTAAGAGGCAGGCTTAAAATAATTAAACCATACTCCCAATTTTACTAAGATTAGCGGGAACAGAGGATTTTTGAAATAACAAAAGTTTTACCATCCTCCTCTTCTTCACTAACATAATCTGGTCTATTCTTGTAGCAGAAGAAAGTTGGAGGAAGTTTAAGTTTGGTTGCAAGGGCTTTCTGCTCAGCGGTTGGAGTTAGTTCATATACAATGAGAACATCATCATCTGAGGGAGAATCTTCAGGTTTTTTCTTCTCTTTTGCTGTAACACCAGTCAAAAAAATTGACAAAGATAAGGTATTAAGTATTGACGTTAATACTCTAACTGAAAATAAAAACCATGGAACCTATCTATAGGTTAAAACAGCATACTGATAAAAAACACATATACTTTGATGCAGAGATGTATGATAATCATGAACTAGAATTAGCATCCTGATTTAGTGTTCTACCAAAAACCCTAAGTGAACACAGAATCTATTTAAAACCAAAGAAAACAAAAAAAAATTTGTGTTTACTTAATAGTCATTGAAAAGAATTACTATAAATTTCTAGAATTTATAAAGGTTAAAAATTTTAAAGTGTTGCCTAACTATACTTAGCATACAATAGTTTACCAAAATATCCATGCATTTGCAGCAATTGAAAAAAATCTTAAAACATAGGCAAGTATTACTATACATATGAAACTAATCCAAAGCCAACTGTGATTAGTTTCTGTAAGGAAAGTTAACAATTGCCAAGAATGGAAGGTGACTAGAGTTGCATCTAGTTTGCCTATGTTCAAGCATGATACTAAGTAAAATTAAATAACAACTGTGACTCTATAGGTAGCTAACACTATAAAATCTAAGACCATTCATATGGCTAAAAACAACCCATCCCCAGCCACCATCAATGCAAAGGGCAAAAAATTAGAAAGAGAAAAAACTTCTATATGCAACCTGTTCTGAACTTCTGGCTAAAGGAGTTTAATAAAGCAAGCCAGTCATGAAGCATGCCATGTATACCAACTAGTGATAGGGAAACATTCTGAGAGCTATGGTGTCCAATATGGTAGCCTAGCCACATTCTATTAAAACCTCACAAGGTGGCTAGTCCAAATCAAGACGTGCTAACAGTAAGTGTAAACACACACACTGGATTTTGAAGACTTGGTGAAAAACAATAATGTAAAATATCATTAATTTTTATATTAATTAGAAGTTAAAATGATATTTTGGACATAAGTTAAATCAAATCTATCAATAAAGTTACTTTCATCTGTTTCCCTTTTTAACTGTTTCTTTTTATTCTTTTTAATATGGCTACTAGAAAATTTATTTATTTATTTATTTATTTGAGATGCAGTCTTGCTTTGTCACCCAGAGCTGGAGTGCAGTGATGTGATCACAGTTCACTAAAGCCTGGAACTTGTGGGCTCAAGTGATCCCTCTGCCTCAGCCTCCCAAGTAACTGGGATTATAGGCACAAGCCATTGCACCAAATGACAATTTTAAATTACATACACAGGTTATATTTTATTTCTACTGGATGACACTGCTCTGCAGAACCAGTGCCCTTCCTTTTACAATGTTAAATTTGTCCCTCTCCTTCATTATAAACAAAAACTTAGTATCATTTTCTAGCTAGGAGAAATAACAGTACACCGTAAGATACAGATTCTTGTTCCACTTCTGCTATTACTCAGTAAAGACACCTTGGGTAAATCAGATAGCCTCTCTTGGCCTCAGTTTACTCATGTCTAAAGTCTTCATTTCTAAGGTCCCTTGGGACAATGACATTATCAGATTCAAAACAAAATAAGGCTCTATGTTCTACAGTAGTATATAGGCACATTCATTCTTAGGTCAGGGATTCCTAACCTAGAGCTCACAGAAACTGTACGCAAGTATACATCCACTTTTAAGTTAACACTTTTCACATTTCTCAAAGACCGTATCTTTAAAAATAAAAGATTAAGAGCTACCTTAGCTAGTAATAAAACTGGTATACTTAAAAAAAAAAATCAGAGATTGCTACTTTATCATTGTACTTGTTTGGCATGGCTAAGATGTGTTACTGGTCACTAAGGGTGAGATTTCACTTCCCTAACCTGTTCTTGAAGGCCTTCAACAGATCCCACTTCTTGTTCCACTCTAGTAGCCACACTTCTAAAATTGATCGGTGCAACATATATAATATGCAAGCTGTAGAATGCTGGCTGTTAAAAACGGGGTCCATTTTCAAATACAACATTTTTCTAAACCATGCACAAAAGAACAGCCCTACAGGGACACTCTTCCATATTGTATACATGCCGTTGCCACTACATTTGAATACTGGCAGACGTTAGTGGCTAAACATAAACATTAGATAAAACATAGGTCTTCATTGAGCAGACCTGAAATAGCAGAGCAATGAAGTACATTACAAATCAGCATCCCAGTACATTTTAAAAAACAAACCAACAAGGGTGTCATGCCACCAGTCAAAAGGTACTTTGCTTAAACTGGCATTCTTTAACATGCATGTTGTAGTGGTAAGTACTTCATTTCATACAGCCACAGTTATTAATACTTTGCTAAGGGCTACCCAGCTGCTAAAAACTGCTGTTATCTCATACTGAGAATGCTAGTTCTATACCTTTGCTCTCAGGCTGTGAGGAAGGGGTGCTAGTCCAAAAGGCCATGGGATTAGATTTAAAAAGGCTAAAATTAAATCCTAGAAAATAAAGAATATTTCGTTTTTTAACATTTTAGGAAACAAAATGAATATGCTTTTAAAACATAAAAAGCCAGAATCCCTCAATTTATACCACCAATCTGATTGTCTTACATATTCATTTATCCCTGTAGTTTCATTCTTTGCTCATTTAATACATGAGCAAGACTGACATACAACATATAAAATGAGAACATCTCAATATCACGTTGTTTTTTTTTTTTTGGAGACAAAGTCTCAGTCACTCAGTCAGGCTGGAGTGCAGTGGCATGATTTCAGCTCACTGCTACCTCCATCTCCTGTGCTCAAGTGATCCTCCTGCCTCAGCCTCCTAAGTAGCTGCTAATTATAGGCACGCACCACGACGCCCGGCTCATTTTTGTATTTTCAGTAGAAACAGGGTTTCACCATGCTGGCCAGGCTGGTCTCGAACTCTTGAGCTCAAGTGATCTGCCCACCTCAACCTCCCAAAGTGCTGGCATTCTAGGAGTGAGCCACCGTGCCCAGCCTCAATATCATGTTTTCTGAGTGACAAAAGAAACTGAACAAATGAAAATGAACACTTTAAAAAAAGACTCACGTTAATGTGCATGATTCAAGCATGAGTCCGTATACCGTACCGAGTTCTTTTGCTCTGCCCTAGCATGATAAAAGTATCTTCCAGTTACTGAAATGTCTTAAACTAAGTTCTCTTGCTCTTTGAAACCTCACCGTGAACTTATTAAGGGAGAAAAAAAATTGCTCAAATATTTTGGGGGTGTTCACAAAGCATCATTTATATCCCAACATTAGTATCCTACAAAGAGTCTGCATCAAGCTAAACATTAAAAGAAAGAAAAATTGTGCTTAACTTTAACAACAAAGTACTTACCCTTTTCTGGTGTTTTAAATGTGTAGTTGATTGAAGATTCTTCCGTTGGAAAGGAAGCAAAGAGATTTTTGACTTTGCTATCTGAAGACTGTTCGATATCAGAGTTCTTTGACAGTTCACATTTTTTAGGTTCCACTTTGCTTTCAGATCCACTCTGGGCTACTGAACTAGTTTCACTATTGTTACTTTTCAAAGGTGCATTAAAACTAAATCCAAACAAAGACCCAGTGGCTGAACTGTTGCCGAATGCAAATGGTTTTGATTTTTCACTACTAAAAATGCTTTTAACAGACTCTGAACCAAATACAAACTTTGGAGGAGAAACCACTGCTTTTGGTGTTGTTTCAGATGTGCTAGACACTTCAACTTCTGAAGTTGCATCTGCTACATCATCACCCTGAATAACATCTGTCCTCTCTCTTGTGGTTTCTTCTAATACAGCTACAGCAATTTTGCCACATGGTGACTCTCTGGGAGTGCTTGACCGAGAAACATGAGGTGTTATCAAAGAATCTTTTTCCTGGGCTGTTTTTGCTTCATCAAAAATTTTCTTAAACGAGTCTGCAACATCCTGTAGTTTAAAACGAACAGCTAAATGCTCTACTTTTCTTTCTCCATCTGCAAAATCACATGCAGTCCACAACCATACTCTTTCTGTCCCTTTCATATTTTGCAAAGTCATGTCTGGAGTTATTCTGTGATTGGCACAAAGTTTTAATACTTGGTCCCTTCTCATCACTATACGAACTTGCTTATTATCATAATTCTGTAAAATCTTTATATCACCAATGCCCCTTTCTTTCCATTGACCAACATCTTTATCATATCTGTAGAGTTTTGCCCTGTGACTAAAAACAACTTGTTCATTTTCCTCACCACTGGATACTTCAACTAGATCAGGTAAAGGAACAACAGGTTCAAAGTACTGTCCATCTCTCTCTTCTTCTTGAGTAACATCAGATTCTTCATCAGTGCCAACTGAAGTCCCACTCTGATTCAACTTGGCAGGAGACTTAGATGGACTCAAAGCAGATTTAAAACTGAAGTTAAATCCTGTTGTTGACTCACCAAAACGGAAAAGATTTTTTCTCACAGGGCTACTTGCCAATGGAGAAGCATGTACTGAGCTACTACTGACACTATCATCCAAAGCATCTTCCCTTAAATCATAGTTATCCCATTCTAATGTGGGCCCAGTGTTTTCAGGATTGGGTTTTATTGTTGTGTCTGAGGCACCGGCCGCACCTGTACCTGAACCCTTATTTTCTTCCTCAGTGACTTTTGTTTGATCATTTGTCAAAAATGTTTTGAAATCTTTCAGTCCACTCTTCATTTCTTCAGCTCTCTGTATTAACTTGGCAGCTCTGCCAGTATCTACAAGTTTATGGGGAGTTTGAAGTGGTATGTCTAACAGAAGCCGCTGGCATTCCTCAAATTTCTGCTTGAATTCTTCAGCCAGCTCTGGTGTTTTAAATTTTGCTGCCAACTGCTCTAGTTTGGCATCACCATCAGAGAAATCACTGGCTAACCACATCCATGCTCTATCTGATCCAGAGAGAGGCTTCAGGTTCATCGTAGTCGTTATCCAATGATTAGCACACACTTTTAGTACTTGTTCTCTTCGCATCAGCATTCTTAGTTTGCCATTGACCTCGTTTTTGAGAATTTTTAAGTTCCCCAAGCCCCTTTCTTTCCACTGACTTACCTCAGCATCAAATCTAAATAGTTTTACCCGCTGTGAATACAGAACTTTTTCATCTTCTTCTCCTGTTACAAGTTCTACTTTTTCGGGCATTTGAACTACTGGTTCAAAATGGATGTCATCGCTGTCCTCAGTCTTATAGGCATCATCATCTTTCTCAAAGTCACCGGAAGTGTTTGCTTTATTGGCCATTTTACCGTATTGTGATGAGAATAATTTTTCTCCAGCACCTGAAAATCCCTTGAAATTGGGGTCTTTTTTGCCAAACTGAAATCCTTCTCCTGAAGTTGATTTTGCAAGATCTGCAAATGTAAAAGTGCTACTTGTTTGGCCAAAAATCACACCACGGCCATTCTTCTGGCCACTAATATCCTGAGCCTGGAAGCCAGTACCATTTTCAAGAGGCTTTTCACTTTTCTTTTCTTGATTTCCTGGTTCCGAAATGCCAAATTTAAATCCATCAGCAGACACAGGGATGGAAAATCCTTCTTTGGTTGACTTAAATTCTGTATTAGAAGAACCCTGAAACATAAATGAAGGTGAATTTTCTTGATCCACATGCCCAAATTTGAATCCTTGCTCTGTATTGCCAAACTTAGAAGCTTTTTCTGAGAAATTACTTTTAAATCCTGTTCCCACCTGACTTCCAGAAGAGTCATGCAACTTCATTTCTGAGCCCAGTGTGAAAGCTGAAGGAGCTTCTGCAATAGGTTTATGAGTTGGTTTAGAGGCATCACAAGCCACACATTTTAAGGAAGAACTCTCATTTTGTACACAGCAAACACTACAATCCCACTGTCCTTTCCTGATGAACATTCCTTCAAATCCACTCTTTGGAGCCTTGCTTATCTCCGAAGAGGCAGGTGTTGAAATTGCAGTTGTTTGATTTTGTTTACTTGGACACTGACAAGCAATACATTTGGTAGCACTGGCTTCATTTCTTACTAAGCACACACTGCAATCCCACTGTCCTTCCTTCTTAGTGAACATTCCCTCAAATCCGCTCTTTGGAGCCTTGCTTGTCTCTGAAGAGGCAGGTGTTGAAACTGCAGAAGTAGTTTGATTTTGTTTACCTGGATTCTGACAAGCAATACATTTGGTAGCACTGGCTTCATTTCTTACTAAGCACACACTGCAATCCCACTGTCCCTCCTTCTTAGTGAACATTCCCTCAAATCCGCTCTTTGGAGCCTTGCTTGTCTCTGAAGAGGCAGGTGTTGAAACTGCAGAAGTAGTTTGATTTTGTTTACCTGGATTCTGACAAGCAATACATTTGGTAGCACTGGCTTCATTTCTTACTAAGCACACACTGCAATCCCACTGTCCCTCCTTCTTAGTGAACATTCCCTCAAATCCGCTCTTTGGAGCCTTGCTTGTCTCTGAAGTACCAAACTTAAAAGAGGCAGGAGCTGGAACAGAAGTAGATGGACT
The DNA here is from genome assembly GCF_000001405.40 of Homo sapiens. NCBI lineage: Eukaryota > Metazoa > Chordata > Mammalia > Primates > Hominidae > Homo > Homo sapiens. Next base: position 108,765,255 of record NC_000002.12, on the reverse strand, counting down.
TGGTTTATCCGGATTCTGACAAGCAACACATCTTGTAGCATTTGCTTCATTTCGCACTAAGCATGAACTGCAATCCCACTGTCCTTCCTTCTTAGCAAACATGTCTTCAAATCCACTTTTTAGAGTTTTACTTGTCTCTGAAGTACCAAACTTAAAAGAGGCAGGTGTTGGAATAGAAGTAGCAGGTAGACTCTGTTTTCTCGGATTCTGACAAGCAGCACATTTTGTAGAGCTCCCCTCATTTTGTACCAAACATGCACTGCAATCCCACTGTCCTTCCTTTGTAGAAAAAACAGATCTGAAATCACTGTTAATAGGTTTAGGAAGATCTCCCTGGCCAAATTTAAATGAAGCTTGATGAACAAATGAAGATCCACTTTTGTTAGCAGATTTTGTATTCTGACACGCAATGCACCTAGATACAGTAGGTTCATTTCTTACTAAACAAATACTACAATCCCAGTGACCTTCTTTCTTTGGAGTCACCAATGCAAATCGATCTTGAACATTCTCTGGGCTGGTTTTAGGAGTAAAAACAGTTTCAGCTAATGGTGGGCCAACGAGCTCTTTATTGCTTGGGTTTAGATTTTGGCATGATACACATTTCTTAGCAGTTGAAGCATTCTTTAATGAGCAGCTGTTACAATGCCACCAAGACCCTTCTTTCTTTGCAACCTGAAATTCAAAATTCAGGTTTCCAGCATCAGATTTGCAAATATCCTTGTTATCATGACTTGTGGGTTCTTTTACAATTCTGACAGCCTGATTTGACGCCATGGCTACATTTGTTCCTGGGGCTTTTAAAATGCTCTGGGCTTCTTCAAACTTGCATTTAAAAAGTGCTGCTTCCTCAGGAGTTTTGAACCTAATAGCAAGTTGTTCTGGTTTTGGCAACTCATCTGCATAATCAAGGGCATGCCATACAAAAGATCTGTCTGATCCAGCATTTGGTGTCAATTTCATATCTGGACTGATGTAATGATTTGCACAGATTTTCAATACTTGCTCTCGTCTCATTAGAAGGCGAATTTTACCAGATGTTTTATGCCTCAGTATTTTTACATTGCCAATCCCACGTTCTTTCCATTCTTTGGATTCTACATCGAAACGAAACAATTTCGCGCGGTTGCAAAAGAATTCTTCTTCATCTTCCTCACCAGTTTTTACTTCAATCTTATCAGGAAGAGGTACTACAGGCTCAAAGTGAGGACCGTCATCATCATCATCCCCATGGGCACTTCCTCCATCTGTCTCATGATTCTTGTTTGCTGTCTCTAAAGTGGGTGTTCCAAATACTGATTTCCCTGGACCATGGAAAGTAAACATATCATCACTTCGCCGAAAACCAGAATTCTTTTGCTGACTCGACCCCATGTTTTCTGTAAATGAAATTCCAGACACATTTTTGCTTCCAAAATTGAATGTATTTCGAGGCCCAATGGTTTGACCACCAGGAATTGGTTTGGCTCCACTATAGCCATCTCCTTGCAAGGGTTTATCTGAAGTCAGGAGACCTAAAAGGCTTTCACTGTTACTGTAAGCTGCAGGAGGGGGCTGTGTCACAACCTGTGGTGAGGAAAACGTGAAGTCACCATCATTTGATTTGAAATTTGAGTTAAATTTAAAAGGAGTTGGCTGTGTTGTGTGTGCTTGTGTTGGCAAAGATGGCCTTAATCCTTCACCCGGCATGGGCTGAACAAAATTAGTTTTCCCAAATTCTATAGTCTTAGATTCTGCAGATCTTGAAGCATGAGCTGCAATCGGAGGTTTTGTGAAATATCCTGGTTCTGGCAAAGGTGGATTTGTGCTTGTCTGTTGAACATTGTAATTAAAGTAATCATCACCCCTGGGCGATAGAATTCCCGTTGCAGGAGACTCAAAACGCAATGCAGGAGGACCATACATCTCCTGAGAGAACATACAAGCAGATGAGCTTTGCACTGGCGGTGTGTGCATCTGTTGCGGATAGGCATAAATATGCTGTTGGGGTGGAAGCCTATTCATGCCATAGACTGGGCCCTAAAAGACAGAAAGTTAAAACATTTTGTAGATTGTCTACAAAACTACAGATAACTAAATGCAAACCAATTCTCACAAACTTCAAACATGAATATGAAGTGAAGAAGATCTCATTAGGGGATGTAGTACACATCATTAACCCGTTTATGCCAGAGGCTGCAAATTTTCTGTGTGAAAAATCAGACCTTGGCAATGACCTTGAGCAGTAGGATATAAATAACTCCCATAAGCTTAGTGTTCCAATAATGGAGCACTAGGCATAAGTAGGTTAAGAGAAAACCACATTACTACAAAGATACTTGCATATATACTTGGCATATAATGAAAATTATGTATAGCATCTTAAAATCTACAGCTAAAGTCATAAAATAAATACCTTCTTCATTCCTAATTTATCAAATGATGTTAATGATGATGATGATGATGATGATGATGATGGTAACATTTATTGAGCATTTATTAATGTGCCAGCTGGGCACTGTTCTAAGCACTTTACATTATTATCTCATTTTAATATCCTCAAAAACCCTATGAATTAAGGTATTATTATTATCCTCATTTTACATATGAGGCAACTGATGCATTGAGAGGTTAAGAAACTTGCCTGTGGTCAAAATAAGCAGAAGAGCAAGGGTCTAAATGCACCCCAACACTCTGTCCTCAAAGCTGTCACATTCAACTACCACTGTAATATTGAGTCTTCAATCAATTGTTATATATATAGCTGTATCAGGCCTGAAAGTACTTACCACATAGTGGGTCAGCAAGGGCATTACAGTTCTATTTCTGTTAAAACAGAACGATGAAGGATCCACCACCACCACTCCCATTTTTAAAATATTCTAAATATTCACACTTATTAACACAAAAATAAGGTGACTAAGAAGGATAATTTCTGTATTTGGAGATAAATTTAAAATATCTACATTTTAAGGGACATAAAAGTTTTAATAGTGAACTGCTCTCTTGAATTTATTTGAAGGAACCCTAAACAATTTAAAAAGGAAATAATTATAAATGTATAAATTATTCCTTTGTTACCTTTGTGGGAGTAACATTAGCTGCTGGTCTGAGAAGATACTGGGAATTATATGCTGGTGACTGACTATAATATACTGAAGGGCCAGTAGTTGCAACTAAAAAAACAAAAAGAAAATAAAGAAAACACTGTTAAAGTCTATACTACAGTTAAGACTATCTAGGCAAGAGCTATAAATACAAAGGCAATAGAAATTAAAGAAAGATTTAACTACATAAATTTTAAATTTCTGTACATCAAAATACACCAATCAAGATTATCAAATGACAAACTAGAAAAAAACTGCTAAATATGACATGAAGAATAAGAGAATAGCATTGCTGTGATCAACAAGAACAACTACCTCACAAGCATTAAAAAAGGAATAAAGAAGAAAGTAACTGTTGCCTTTTCTAAGAAAGATCAGTATGATGTGGAATTATGGACATTCAGTCACAGAAAGGACGTAAGGAACCAAGATGCCATCTGATGGTCAATGCATTTGAAGTGGGCCTAGAAAATCTGCAGAAAGACTAGGTTGTATTTTGTAAACTAAAGCTATTACTGAGAATGTTCAGCTCAAAAATCACCTGACAAATTCATGGACAGGATGTCATAAATAACATAAAATGTGTTCCCTGGCTTAAAATAAAAAGCACATCAACACTCATGCTGATGTACAAACTGTCTGCTCCCTCTGTTTTGTGTGTTTTACCAGGAAACAAAATGACTAGAAGGCACCCATGTTAATGGCAAAACTACCAATAGTCATTTGCTTGAACTGTTTTATGATAGTTTTACCAGAAAACAACCAAAAGACCTTTTATGCCTGTACATGGAAAAAGAAACAGAAACTGTGCCAAGAGGTTCCAAACAATTGCCTCTGGAAAGCACTGAAAAATCAAGACCTAGAAAAGGCTAGCCAGAAGCCCAAGTTTGATTTTGGAAACCTTACAGAGGTGAGGATAGCTATTTTGAAATTACTATGGGGAGGAAGCAGGCACAGAACACAGAACAACCTGACAGAAATGGCCCAAGAATCTTAAAGTCTTGCAAGATGTCTGTCTGCATGAAAGCAAAAAGAAAAAATAAAATATTAAATAAAAAAAAAATCTTAGTCTGAAGTTTAAGTAGGGACTTTAATTGACTACTGACTCTAAACTGTGCGGCTCTAATAAATCTACTAAAAGTAATCTAACTTTTAAAAGCACCATATGAATAGACAATTTAGGAAAGAAATGTTAATAGGCCTCAAGGAACATGTTTTTGAAGTGAGCCTTGAAAAATCCGCAAAATGATGAGGTTGCATTGGGCAAACTGAAGCTATTATGAGAATGTTCAGGTCAAAAAAATTACCTGACAAATTCATGCAAAGGAGATCACAAGGAACACAAATGTGTTCGCGGGCTTTAAAAAAATCACATTAACATTCATGTTGATATACAAACTCTTCTCCATCTGTTTTGTGTGAGTTTTACCAAGAAACCAAACAACTGGGAGGTACCCACGTTGAAGATGGCAAAACTACCAACTGCCATTTGCATGAATTGTTGACCATGACTAGTATTAAAAAAACTTAAAAATTGATATCACTTTTGTTCCTACAAATTGGCAAAGGATTTTATAAACCAGTAAGTCAGCATTAGCAAAGTGCGAAAATGGCACTATCAGATACTAGTGGTAAGAGCATAAACTGAATATTCTGAATACCCTATAAAACTAGGACAGTGTCCTAGAATTTGTAATGGCATAAACCAGAAACAACATAAATAAAGGAACAGAATTTACAGTACTTCCATGTGATGGGATACCATGAACTCATTAATGTTCAAAAAACATTTAAGTTTAAAAATGCTCAGAACTAAAGTAACATTTAAAAAACAGGCTAGCTCATCTACACACAACATAGTAACATGGTAACAATCTCATAAAAAATACTATATGTATAGAGAAAGAACTAGAAGGAAATGCTCTCAAATATAGGAAATGTTAATAAGGTGGTTAGCTTTTAGTTTTCTTCACCCTGTTCAGTACTTCTGAGTATCTCCTATGAGCTCATTAATCTTTAATTTTAATCATCTTATTTTTAAAAAACAAGGACCATCTTGATATATGTTTACTTTTATTAAGGAAAAAGAATCTATGAACACAGGAACAGAAATCAGGAGATCTTGGCTCTCGCCCTTTCAGTGCCACAAAGCTGTTTTGTGAACCTGTAAATAATCCATTTGGAGTCTCCATGTTTCTCAATTGTAAAATGAGGATGTGCTGCTTCTACACATTTCACAGGGTCATTGCAAGAATAAAATGAGACAATGAGAATGTTGGATTTACATGCTTGTATAAGAACAGAAGATCTTTTATGCCTGTACACAGAAGAAATGGAAATCATGACCCACAAGGCACCAAATAACTGACTGCACACATCACTAAAAAAGCCCCAGGAAAGGCTAGCCGGTTTGTTTATCCTCTTACAAGGACCTATATGATGTGTAAGGTTTTAAGAAAACAAGGTTTGAACGTTAGACATTTCATATACTTATCTATGACTTATGACATTTAATAAGCTTGATTTCACAAAGATTTTCTGTTATTTTGCTTGTGTTGAGAAGATACTATCACAAAAGGCTAGTGGGGTTGCCTTAACTATATGAACCATCACACAAATGTGCTCATCTAAACTAGATTTTATTCTAAATCTTTCCTGGGCTAAAAAGAGAAAAAAAAAGGGCACTACTACTACTACCATTTCAGAAGTCTGTCGTACGTAAAAGGAACAATTTTGTTATTTCTCGCTGCCTGGGAGCAATGTATTATACTGGCAAGTGCTTTGGAGTTACACCACCGGAGTGTGAATCTCAGCTCTATCAATAACTAGCTGTATAATAATGAGTAAGTTACCTAACCTTTCTTTAATTTCCTTATTTATAAAAAAGGGATTAATAATGGTACCGGCCATTCTAAGTTACTGTAATTAAATAAAATTACATTCACAAAGCACTTTTGCACATAGCCAACCCACAGTAAACACTATTAGTAACCTTAGTTCATTAACTGTTTACTGTATACTCTAATAAATGTCTGATACACACCCACGCCCACCTGCACATACACAAATGCTCATAGTAATTATGTAAGGCAAGTATTATCTCCACGTTTCAGACAGGTTATCTTACACAGCTATTATAGTAAGTGATAGAGCAGAACTTAAAAACCCAGTATGATTCAGGTCCAAACTCCTTTTCTTTCTTTATATAACCATAATATTTCAAATTAAGTAAGATTTCCTATATAACGTCCTGCCTCTCATCATTATCATCAAAATAATTCCCCAGAGGTGTAGGTTCTTAATTAAGCATTTCTTAGTGCATAACTCTATTCATTAACATTTTTCAATTTAAGGAATAATCTCATCTCAGCTCATCTGAGGTGTGGATTAAGTGTTCTTTAAGCCTTTATATACACGTGATCACATACGGCTCGTTTTTTCTGCTTGGGATTATAAAAATCTCCGTAACACCAAATACAGCTTTTGAAGTCACATATAAACAGACGTTGACATGTATATTAACAAACATATATAAACAAGGTGATTTCACACGTTATCTACTTAAAAGAGGGAAGTAAAGTAGTTTTACTAAAATATGCGATTATCCACTTGCCAGCTCACCTGTTAGTGGAGCCCCATGAAATGTCTGTGACCCCTGATATCCATCAGGCACTGAGTCTGGTCCATAATTCTCTGTGGGCCAACGATGAGGGGATGCTGAGTTACTGCTATTTAGTTTCAACTCCTGCATTTCTTTCTATTGGAAGAAAAAAAAATCAAATAATTTTAAACATTTAATTATATCATGACAGAAACAGTGCTGGGGAAACTTACTCTTTTAAATTTAAATAACTGATTTTTTTTTTTTTTTTTGAGATGGTGTCTCGATCTGTCGTCCAGGCTGGAGTGCAATGGCACAATCTTGGCTCACCGCAACCTCCACCTCCTGGGCTCAAGCAATTCTCCCACTTCAGCGCCCTGAGTAGCTCGGATTACAGGCGTCAGCCAGCACGCCTGGCTAATTTTTTGTGTAATAGTAGAGATGGGGTTTCACCATGTTTGCCAGGCTAGTCTTGAACTCCTGACCTCAAGTGACCCACCACCTCAGCCTCCCAAAGTGCTGGGATTATAGGTGTGACCCACCACGCCCGGACCTGATTATATCTTTTGAAAGTTTCTATTTGCCAGTGAGTTCTAGGTACCTGGTGCTGATTTTAAAATATGATTCTTAATTTGTTAAAAATTTATCTGCTCCCATTTTCATTTATTAATACAAAACCTAATTTATTAACTCTCACCTAAACAAATAACCTCCTAAATGATCACACCTTCATTTCCATTCTACACTTGCCTACATTAACCTTTCTGACGTTCACCTCCAGCCAAGACAATTCCCTGCTCAAAAAAACAAGTATCTACAAACTAAACTTCTTTCCTCAACTTTCACAGTCCTCTAACATTACACTGACCATCCTTTCAGTGTGTTCTTTCTGCACTGCAATCTGGACTACCTGACATTCCGCGTTACCTCCCCAAATTAGCTTTTCACTTAACCCCATGCTGAAACAAAATACAACTAATTCTCAAGGTGATGTTCAAATGCTCCACCAGGAAAGGGAAAAAAGTAGTAGCTGCAGAGAATTTATTATGTATATAATAATACGTCCAATGCACTTAAACTCTTAATTTTTATACTATCTACACTGTTAGGTAAACAATATTAGCTCCTATCTTAAAATGAGAGAAACGGATGCAGGGAATAACAGCTGGAATTTGAACCAGATCTGACTCCAAAAATGTTTTCTTAACACAACTCTGCTGCCTTGACAAGATGGCAGATAGATACAATGCCGTCTAGTGTAGCTATGTGGCTACCTCATCTCTGCTGAAGAAAACTAAATGACAGCACCATACCCAACCCTAGAACCTACAAAATGTCCCCTTACAAAACAGACACTTAACAGGAAATTCTTTTTCCAAAGAAATTGTAGTGGTATCAGAAAACAGGTAAATTTTGAAAAGTTTCAAACTTCTCTGTATCAGCCCAGGAATCCGACCAGTTCTAACAAGTGAGGTCAGGGACAGATCTAGCATGTCTGCTTTCTTTTTCTACAAGTGTTTCAATTAAAAATTTCCCAGAAAGACCTAACCATGAGGTCCAAAACTATCTCAATTTTCAAGCTAAATAAAATTTCCCCCACTCATCCATCTACAGTGCCTAGTCCAGATGCTACACATACACATCCAATAAGAAACTAGTGGAATCACCTAGAAAACTTTATGGTCACTGTTGGTATCCGCACCAGAGCTTTGAATTTGCAATCACTGCTGTAACTGTAATTTTTAACATTCAGTGTGATGAGAACTGGCTTCAGTAATTCTCTCATTTTAAAGATAAGAAGCCAAACAGTCACAATGGAAGTGACTGGCCCAAGATCATTAATTAATGGCAGAGTCAGTACTAGTACCAAGCTTTTCAAGCTCATGGATTAGTGCTCCACGATACTTCCACAGAATACAATGTTGGGAGCCTGAAACCTGTATGTTAAGTCAAAATTGTATGTAATTGTCATAGGCCATGACTACACAGAATTAACATTCAAAATTTTTGTGCAAATTCAAAAATGTCTTCCCCACCACACAGTATTCTCTTAAGTTGCAAATACTGCTGATCACACTGTAATAATCGCCACACATCAGCATATCCTTGATGTAACCTTAGCAGTATGAGTAATTTAGTTCTTGCCTGATAAACATGAAAGAACCTACTTTTATTTCCAATTCCAAAAAAGTCAAGCTCCTTTGAACCCTATTGTTAAAATAAGATATATATACATAACTATTTCCTTACATAATGAAGTCAAATTCATATGGAAGTATTAAAATATAGTAAGACTTTTTGAAGCTCAGACCACTTTTCAATTCCTAGCTATACATTTGAAACACATGTAATCCACAGCTAATCTGGGAATGAACTCATAGACCAGAGTATGATTAGTACATGGTAGCAGTTCAATCACTCAGGAACCTTCTCTGTGCCACGAACTCTTATATTTTAAATAAAACAGTTTCTACCTTTGAAGGTCTCAAATTTTGTGGAAGATGAAGAGAGAGACACATAAAGTACTTTCAAAAATACGGTAAAGGGCTGGGCTCGGGGGTTTACACCTGTAATCCCAGCACTTTGGGAGGCCAAGGCGGGCAGATCACCTGAGGTCAGAAGTTCAAAAACAGCTTGGCCAACATGGTGAAACTCTGTGTCTACTAAACATACAAAAATTAGCTGGGCCTGGTGGCGGGTGCCTGTAATCCCAGCTACTCAGGAGGCTGAGGCAGGAGAGTCGCTTGAACCTGGGAGGTGGAGGTTGCAGTGAGCCAAGATCGCACCACTGCACTCCAGACTGGGCAACAGAGTGAGACTCCATCTCAAAACAAAACAAAACAAAATATGGTAAAGGGTCAAGACCGAGGTATGTAGGCTGGGCACAGTGGCTCACACCTGCAATCCCAGCACTTTGGGAGGCTGAAGCAGGAGGATTCTTTGAGCCAGGAGTTCAAGGCCACCCTGGGCAACATGGCAAAATCCCATCTCTATAAAAAATACAACAATTAGCTGGGCCTGGTGGCGTGTGACTGTCTGTAGTCCTGGCTTCGTGGCAGGCTGAGCCAAGAGCCTCTCTTGAGCTAGGAGGTCGAAGCCACAGTAAGCTGTGATCATACCACTGTACTCCAGCCTGCACAACAGAACAAGACCCTGTCTTAAAAAAAAAAAAAAAGACCAAAATGTCCCCTTGCCATACTATTTGGATGGCAAGGGGACATTCTGACCAGCTTCAGAAAAAAAGTGAGAGAGTGGCCAGGGAAGGAATCTTGGAATAAAAAGTACAGCTAGAGAAATTAAGTGACTTACCTTAATGGCCTCTACTTGTTGGCAAATCATTTTCAGTAAAGAATTCTGATCTTCTGCCCATCGAGGTGGTGTTTTGGGAGAATACTAAAAAAAAATAAAAATAACAAAACAGCATTTAAAACACTTAGAACAGAAACAATTTCACAATGAAATGATTCCATTCTTTCCTGTTTACCTTGTAACTTTTACTTGGTGATAGTGAATATCTGGTAGGAGACGGTGTAGAATGTTTTATTTCTGAATCTGCATTTCGCAAAGAACCATTTTTATAGAGAGGACCTCCTTCACTATAGTCTTCGAGTTCCTGCATGACTGAATTAAGCATCTCTTTTACAGACTCCAGGGGCACAGGCAACTAAAAATAAAAGACATTAATTAAGGGCTTTCATTTGCAAAAAATTCCAAAAGTAAAAACTCTAAAATGATATATTTTATCTTATTTACATTTTTGCCACTTTAATAGGCACTTTACACTTTAAATAATACACGTGAAAGTGTTTTTTAATTATCTTTTTTCTTTTTCTGTTGTTTTGTATTATTATTATTTTTTGCCTTTATTATATTTTTTTCTTCATGAACACAGAAAAGTGTTGTACAATCTAACATCTTCTGATTCTAAAGTCCATGCTCTTTCTATTACTTCTGTTAACCATGATAATTGTAGAGGAATGTTAACTTGGAAAGCTTTTCCAAGTGAACAAAATAAGTTACTGATGTTTTCTAACTGATTTTCAATGGTGACAGAAATACAGATGCTACAATACACCAGACAACATAAATCCTAATAAAAGAGTAGTAACACAAATTAATCAACAAAACACTCAGAAGACTGAACATAATTTAACATCATCATGACAATCTCAAACAGCTGACAGCAAGAAAACAAGGGCGTTCACAATGGCTGATGAGGATGAGAAGAAATGCTCTTAAGTTGTCAGCAACAACTTTCAATTTCAGCAAAGTTCATTAAGAATTAGTCCTGAGGTTATAATATTTGTTTTGATTACACTGCTAAGATAACAAAATCAATGTCTTATCTTAGAAATCTTTTCTAATTCCCCAAGAAGTACTTTTTAAGAGCATATACCTAGATTCCCAAGTTTAAAAAGACACACCAAACCTAAGACAAAGCAAGCAAATATAAGCATTTAGACACACATATCCCTTCTGTGCATTAATAACAACATATTACTGAGTATTTTTGAAATTACCAAAATATAAGACCAACGCAAAAACATTGACCAGTGGGTTATCAGTAAGAACGTACATACAACAACCTGCTACTTACTTTCTTGACCACTGAAAGATTTGAATCACTGTCATCTATAATCTTTATTAGGTAGTCCCTGGTCTTTCTCAGATAATTTTTGCATTCTTCTTGTTCTTCAGGAGAAAGGGCATCATTTTCAATGTCTTCTGCCTTCCTGTGAAAAATCTATACAAATAGTGCTTTTATGAAATCATTAGGTTTTTAAAACAAAAAACTTTTAGCTTGGCCACGCATGGTGGCTCATGCCTGTAATCCCAGCTACTCGGGAGCTGAGGCACAAGAATCGCTTGAGCCTGGGAAGCAGAGGTTGCAGTGAGCCAAGATTGTGCCACTGCACTCTAGCCCGACCAACAGAGAAACCCCGTCTTTTAAAAAAATAATAAATAAATAAATAAAACTTTTAGCTCAAGTACTGCATCTACTTACCAGTGCAAGATTCCAATAAGAAACAACACTTTTTATAGATTCAAAAGCAGTCACAGCATCTTCTATATTTCCATTTACTGCATCCAATATAGCAAAAGTTATGTGTGCGTCTTCTTCATATTCAACAATTTCTGATGCCTAAACACACAGAATAGTTTTTAGTCAAATTGTTTATACTCAGAATATAAAACCCAAATGATTTTCCAAAGATTTTATATGATCTTAAGAGACAAACATCTCATTATTCTTCTCTGTCATATCTTATGTGTGAGAGCTAGTGAATTTAGAAAACAAGATTACCATTAAATAACAAGGCAATTAATTTAAGCAGTGTATAGCTCTATGTCTTTGTTTATAAACTGGAAATTCCCATCTCCAATAAATTCATAAAGGAACTCTGTTACCTGAATGTCTACACTATGAAAATGTTTAAACAGAGGATCAATAGGTTCAGGAATACTGTTCTTCTTTTTTATTATCTTCAACAATGGCAAAACTTTCTTCCAATAATGAACACTTCTCCCTATGTATTCTCGTTGATCATAAAAAGAATTAAGACCGCTGCCCTAAAAAAGAAAGTTAAAAGCACACAACTTTAAGGAACACGCATGATTAGATCTAAAGTTCATTTACAAGTTGAAAGAACTGGCTAAAATTTCAAGTCAAAACCAAATGGTATCTCAATAGTCATTTGTTCAACTTCCAAATACTGTAATAACTAAACCACCTTAACACCAGTGATCATTCTACACTCAACTTTTTTTTTTTTTTGAGACAGAGTCTTGCTCTGTAGCCCAGGCTGGAGTGCAGTGGCGTGATCTCGGCTCACTGCAAGCTCCGCCTCCTGGGTTCACACCATTCTCTTGCCTCAGCCTCCCAAGTAGCTGGGACTACAGATGCCTGCCACCACGCCCGGCTAATTTTTTCTTTTTTTTTTTTTTTTTTTGTATTTTTAGTAGAGACGGGGTTTCACCGTGTTAGCCAGGAATGATCTCGATCTCCTGACCTTGTGATCTGCCCGCCTCGGCCTCCTAACGTGCTGGGATTACAGGTGTGAGCCACCGCACCCGGCCTCTACACTCAACTTTTAAACGCTTCTAATGATACCATCCTAACGTAGCAATCCAAACTACTTTTTAACAGTTGCCATTTTTAGATAGCTGAAACCTGCCTCTTCTGTAGTGTCAGTTTGTTCAAAAGGCTGACCATCTACACCTCATGGTGACACAAAACACACCTTAAGTATATAGAAAGATCTATAATGGTCTTACCTACAAAGCCTTGTGCTAATTTTTTTTTTTAATTTTCAGGCTGAATAATTATCAGAACTTAATTATTAAGGAATAACAGTAACAGCTCAGCTAATATGTAACATTCACTGTGTGCCAGGCATTGCTCCTCTAAGTGCTTATATTTAACTACATTAACTATTTTGCAGCAATAAAAAACACATCTGTCATAATGTGACCAAGCTGCTGTTTTCAGAACAAAAAAACTTTCAATAAAAAGTTCATGATTTTAAAAAATTAAGGTAATGTTCTTTAAAAATGCTTATACTTTAAAACTCACCGTTTTCTGAAGGCATTCTGCCCAATGTACAAGCAGAGCAGGTTGAAGGCCATGTTTTTCCTGGGCTCTTAGAGTGTTTATTTCATGCTGAACTAGAAGTCTCAATTTTGCTACGTTTCCAGGTCTAAAAAATAGTTCAATTTACTAAAATTGCTTTCTAAATACACAGTTCAGGGCTTACATACATATATGTTAATGGGTCACATGACAAATTAAATCTTCACATGAGGATTAAATCCCCGGTAAAACCTACGCACTAAGTGAAAGCAATATTTTTGTTTTACTACTTACACTGCTTTTCTGTGAATCAGAGTACAAACCGCATCCCACCAAGATTTTTGTCTTTCTGTACAAAGCTGTTTACACACAGGAAGGGGCAGGCATAACGGCTGATAGGAGCTGTGGTGAGAATTACATTTCTCCTTTAATTGTAAGTGGCTGGTATATACTACTCCAAGGAGAAATACCTGTTTTATTTAAGGAAAAGTTAAGTTAGAAAAAAAATTAAACAAAATTCAGAATATTTAATTTGTTAAAATCTTTGCTTACTTCAAGATCTAAAATACATATTGATTCAGGTGCATTTGTTTCAAGCCTTGAGGTTTCATGGGGCAAATGATGGAAAAGCTGTTTTAGCCATTTTCGGATTCCAGGTAAAGCAGGCAATGAATTCCACTGTAAGCCAAGCCAAGTAAGGTGCTGAAGACTACCATTATGTGCTCGAATAGCACCTGAAATAAAATTAAAAAATTGGCTTAAGGGTTTGAAATTTTTCCTTGTGCCATTAGTTTTGCCAACATAAACAATTCACATTATATATATCTTAATTATATAACTGCTTTTCTATATCAAAGCTGAAGGGAATTCTATGTTAGGCAAAATCTCATGTTCTTATTAAATGCATTCTCACTTGATTATTTCTAGAAATTTTAATAAAAATAGTAGTGATGAAGAATGTTTAAGTCCATCTTAAAAAATGACACTGACTAGAACTCAATAAACCAAAATCAACTGACAAAAGCCAAATAAAGAACACCTAACCTAATAAGAAACCCCAAAACGATGGGTTTTCCTTTAAGTCATTAAAGCAATGGAACACCACTATATTAATCCATCGGTACAGTAAAGAAATCTGTTTTTCTACAAGAAAGTCAATATTGAAAAGGTTCTGCGCAGTCAGGAGTTCGAGACCAGCCTGGCCAGCATGGTGAAACTCCGTCTCTACTAAAAACACAAAAAATTAGCCGAGCATGGTGTCACGTGCCTATAGTCCCAGCTACTTGGGAGGCTGAGGCAAGACAATTGCTTGAACCTGGCAGGCGGAAGTTGCAGTGAGCCGAGATTGCGCCACTGCACTCCAGCCTGGGTGACAGAGCGAGACTCTGTCTCAAAGAAAAGAAAAGAAAAGAAAAGAAAAGAAAAGAAAAGAAAAGAAAAGGTTATGTGCTTCTGGAAGCATAAAGAGGTATAATCTTTCTGTCATTTTGGCAATTTGCAAGACTTAAAGATGTTCATGGCCTTTGTCTCTAATTCTGTTTTTAGGTATCTCTATGGAAATAACTTGCAATGAAGACACTTTTTGTTGAAGTTTTTATCAGAGTATGATTATTAACAGTGGAAAAGTTGAGAAAACTTGGATGCCCAATAACAGAAAGTAGCAAGCAAATTATGACTACTTCATAAAAAAGATTATATTGCCAATAAAAGTGATATTTATAGTTTTAATACAGAGACTGTGGGAGAGAATTCATGAAGGAAGCAAGATAAATCATACATAAACAACCATTTAGATGAAAAATATGGCCAGATGCAGTGGCTCATGCCTATAATTCCAACACTTTTTGTTTTTGAGACGAAGTCTCGCTCTGTCGCCCAGGCTGTCGTGCAGCAGTGTGATCTTGGCTCACTGCAACCTCCGCCTCCCGGGTTGAAGCGATTCCCCTGCCTCAGCCTCCTGAGTAGGACTACAGGCACATGCCACCACCCCCGGATAATTTTTGTATTTTTAGTAGAGACGGGGTTTCACCATGTTGGCCAGGATGGTCTCGAACTCCTGATCTCAGGTGATCTGCCTGCCTCGGCCTCCCAAAGTGCTGGGATTACAGATATGAGCCACTGTGCCAGGCCTAATCCCAACACTTTGGGGGCTTAGGTAGGAGGATCACTTGAGCCTAGGAGTTCAAGACTAGCCTGGGCAACAAAGGGAGACCCTGTCTCTACCAATTAAAAAAAAAAATTATCTGGGCCGAGTGGCATGTGCCTATGGTACCAGCTACTCAGGAGGCTGAGGCAAGAGAATCCCTTGAGCCCAGAAGTTCAAGGTATCAGTGACCTACGATCATGCCACTACACTCCAGCCCAGGTGACACAGCGAGACCCTGTCTCAAAATACAACAAGGCTGGTCGCAGTGGCTCACACCTGTAATCCCAGCACTTTGGGAGGCCAAGGCAGGTGGATCACCTGAGGTCAGGAGTTTGAGACCAGCCTGACCAACATGATGAAACCCCGTCTCTACTAAAAATACAAAAAATTAGCCGGGCGTGATGGCGGGCATTTGTAATCCCGCTACTTGGGAGACTGAGGCAGCAGAATCACTTGAACCTGGGAGGCAGAGGTTACAGTGAGCCGAGATCGCACCACTGCACTCCAGCATGGGCGACAAGAGCAAAACTTGGTCTTAAAAACAACAACAACAACAAAAAATACATGCCACCCCCACAGCACCACATTCAAACTCCCCCCAGCCCAACCCACACACAAAAGGAATACAGGAAAATATTAAGTCGTTATTTCTGGGTAATAAGATTATGGGCAATTTATAAGAATTAAGACGGAGACCATTTCCTCTGAAACATATAACTTACCAACATCGTATCTAGTCAAATCTTCAAGCTCTGGTTCTCGTACATCAATGTTTCCAATATCATCGCTACCAAGAAAAGATGTATCCTTAGGTGACTGACTAGAAAACAGAGCATCATATAATGCAGACTGCCCGCTTTTGTTGGCAAAAGTTTCAACAATCTCTTTTAAAAAATCTTGCTTGCCACGACTTAAGTTTAGCAACATGTGCCCTGAAAAAAAAATTTAAGTTATTTCCATCACTTTAAAATTACAGATTGTATTTGCTCACGTTGTCTCATTTGTATACCCAAAGGGGAAATAACATGATTACTGCATACCTAACCCTCCAACCCAAAAAATACAGCTGGACAACAAAACCGGTGCTTATGTAGCAAATGAGAAGAGTACAGGTTTAATATTCTCAGTATCTACATAAGACAGCAGAAGGGGGAAAAAAGACAGGAATGTGTATGAAAAATGCCAAACATATTTGCATTTCAGATGAAAAGGTCTGGATTTAAGTGGCCATAGGAGAACAGGGACAAACTCTTATTCTCTGATCTGATACACTGATTTCTGAACCTGGCTGATCAGAATCCTCCTTTAAACAGCTTTTAAGAATTATTTCCGGCTGGGCACGGTGGCTCATGCCTGTAATCCCAGCACTTTGGGAGGCCAAGCTGGGTGGATAATGAGGTCAGGAGATCAAGACCATCCTGGCTAACACAGTGAAACTCCATCTCTACTAAAAATACAAAAAAAAAAAAAAAAAAAATTAGCCGGCCCTGGTGGCTGGCGCCTGTAGTCCCAGCTACTGGGGAGGCTGAGGGAGGAGAATGGCATGAACCCAGGAGGTGGAGCTTGCAGTGAGCCGAGATCACGCCACTGCACTCCAGCCCGGGCGACAGAGTAAGACTCTGTCTCAGGAAAAAAAAAAAAAAGAATTATTTCCAGGCCTCGTTCCCAGAGTTTTTTATTCCATAGGTTTACAGTAAGCAATCAAAAAATCATAGTCTCGGATAAAGTACTGATACATGCTATAACACAGATGAACCTTGAAAACCTTGCTAAATGAAAGAAGCCAGTCACAAAAGACCACATACTATATGATTCCATTTATGTGAAATGTTCAGAAGAGGCAAACCTACAGAGACAGATTAGCAGTTGCCAAGGCTGAGAGGTTTGGGTAAAATGGGAAGTAACTGCTAATAGGTAAGGAATTCCTCATGGAGTGATGAAAATCTTCTAAAACTGACTGTGGTGACAGTGGTAATACTCTATGAACATACTAAAAGCCACTGAACCGTACACTTTAAATGGGTGAAGCGTATGGTATATGAATTATATTTCAATTGAACTTTTTTTAAAAACCCTCCTTCGAGTTAATTCTGCTGGGCAATTAGGTTTGGTTACCACTACACAGTTGTGTCTCAGCACACTTACAGAGGCACCCTCGGGATGCCCAGATCAAAGACATTAAAAAAAATACAGGCAATTTTTATCTAACTGTGACACCACGCAAAGGCACTTATGAGAGCCCTGCAAGGGTAGAAGGAAAAGAGAAAAGGAAAAAAGTAGAAAGTCACTTTAAGGACTGAAAGCCTAACTCCCACAAAAAAAAGTGAGCTATGGAATAAAAGAGCAATGTGAGCTCTGGCCAACAGCCTAACTATACACCAAAGCTTATAATAACTTTGATTTAATATTACATCTTGCTCTTTACAAAATTCATCCAATTTTATATCAAAACTGCTCCTTATAGAAAGCATTATGTTTCTTCAGTTCACTGCTTGATTCAATGGCCACCTAACTACCTTAAAGTTTGTATCTTAGCAAAATCACAGGTAATACGCAACAGACCTTTAGGATTTATCCCAAGCCAAAAATGGGGGAAAAAATCCACAAATTCCAAGAGCCTAATATAAGGTAAGTATATATCTTCTATCTTCCTCCCTACGCTCTCAGCTCTTTAAGACAGATCCGTATCTTCTTCATCTTTATATCCCCACAGCAGTGTTTTTAGAATCAGCTGGTGTTAAATGGTTGGCAAACCAATAATTATACTTAGTTCAGGAAGTGACTAAATATTCAGGATAGAGGCTCTAGCAGCCAGATAAAGAAAGAGTTAAGAAATCCTCTCCACCTAGGAACAAACAATATCAAATATTCATTTTTTTAAAGAATGTGCTATTTTTCACATCTCTTCCATACCTATTGCTCTTAACTGATACGGCAAAAAGAAATAATTTTGACAAATTATCTCCTGGACAGATGAAGATTTTATCATAAGATATGCCTTAACAGAAATTCCTTTTTCTTTTTAAATTAAATTAGTTTAATATTACTATTACCTGATTGGCTCAGTCGGTCACAGGCCATCATTTCCAGCAGATTTTGTCCAGCTTCACCTTTTATTAATTTAATCTTTGGTCTTGGAACCTAATAATTTTAGAATCAAAAATCTTAATTTGATGATACCCATACTTCTAATAGTAACATGGTCTTATCTATTACACTGTACTTTTTTTGATAATGAATAAACAGTTAACCATTAATTAAACTGAATTGGAAAAGACTGCAAAAACTGGGAACCAAGGAATTTATATAACCTATGAAAGATAGGCCAGGTACAGGCGTGGTGGCTCACACCTGTAATCCCAACACTCTGGGAGGCCAAGGTGGGCTGATCACTTGAGGTCAGGAGTTCGAGACCAGCCTGGCCAACATGGTGAAACCCAGTCTCTACTAAAAATAATAAAAAAAAAACAAAGAGCCAGGCGTGGTGGCACACACCTATTAATTCCAGCTACATGGAAGGCTGAGGCACAAGGATAGTTTGAACCTGGGAGGCAGAGGTTGTAGTGGGCTGAGACTGCGCCATTGCACTCCAGCCTGGGTGAAAGAGCGAGGCTCCATCGCAAAAAAAAAAAAAAAAAAAAAAGGGCCAGACATGGTGGCTCACACCTGTAATCCCAGCACTTTGGAAGGCCAAGGTGGGGGGATCGCTTGAGCCCAGAGTTCAAGAACAGCCTGAACAACACGGTGAGACCCTATCTCTAAAAAATGTTTTTTTTAATTAGCCAGGCATGGTGGCCCACACCTGTGGTCCCAGCTACTCAGGAGGCTGAGGCAGGAGGATCACTTAAATCCAGGAGGTCAAGGCTGCAGTGAGCCATGATCATGCCACTGTGCTCCAGCTTGGGCGACAGAGTGAGACCCTATCTCCAAAAAAAGAAAAAAAAAAAAAAGCATACACAGAGCAACTCTGAGAAATTAGTTTCTACTAAAAGCACATTCATGTTACATTCAGAGAAATGGAAAATTTAATTACATTACTTTTCGACCCTGCATAAATAGGACAACAGCAGATGTTGTCCTATTTGAGTAGATATGACACCCTACTTTAAAAAGTACAGGTGAAATGACACTTGGAAATGCCACATTGTAGATAACACATTTTCAGAGTATGGATAATATGGGATAGCACTGGAATAAATGGGACAACCAGGAAATTAAAGAGATCCTCATGCAATAACCTATGAAAAAAAAAAAGCATGATGAATAGAATGGCAAAGGGAAGACGTGACAGCTGCCTTCAAATATTAAAATTATTTTATAAAAGAAATCATCAAAAGAAGAAACAAGACCAACAGGTAGAAGGCTTGAAGAATATTTTTATTCTATATAAGGAAGTACCAAGAGCCAAACCACCTAAAGATGCACTGGGCTATCTTGAAAAGTAATGAATGTCCATCACTGAAAACGTCCAGTCATAGGCAATGCCCACTTACTAGAAACATGCCAAAAGTAACTATATGGGTGACTAGAGCATCGGCTTTTAATTCTATCACCACTTTCTTAATTGGTGGTGGAAATGTAATTTGATACAACCTCTTTAGGGTTAGATATTTGGCAACAGCTCTAAAAATTATAAATGCACAGATATACTTTGATACTGCAATTCTTTCAGGAATTCATGGCACAAGTTAATCATTGCTAAATTACTTGAAGTAGCATTAAAAAAAAAAAAAAGTAAAAGCCAGCTAATGTCCTGGTTTTAGGACCCTGGTTTTAAAAACTCCAAAACTACAGTACATCCATACAATGGAATAATATGCAAGCATCCAAACTAATGAGAATGCCCTTTATATATACTGACATGGAAACATCTCCAAGATACAGTTAATGGAAATAAAGTAAATGCAATGTTCAAATGTTTTCCTCCTTCTTTTAAAGACAGGAGATATATATGTGTTTACTTGGAGATGCATAAAACATTTCCTGAAGAACACACAAGAAAGCAATAACATTAGTTTCTTTGGAGGTGGAGAAAGTAAATAACTAGGGAACAGAAAGGAGTCTTCATAGCATATTCTTAAGAGCCGCCAGAATTTTAAACCATGTATATATAATTCTTTCCAAACATGTTCATTTTTCAAAATATATGATTTATGAACCTAAAAGCTTCTGATTTTGAATTTTAGAAATATTCATATTGCCTATCCTTTTACTCACAAGTTTTCTAAACATCATGTCAAAGCCCTTTGTCATCTATATGTTGAAAAGAGCACACAAAATAAGAAACAAAATGTTGACATCATTCTTTTTGTTTTGAAACTGACCTCAATTCATAAACCCGGCCTCTTTTACAAAATTATTCAACAGTTGAATCTGTGACCAGTTAATTAGTTGTGAATCCACTCAATCAAATCATCTCAATTCACTATTTCCTTTTTTTTTTTTTGAGATGGAGTCTCGCTCTGTCGCCAGGCTGCAGTGCTGCAGTGGCACGATTTCAGCTCACTGCAACCTCCGCCTCCTGGTTTCAAGCAATTCTCCTGTCTCGGCCTCTCAAGTAGCTGGGATTACAGGCACCCGCCACCATGCGTGGCTAATTTTTGTATTTTTAGTAGAGATGGGGTTTGACCATGTTGGTCAGGATGGTCTCAAACTCCTGACCTCAAGTGATCCGCCCGCCTCAGCCTCCCAAAGTGCTAAGATCATAGGCGTGAGCCACCGTGCCTGGCTATTTCCTCATCTTAACTAAAAGGTTTCAAGATACTTTGTTAACTACCTAGCTGCAATGCAGATGCACTTACTAGAACCACAGTATTCCTCTGATTAAGAGTCTGAAAATCTTGCCATAAAAGTTAGCCAATTCTTAAATACCCAAATGCCAGCACATAACCTACATTTTATGCTTATAATCATTTGATCATTAAGCTTTAAAATAAACTGATAAAATAAAATACAAGCATCTAAGATGTTTCTATTATATATTCATTCTACAGAAATATGTGGTAGTTAATAAAGACTGAAGTAGGTATCTCTGTGCTGAAGTGGAACAATGAAGAAACATTTAGAAAAGCAAGGCATCTGGCAATAGGTAAAGCACACCCACATTGAGGCACAATATTTTTTAAAAGCAGAGAAAGAATGTATTGCACATTTGCATATGCAAAAAATATTTCTGAACACCCAAGAAACTCCTAACAGTAGTTGTCATCTAGGAAAGGAGACCTGAGTGAATGGATTAAGAGGGAAACTAACTTTTTATTATTAAAAGTTCACAGTCAGGTGTGGTGGCTCATACCTGTAATCCCAGCACTTTGGGAGGGCAAGGCAGAAGGATCACTTGAAGCCAGGAGTTCAAGACTAACCAGCCTGGGAAACATAGCAAGACCTTGTCTTTACAAAAAATTTAACAATGTAGCCAGGCATGGTGGCAGGCACCTGTAGTCCCAGCTACTGAGCTGAGGCTGAAGCAGGAGAGGATCACTTGAGCCCAGGAGTTCGAGGATGCAGTGAGCTATGATCATGCCACTGCACTCCAGCCAGAGCAACAAGAGACTCTGCCTCCCAAAACTACATATCAAAAAATTTTAGGCTGTGCATAGTAGCTCACACCTACAATCCCAGCACTCTGGGAAGCTTGAGCCCAGTTCAACGTTACAGTGAGCTATGATTATGCAACTGCACTCCAGCCCGGGTGACACAGCAAGACTCTAATAGACACACAGACAGATAAATTTTAAAGTTTCCATTAAAAATAAGAACTATTGGCAGGGCGCGGTGGCTCACGCCTATAATGCCAGCACTTTGGGAGGCCAAGGTGGGCGGATCATGAGGTCAGGAGATCGAGACCATCCTGGCTAACATGGTGAAACCCCATCTCTACTGAAAATACAAAAAAATTAGCTGGGCGTGGTGGTGGGTGCCTGTAGTCCCAGCTACTCGGGAGGCTGAGGCAGGAGAATGGCGTGAACCCAGGAGGTGGAGCTTGCAGTGAGCCGAGGTCGTGCCACTGTGCTCCAGCCTGGGCAACAGAGTGAGACTCCGTCTCAAAAAAAATAAATAAAAATAAGAACTATCAGTTACTTGAGAATTTCTATAAGAACCTTTTAATGTTGGTATTACCTAGTGAACCTCACTAAATCCATTAATTTTCACTAATCCAATTCCTTATGAACACAGAAGTTTCTACTGAGCAAATATTAGCACTTAACATGTGAACTGTCTATCAACGGTGTTTTTAAAAGATTTACAGGCCGGGCTCGGTGGCTTATGCCTGTAATCCCAGCACTTTGAGAGGCCAAGTCGGGTGGATCGCGAGGTCAGAAGATCGAGACCATCCTGGCTAACATGGTGAAACCCCGTCTCTATTAAAAAATACAAAAAATTAGCCAGGCATGGTGGTGTGTGCCTGTAATCCCAGATACGTGACAGGCTGAAGCAGGAGAATCACTTGAACCCAGGAGGCACAGGTTGCAGTGAGCTGAGATTGCGCCACTGCACTCCAGCCTGGTGACAGAGCGAGACTCCGTCTCAAATAAAAATAAAAAGATTTATATTAGGCAGGGCATGGTGGCTCACTGCCTGTAATCCCAGCACTTGGAGAGGCTGAGGCGCGAAGATCACCTGAGGTCAGGAGTTCGAGATCAGCCTGACCAACATGGAGAAACCCCGTCTCTACTAAAAATACAAAATTAGACGGGCGTGGTGGCGCATGCCTGTAATCCCAGCTACTCGGGAGGCTGAAGCAGGACAATCGCTTGAACCCGGGAAGGCAGAGGTTGCAGTGAGCCAGATCGCGCCACTGCACTCCAGCCTGGGCAACAAGAGCAAAACCCCGTCTCAAAAAGAAAAAAAGATTTATATTAGAAGGAGG
The DNA here is from genome assembly GCF_000001405.40 of Homo sapiens. Lineage (NCBI taxonomy): Eukaryota > Metazoa > Chordata > Mammalia > Primates > Hominidae > Homo > Homo sapiens. The sequence continues at coordinate 108,741,981 of NC_000002.12, read as the reverse complement.
CGCCTTCTCTAAAAGTAATGAATCCTTTTTTTCCCTCCCCAAGCAAAAAATCCTTCTCTAAAATTAACAATCATTTTTCTAAGCGTGGTTTAATGCTTTTTTGGAAGACTACTTATTTCTTTTCCTTTCAAAAGTTATGCAAGCTCATTAAAAAAAAAAAAAAAAAAAAAGGCTGGGTGTGGTGGCTCACGCCTGTAATCCCAGCACTTTGGGAGGCCGAGGCAGGTGGATGACTAGGTCAGGAGATTGAGACCATCCTGGCTAACACAGTGAAACCCCGTCTCTTATACTAAAAGTACAAAAAAAAAATTAGCTGGGCATGCTGGCAGGTGCCTGTAGTCCCAGCTACTCGGGAGGCTGAGGCAGGAAAATGGCGTGAACTCGGGAGGTGGAGCTTGCAGGGAGCCGAGATCGTGCCACTGCACTCCAGACTGGGCGACAGAGCAAGATTCCATCTCAAAAAAAAAAAAAAAAAAAAAAAAAAAAGGCCAGGCGCAGTGGCTTGCGCCTGTAATCCCAGCACTTTGGGAGACCAAGGCAGGCAGATCACGAGGTCAAGAGATGGCGACCATCCTGGCCAACATGGTGAAACGCCATCTCTATTAAAAATACAAAAAATTAGCTGGGTGTGGTAGCACGGGCCTGTAGTCCCAGCTACTCGGGAGACTGAGGCAGGAGAATCACTTGAACCCAGGAGGTGGAGGCTGCAGTGAGCCGAGATCACGCCACTGCACTCCAGCCTGGTGACAGAGAGACTTGGTCTCAAAAAAAATAAAAAAATAAAAATTAAGAAAAGGTTTTATGTTTTCAAAGATTAATAGATATACTGTTACATATACACAATACAGTCATAAATGTTATATACATGTGTTTCAATTAACATGTTAAATTGCAATCATATTCTTCTATCATAGGCTATAAAGCCATTGCCCTACATCTACTTATTAAGATTTTGTCCAAGTAACACATCTTTCTGAATCAAGCTTTACCCATAATACGAGATTACATCTTTATCATGTTCCCAAAAATGGCAGAGTAAAAAGATCAAACTCTTCAAATTTGTCTACAAACAAATCATGGCAATGCAGGCTTTCAACAAGAGTGCATTCAACATCCCTGTTTCACCAGCCTCACCAGTATTGTGTATGCTTAGTTATTTTCCACTGTATCAAATTGACTATTTCAACTTTAATTCCACAGGTTTGTTCACATATTGTCATTACATACCAGAGCACACCTTCATTTCAAACACATCAAGACTCAGTGAAATGTCAATTGCTCCTACAAGTGGAAGACTTACCTGAAATGCTATGAGATAGCACAATGCAGCCAGCTCAGAAAGAGCTCGCCATTGAACATTACTACTATGCTGACCCATCTTCAAAAGCAGAGAACCAGCATGCATGTAGAAATGTCCTTTCATTTCTAAGAAAGTAGCTGACAGTTCATCATTTCCACCCAAAGATTTCACAGACTGAAGAGCACTATCAAAACTGTAATATGAAAATATCAAACAGATAATACACACTTACTGCACTGTGAATAATCATGGTTTATTTAATTCAAAACAAAATAAAAATTTTATTTCAAGCTTCATCTTCCACATTCAACTAATAATTCTTATTCCCCATGTTATAAATTATGAATCATCTAATGCTTTTTTTTATCCTGCATACTTCCTATACTTCATGCTTAACCTCTCAAATGATATTCCCAGTTATTTCCAGCCCTCCAATCACAGGATAAATATAAGATCAGTGATTATAGGTGCACATTTCAAAATAAACCAGGATAAAGTTGGGAGACTATTTTGTAGTTTCTTCCTGATCATATAATTTCATTATTTAATTAACAGTTGTAATTTCTCAAATTAGACATACCATTTCCAAATTATAAGTAAATAACTGACAGGTATTTGCGTATCAATACAGTAATTGCTCTTTTTACTATATAGATCATTACAGCGTTTAAAATAGTCTGCCTTTTTTTTTTTTGAGACGGAGTCTCTCACTATCGCCTGGGCTGGAGTGCAATGGCACGATCTAAGCTCACTGCAACCTCCACCTCCCAGGTTCAAGTGATTCTCCTGACTCAGCCTTCTGAGTAGCTGGGATTACAGGCACCTGCCACCATGCCCCGCTAAACTTTTTTTATATTTCTAGTAGAGACAGGGTTTCACTACGTTGGCCAGGCTGGTCTTCAACTCCTGACCTCACAATCCACCCACCTCAGTTTACCAATGTGCTGGGATTACAGGCATGAGCCACTACGCCTGGCCTATTATTTGTAATCTATATTCTAAATTAGTTCTTCTAAATCCTATTGTTTCTCCAAATCCTCACTTTGGAAGAAAAGTAAAAGCAAAAAGCAAACACTTAAACGTGAAGCATGATTTTAAAGTGGCTTACAATAAAGCAACCAGAGCAAGTGAGGTCTAAAGATCTCTGAGGGTGCTCAAAAACCCCTTCAGGGGATCCATGAAGTTAAAATTACTTTTACGATAATACCAAAAAAAAATTTATATTTTACATACTCATTTTCTCATGTATGTAGAGCTGAGTTTTTTTGTTTTTGTTTTTGGAGACAGAATCTCACTCTGTCACAAGGCTGGAGTGCAGTGGCACAATCTTGGCTTACTGCAACCTCTGACTCCCAGGTTCAAGCGATTCTTCTGCCTCAGCCTCCCGAGCAGCTGGGACTGTAAGTGCGTGCCAACATACCCGGCTAATTTTTTGTATTTTTAGTAGAGACAAGGTTTCACCATTGTTAGCTGGGATGGTCTCGATCTCCTGACTTCGTGATCCACCCGCCTCGGCCTCCCAAAGTGCTGGGATTACAGGGCTGAGCCACCGCGCCCCGCTGAGCTGAGTTTTCTAGAGGCTTCATGACATGTAATAGTTTTACAGACTGAAAGAGGAAGTAAATGAGAATCTAGCTATGTTCTATTAAGCGAGACATTAAAAAGATTCACAAAAATGCAAAAGCAATGACACTTTCTGACTACTTTTTTGCTGTTGAAAAATAATTATTTTTCATAAAAAATGCTATTATTGGCCCTGTGCGGTGGCTCACACAAGTAATTCCAGCTCTTTGGGAGGCCAAGGCGGGTGGATCACCTGAGGTCAGGAGTTCAAGACCAGCCTTGCCAACATGGTGAAACCCCTTCTCTACTAAAAATACAAAAAATTAGCCAGGCGTGGTGGTAGGCACCTGTAATTCCAGGTACTTGGGAGGCTGAGGCAGGAGAATTGCTTGAACCTGGGAAGCAGAGGTTGCAGTGATCCAAGATCACACTGTTGCACTCTAGCCTGGGCAACAAGAGCAAAACTCCGTCTCAAAAAAAAAAAAAAAAAGCTATTATTATTAACACACAATAGAGCTTCTTACATTTTTAATGGATTACATTTTTTGTTTTAATTTCTAATGTAATAAACACTGATAGAAATAACCCACATACAGCCGGGTGCAGTGGCTCAGACCTGCAATCCCAGCACTTTGGAAGGCCAAGGCAAGCGGATCACAAGGTACTGGAAGGTCAAGAGATTGAGACCTTCCAGTACTTTGGGAGGCCAAGGTAGACGGATCAAGAGGTCAAGAGATCAGGACCAGCTGGGCGCGGTGGCTCACACCTGTAATCCCAGCACTTTGGGAGGCCGAGGCGGGCGGATCACAAGGTCAGGAGATCAAGACCATCCTGGCTAACGCGGTGAAACCCCATCTCTACTAAAAATACAAAAAATTAGCTGGGTGTGGTGGCGGGCACCTGTAGGCCCAGCTACTTGGGAGGCTGAGGCAGGAGAATGGCGTGAACCCTGGAAACAGAGCTTGCAGTGAGCCGAGATGGCGCCACCGCACTCCAGCCTGGGCGACAGAGCGAGACTCCGTCTCAAAAAAAAAAGATTGAGACCAACCTGGCCAACATGATGAAACCCTGTTTCTACTAAAAATACAAAAATTAGCCAGGTGTGGGCTGGGCGCGGTGGCTCACGCCTGTAATCCCAACACTTTGGGAGGCCGAGGAGGGCAGATCACGAGGTCAGGAGATCGAGACCATCCTGGCTAACACGGTGAAACCCCGTCTCTACTAAAAATACAAAAAAATTAGCGGAGCGTGGTGGTGGGCGCCTGTAGTCCCAGCTACTCAGGAGGCTGAGGCAGAAGAATGGCATGAACCTGGCAGGCAGAGCTTGCAGTGAGCCGAGATTGCCCCACAGTACTCCAGCCTGGGTGACAGAGCGAGACTCTGTCTCAAAAAAAAAAAAAAAATTAGCCAGGTGTGGTGGCGGGCACCTGTAGTCCCACCTATTCCGGAGGCAGAGACAGGAGAATCACTTGAACCCAGGAGGCAGAGGTTGCAGTGAGCCGAGACTGCACCACTGCATGCCAGCCTGGCGAGAGCAAGACTCAGTCTCAAAAAAAAAAAAAAAAAAGAGCTTGAGACCATCCTGAACCCCGTCTCTACTAAAAATACAAAAATTAGCTGGGTATGGTGGTGTGCGCCTGTAGTCCCAGCTACTCGGGAGGCTGAGGCAGGAGAATCGCCTGAACCAGGGAGGCGGAGGTTACAGTGAGCCAAGGTCGTTCCATTGCACTCCAGCCTGGTGACACAGCAAGACTCCATCTCAAAAAAACAAAAAAAAAAAAAAGAAAGAAAGAAAGAAAAAAAGGAACCCACATACAAAGATCTTCGATGTCCTTAACAAAAATGTAAAAGGAACTTGTGACCAAAAATTTGAGTATACAAAGAATACAAAATAAAACATCCTACATGTTTTCTAAAATAATCTTAAAGTTATGTTAGTTCTTTTAGATACTGCTCTTACCCTACCAATTTAGGTACTTTTATGTACTTTTTCAAGAAAATTACCTACTCCCTGCACTCAGTGAAATGAACTTCTTTCCTTATACCAGATGGGGAAATAAATTAACTTCCACATGGACAGCCTAAACTAGCAATCAGTAAACTTTTTCTACAAAAAGGAGGAGAATACTAATCTGGCTTTACAGGCATACAATCTCTGCTGCAACCACTCAACTCCAACCTTGTAGTATGTAAGCAGCCACAGACAATACATAAACAGAGGCATGCTGCATTCCAATAAATATTAACAAAATTAGGCAGGGGCCATATTTGGCCCACAAGTTCTAATCAACCCCTGCTCTAAACTAACATCTTTATACAAATCCAAGTGATGTTTTTGTTCAATGGAATTTATTTTCAAAATGGAGACACTGGTTTTCAAAATCAAAATTTAGGAAAAAAGGTAAATCACATAGTTGAGTTATTTTGTTTCTCAGCTAAAACAGTATTTTCTGAAATACCAGTGATGCTAAGTGCTTATACTAATACATGTGAACCTAGCCATCTGATGACAGATGAACTTTAATTTTCACTCAAGATTATACTATTTTAAAAAATAAAATATGAAATAGCAGTTAGAACATTCATTTTAGGCTTGACTATGACAAAACTGAGTATTTAACCATAAGGCTAATTTTAATCAAGCTTGAACTATAAGAGTTCTCTAAAAAGGAAAGTCATATAAAACCAATTAGAACTTCCCCGTAAAAGAAGAAAAATAAGATTGCCTCCTAGTTGTTCACTGTATTAACTATAACTCCTAGGTACATTATACAAATAATGATTCAGTGAAGAAGTTTAGAGCAATGAACTTACTGCAAAAAGAAAAACTGCAATTTATACTAAAGCATTCTTCTCAAAGTCAACGTACCTTTGCAGTAATTCTCTACTTTCCTGCACATCTCTAGTGGAAAGCGTAAGAAGCATAAGATTAGCATAGGCCAGCAGTAAGTCTGTATTGGTTGCTCGCCAGTCACTTTTATCAGACTCCAAACACTGTAAAGACTCCAGATATTCCTATTTTGTGGAATGAACAGTAAGTTACAAAACTTAATCAAATGTTAAGAAATTAATCATTTTAAGCCTACAAATTCCTTTTCTCACTCCAACCACATTTGTGAAACTATATTGATTTTTATATCGACCTTATAAAACACCAAAAATATATACATTTATCATAGTTATCTCCCCAATCTTCCCATTATAAATTTAACTGATCCTGGTAAAAATTTCATTTTATAACTGTTCTACATAAATAAAAGAAATTTTAAGTCCTGCGGGGCACTGCTGCTTTAGTACAAAAAGATGTATGCTAATTGCCTACATAGAAATGTAAAGACCCAATAGCTTTTATCTACCTTAAGGGTCTGTACAACACACGAATTCCATTCTAAACTTGAACGCAAAGCTATGTTCCTCTCTGCCTCATGGCAGTGGGCCACAGCATCCTTCAATCTTTTAGTTGAGCGATACACCTCCACTAGCCGGATGTTCACATGGACGTCATCAGGTCTTACATAAAGTTCTGACTGAATCAAGTCAAAAAGTTTATTCCATCCATCTTCACCTTCACAATCTAGAAGCTGTTCCTATTTAGAGGGGAAAAAGAAAAATTATTAGAGTAACACTTGTGCAATTTTAAACAAGTCATGCTCCCAAAGAGCACCATTCCACTATGTCTAGTTTTATGATGATGCCACCAAAAACACCATCCTATATACCTTATTCATCCCTTCTGAGAGTTGCTTACAACCCAGAAACTAAGCCTCAAGAACTGTATGTGAAGAAAAGCATCTGTGATTACTGCAGTAGCTCATACTCTCTTCAGAGACTACCAGGACTAATGCCACACATTCCTGTCCATCTGAGTCACCACCAGAAGCCTAGACCTCCCCAGTCAATCCTCAGCAACAAGGTCCTTATGTTCAAACTGCTCTGTATCTCCTTAAATCTGACTCAATCCCGCATCCCCTCTCCTCCCACTGTTCTGTTACCTTCATCACCATCTCAAAGCACTGTCATCACCTCCTGACCTTAAATGAAGACAGTATCATCTCAGGATAACCCCCACTACCATGATGGCTTTTTCTCTCTGAACTTACATACAAGGAGAGGAAGTAGGGTTTGTGGCCACTCACTTCTCATTTGCGATGCTCTTCCATCAGCCTCTCAAGAAGCTAGGACCACAGGCATGCACCACCGTGCCCGGCTAATTTTTTTTTAACGTTCTGTAGAGATGGGGTCTTGCTGTGTTGCCCAGGCTGACTACTCAGTTCCTTAATCACCTCATCTCCAGTGATGTTATCCTCCACTCGAACCTCAACCATCCACTTGCCACTGACACAGGTCTTCAAAATCTGTATTTTGGTCATACCACCGAAACCACCATACCACCCTTGTTATTCTTCTACCTCACTGAGGGCCTACATACCCTTACTTTCAGAAATATACTTCTCCACCACATGACAAGTTCCCTTCAAGACAATAACATCATCAAGTTTTAAACACCTGTAAACACATATAAATATACACACTTTCTTCTGTCAGGCAAAAAATGCTATAATCCCTTATATCCATAATTACTGTTTGCTTACAGATCCCTTCAACTAATTCCCTCTTTTCCTCAGAAGAACCCCCAAACTGGTTTCTGTGTGCTTAGATTTGGGAAATCATAACCCCAAGCTAACTGATTTCATTTGCATTATCTCAACCATCAAACTGGTGCTGCCTAAAACAAAATACCATTTTAGTACTAATACTCACTTTCTCCACTCTGACACTTCACACCTCCTATTTCCTCAACTTCCCCATACCTTCCTTTGACCCTCACTTTCAACTTATAACCTAGATTCATCCTTCACTGAGAAACCTGATGCTATCACATATAAATTCCATTTTACCTTACCTACTTAAACTCGTCTTTCCCCAACTCTCAAGACCAAGCCGCCCATTACTACTCTGTATTTCATTCCCCTCTCTCCTTTATCAATTTCTCCTCTTCTGGATGAGATGGATGAAACCCTGGCCTCTCCCTATTGCAAAAGCCCTAGTCTTTGACTCTATGTTAAAAATATTTTTAAAAACCACTATGAGTGCTTTTTAAAAAGTTCTATCTCATACTTGAGAGAAAAAGCCTTCTCAACAGTAATACTCTCATTCATTAAACAAATGTCAGAAACTGTTTACCTTAGCAAGCCTTAAATTTTAGGAGAAATGGAATTACTTTGCATGACAGTTATAAATCTCATGGATTTCAATTCCAAAAAAAAAAAATCTGATACAGGAAAGGTGTAACAGTGCCTTCAAGTTATTAAAGAAAATCTTTAAAGAATGCTTCAAAGTATCTAACTTGTTACACTGCAAGAAAAGAATCTCCTATCATTACATATGTTCTTTAACACTACTGACACCAGATTAACTGGATTGCCACGCCCAATATGGGAGTTATGTTTGAGGCATAACACCTAAGAGAGTAAAGAAATCTGCACAATTAGACCTCACGTTTTAGATTAATATTTAAAATCCAGCTGCTTATTACTGGGGAGAAAAACTTATCAGTAATATTTATCTTTGGAAGCATCTTCAATGCTTTTTCAGCTTCAAAAATCTGTACTTGATTGTTCATAGCAGCTGAACAATAGCCAAAACCTAGAAATAACCAAAATGTCCCTCAAAAGTGAATGGTTAAGGCTGGGCACAGTGGCTCACACCTGTAATCCCAGCACTTTGGGAGGCCGAAGTGGGTGGATCACCTGAGAACCCGGGAGGCAGAAGTTGCAGTGAGCCGAGGTAGCACCACTGCACTCCAGCATGGGTGACTAAGCAAGACTCTGTCTCAAAAAAAAAAAAAAAAAAAAAAAAAAGGGAATGGTTAAATTGTGGACCATGAAATACTACTCAGAAGTAAAGGAACCAACTATGGATATACAAAACTTAATATGGATCACAAATGGTATTATGGTGACTGAAGAAGCCAACCTCAAAACGTCATGTGCTTGGCTGGGTGCAGTGGCTCACGCCTGTAATCCTAGCACTTTGGGAGGCTGGGGCAGGCAGATCACATGAGGTCAGGAGTTCGAGACCAGCCAGGCCAACATGGTGAAACCCCGTTTCTACTAAAAATACAAAAATAAGCGGGACATGGTAACACGTGCCTGTAGTCCCAGCTACCCGGAAGGCTGAGGCAGGAGAATCGCTTGAACCTGGGAGGCGGAGGTGGCAGTGAGCCAAGATTGCGCCAGTGAACTCTAACCTGGGCAATAGAGCGAGACTCCGTCTCAAAAAAAATGAAAAAAGAAAAAAACGTCACATACTTCATGATGACATTTACATAACATTTTGAAATCACCAAAGTATAAAGATGGAGAACAGATTAATGGTTGCCAGAGGTCAGGCATAGTGAAGAGAAGTAAATAGCATCACTACAAAAGGGGCAGCATGAGGAAGATCTCTGTGGTAATAGAGTAGTTCTGTATCTTGACTGCAGTGGTGGTATGAATCTACACGTGATAAAATGAAAGAAAACTATACATACACATTGTACCAATGTCAAAATTCCTGATTTTGATAGTGTGCTTTGGTCGGGTTAAACAGGTTGAGTATCCCTTATGCAAAATGCTTGAGACCAGAAGTATTTCAGATTTTGAATTTTTTCAGACTTTGGAATATTTGCAGGATACTTAGCAGGTAGAGCATCCCAAATCTGAAAATCTGAAATCCAAAATTCTCCAATGAGCATTTCCTTTGAGCATCATGTCAGTGCTCAAAAAATTTCAGATTCTGGAGCATTTAGGATTTCGGATTTTAAATGCTCAACCTGTATAAGCATTGGGGAAAAATGAAGTAGCATACAGAATCTTTCTGTACAATCTTTGCAACTTCCTGTGCAAAAAAATCTATAATTATTTCAAAATTAAAATTTTTTAAATTCCTATCAGAAACATATATAATGGGGATAGAAGGAGGCTAAAGGCAAATATACATTTATAATTTAATATTGTACACACACGATAAAGTATACATTAATATATAAAACATTACAATATACATTTTAAATGTTTGCCAAACATATTTGTGTAGATTTTCTCCAGAACAGTTACTTAGTAAACTATATTTTACTCTATAAAGAATATCAGGACCAGTCAACACACTAGCAAGAACTTCCTACCATTTTTAGTAATTACGTCTTATATACTAGAGAAACCACCTTTTGTCTTTTGCTTGAAAACCTTACTATCTCAAAATGCAATCCCTTCTACTTTCAGACAATAGTTATTAGAAAACACTTCTTTAAAATATCCCTAAATTGTCATCCTGTAGGTAATTTTCACTTAATGAAGCAAAAATTGTATACCAGACGGAACTTAATGTAAATCTTAGCTCTACTTAGTTTACAGCTACTAAACTGTAAAATCCCTAAAATATTAATTATTCCAGAAAGGTAAATGAGATGTCACTTATAAAGTATAACAATGCCTAATAAGACAGTAGATGCTCAGAAAGGTTTTAACACACTTTTTAAAAGAAAATTTTTAAAGGAAACACTAACACCTGGGCTTAAGGTTTGCTATTGAAAAGTAATTTAAATTCCAAATATTAGAAATGGTTATGTCTTAAGTTTTCTCCCTTTATGTTTTGTTTGTTTACCTTTAGTTTATAAATTGCAGGACTTCCTGGGAAAAGTTTGGCTGCTCTTTCAAGCCAGTATTTTGCTCTTCCATCAGTAACATCATTTTTACAAAGCAATTCTGCAATCTTCAACACAAGATCTTTTTGTGTTGGGTTTAATTCCACTGAACGCTAATATCAGAAAAGAAATTAAAGATTAGTAAATAAATTGTATGTATGTATGTAGGAGTATATATACTTATATATAAAGGTTAAAAAATTATCACTCCAACCCTTAAAAAATTCTACTTCTAGAGAAAACATGTTACTTCAAAGGTGTTAAAATAAAAGTGTCTTGGAATTCTCTGGAAATGAATCAAATAAAAATTATATTTGTGTCATTTGAATACAAAAAACACAAAAGAACACCATTTCTGACCGTGTTAGACTTACAATTTATAGGTGTTAAACAATTCTAAATCTGTTCCAAGCTGTGTCACGTAACTGTACTATGATACCAATGCCTGTTTTATGATATTCATAAAATATATTTGACTTACTTATATAAATTTCTCTGGGCATCATGTGTTTGGCTATGCAAAGGCTATATTTGAATCCTGTAACTTACCCTGTAACATTCAACGGCTTTGTCTGTGTTTTCTTCCAATTCATAAAGAAGACCCAGAAATCTGTGAGCTTTGGGATCCCTCTCTTGCACATTAATGTAAGTACATATGTATCTGTTTTTTAAAAGTAATACAAAAGTAAATTAAACTTAGAACTGTACTTTTAAATGCTAACCGAAGAATACATCTTAAACCAAAGCAACCACTAAACTCGTTTATATTGTTACTCAAAACTACCGCTATTCATACAGATAACTCAGAAGTACTCATAGAAATAGATAATACTTAAAAACACGTACATAGAGTTGACCACATACTCATTTTACCATTAAATGTCACATTTACCAAATTTTTCTCCAGTGTTATCCACACATAAGAAATGAACATATAAATTGCTTTTTCTTCCTGATCACATTTTAATAAAGCACTAACAGTTTTGCGAATAAATTAGAAGTGATTATAGTAAACATTTTTAAAGTTATCATAATGCAAAATACTAAACAGCAACAATTTCCCAAACAACAAAGGGAAATACATTTACCCTTTAAGCAAGAAAGTAATTTCTAACAGTACTATATCCAGCTAAAATCGAACAGAAGAAAAATTACTCATTACAGTACCAAATACAGGAAATTTCCATTTCTCAAATCAAGTAACAACTAAAATAAGTAAATATCCTCTAGGTTCCTTGACAGTATTACGATCAGAGAAATTAGGCCAGACCTAAACTAAGGGATTAAAGTCTCACAGTAAAAAGGTACAAGAGTTAACAGTCACAGTGCTGCTAGTTACATAATTTATGTACCACCATTTTCCTTTCTTACCAGCATTTCCATCTTCCTTTGGATGCCTTTAAAAGCCTGCCTCCCAGCTGGGAGCAGTAACACACACCTGTAGTCCCAACACTACGGGAGGCCGAGGCAGGCAGACTGCTGTGCTCAGAAGTTCAAGACTAGCCTGGGCAACATAGTGACACCTGTCTCTACCAAAAAATGCAAACCTTAGCCAGGTGTGGTGGTGCGCATCTGTATCCCCAGCTACTTGGGGCGCTGAGGTGGGAAGATCTCTTGAGCCCAGAAGGCAGAGGTTACAGTGAGCAAAGATGGAGCCAGCTGCTGCACTCCAGCCTGAGCAAGAGAGACAGATACTGCCTAAAAAAAAAAAAAAAAAGCCTGACTCCCTCTTAATTTCCTGCTTTAATCCACTCCAAGTCAGGAAATCAGAATCACCAAGCTTCTTATCCCTAGGATAGAGCCTTAGAGCATCACATATTGTGTCAATTAAACATCTTTTATACAAGCTATTCTCCTGCCTTACAATTACGGTTTAATTTTTTATTCATTGCTATTTTCCATCTGATTAAGGTATCAGATATCTAACCAAAAACAAATTAAGATATAGGCATGGTCCTCTTTTACTCCAACAGAAGACAATTTTTAGAAAAAGTATTTGAAGCCAAACAATTTCTTGCCCTTGGTATAAAGCAGCAGCATGCAGAAAACACTAATTACGGTTTCAATCTCAATGGAATCTAGGCTGGTCCTTAGCATCAGTCTGAGTGATAAATCCCTTATTCCAGAATACACTTAGGAAGAACTACTAAGAACATATTTTTACCTATTTCAAAGAAGAAAATGAGAAAAGGCATTGATTTTAAAAAAAAAATACATGTTACAGTTTGTACTTACTTTTTAGCAAGATCATATTCTTTAGCTTCATAATACAGCTTTGCAAAATAGAATCCTTTCATTGACTTCTAAAAAAAATTAAAAGTTGTTTTACTTTTCATACAGAAATATTTTCCAACATTTTTTCAAAAGTAGTAAAAATCTGTCCTAAGTTGATGTTCAAATACGCCACTTTCATTCACTTAAAAGTTTTTTTAAAGGCTGACAAATGCATAATTCCATGTTTTATAATTTCCTATCACAAAACAAAAAATAGAGCTGGGTGCAGCGGCTCATGCCTGTAATCCCAGCACTTTGGGAGGCCGAAGTGGGCGGATCACCTGAGGTCAGGAGTTTGAGACCAGCCTGGCTAACATGGTGAAACCCCGTCTTGACAAAAATACAAAAATTAGCCAGGCATGATGGTGGGTGCCTGTAACCCCAGCTACTCGGGAGGCTAAGGCACGAGAATCAGTTGAACCCAGGAGGTGGAGGTTGCAGTGAGCCAGAGGTTGCAGTGAGCTGAGATCGTGCCATTGCACTCCAGCCTGGGCGACAGAGCGAGACTCCATCTCCCAAACATCATCATCATCATCATCATCATCATCATCATCATCATCATCATAAATAAGCTGGGTGCAGTTGGTCACACCTTTAATTCTAGCACTTTCAGAGACCAAGGTGGGAGGCTAGCTTTGAGGCCAAGAGTTTGAAACCAGCCTGTGCAACACAACAAGATCCTGTCTCCAGGGAGAAAAAAATAGCCAGGCATAGTGGAGCATGCCTGTGTTCCTAGCTACTCAGGAGGCCAAGGAAGGAGAATCACTTGAGCCCAGGAGGTTGACACTGCCGTGAGTTATGACTGTGACACTGCACTCCAGCGTGGGTGACACAGGGAGATCCTCTCTCTAAATAATAAATACATAACATACAAAAAATAAATTCAAGAAAGTAAGACAAGCAGACAACAGAAGAATTTTCATCAGCCTTGGAAATCTTGGAAACCCTGTGGTACCACTCTCTCACTTAACAAACAAAAGAAACCAGCTTTCTTTGGGGAGGAAAGGTATTCCAGAAATCTCTTTTCCTACCATGTGTAAGCCTCTATGGGAAAGAATAAGTAAGTACTTAGGATCTATTAAGGCACTGAGGATTCCCTGGTCCATGTACTGTTCTCTCTACAGATCAGATCAGTATTTTACAGTCAAGGAGTCAAAAAGGCAGAAATAAATATTGAATTCTTCAAGTAATAAACGAGGTCCACAGCCTGGCTCCTTGGTTACATAAACTCCAAAGTCCAAAATGCTGATGCACACCAGGCTGGGTGCGGTGGCTCACACCTGTAATCCCAGCACTTTCGGAGACCGAGGCGGGCGGATCACCTGAAGCCAAGAGTTCGAGACCAGCCTGGCCAACATGCAGAAACCTCCTTTCTACTAAAAATACAAAAATTAGCTGGGCATGGTGGCACACCCCTGTAATCCCCACTGCTTGGGAGGCTGAGGCAAAGAATCGCTTGAATCCGGGAGGCAGAGGCTGCAGTGGGCCAAGATCGCACCACTGCACTCCAGCGTGGGCAACAGAATGATTCCATCTCAAAAAAAAAAAAAAAAAAAATGCTGATACAACCAGAGTATGTTCCATCCATGTGATAAAGAGTATACAGCTACTCAAACATCTTATTTTTGAAATTCCAAGACCCCAGTGAATGTCCAAAACGATGAATAGTATCAAACCAGGTTGCCGTCAATCGAAACATGTTTCCTGTTTGTGTCCTCCACCCACAAATTTAATGTCTTGTCCATCTCAACTAAGCACTTATCACACACTATGGCTGTAACTTTTGCAGTTTGGGGTGTCACAACAAAACTAGCACAAATTTCTTTTTCCTTCTTCACAATTTCATGGACAAAAGATTTGTTCTTACCATAGATCTTAGCAACTCCAGTATATGATCTTTTTTCTTTCCTAAGTCAAAAACTCACCTCTTCTGAGGGGCGCCTCTGCCCGGCCGCCCCTACTGGGAAGTGAGGAGCCCCTCTGCCCGGCCACCACCCCGTCTGGGAGGTGTACTCAACAGCTCATTGAGAACGGGCCATGATGACAATGGCGGTTTTGTGGAATAGAAAGGCGGGAAAGGTGGGGAAAAGATTGAGAAATCGGATGGTTGCCGTGTCTGTGTAGAAAGAAGTAGACATGGGAGACTTTTCATTTTGTTCTGCACTAAGAAAAATTCTTCTGCCTTGGGATCTTGTTGATCTGTGACCTTACCCCCAACCCTGTGCTCTCTGAAACATGTGCTGTGTCCACCCAGGGTTAAATGGATTAAGGGCGGTGCAAGATGTGCTTTGTTAAACAGATGCTTGAAGGCAGCATGCTCGTTAAGAGTCATCACCACTCCCTAATCTCAAGTAATCAGGGACACAAACACTGCGGAAGGCTGCAGGGTCCTCTGCCTAGGAAAACCAGAGACCTTTGTTCACTTGTTTATCTGCTGACCTTCCCTCCACTATTGTCCCATGACCCTGCCAAATCCCCCTCTGTGAGAAACACCCAAGAATTATCAATAAAAAAATAAATTAAAAAAATAATAATAATAAAAAGCAAGGTGAGACTACAGTACTCTCCCTCTGCCATGTGAGGACAAGATGCCAGCCAACCTATAAGCCAGGAAGAAAGCCCTCATCAGGAACCAAAGCAGCAGCACCCTGATCTGCCGCTTCTAGCCTCCAGAACCATGAGAAAATAAATTTCTGTTGTTTAAGCCAAAAAAAAAAAAAAACAAAAAAACTCACCTCTTCACTTAAAGGAAGCACTATATGGCTTCTCTCTGCATATGTGAACTGCCAGCATCGCTACTCTTGCTCTTTGGTGCCATTTTAAATAAAATAAAGGTTACTTGAACACAAGCACTGCAATACTCCAACAACTGATCTGATAACTGAGATGACTAGTATGTAACTAGCGGGTGGCGAGCACATACAGCATGAATATGTCGGACAAAGGGATGACTTGTGTCCTAGGTAGGACGGAGCAGGAGGCCGTGAGATTTTTACCATGTTATTCAGAACCGTTTGCAATTTAAAACTCATGAAATGTTTATTTATATAATCTTCCATTCAATATTTTTGGACCACGGGTGACACAGCTAAGTAAAACCACGTAAGGCAATACTGTGGATAAGAAGGGACTACTGTACCAGCAACGAACAATCAGAAAAGGAAATTAAGAAAGCAATTCCATTTACAATCGCATCTAAAAGAAAAAAATGCCTGGGAATAAATGTAAACAAGGAGGTGAGAGACTTGTATGCTTAAATTACAAAACGTTGCTCAATGCCAGGCTAACACCTGCAATCCCAGCACTGGCGACAGAGCAAGCCTCCGTCTCAAAAAAAAAAAGAACTACAGCAATCTTAACAAAAATAATACACAGCAGTCAGGACAGCACGTAAAGGAACAAGGCTTGTTCCCCCCTTCCTTTTTTTTTTTGAGATGGAGTCTTGCTCTGTCGCCAGGCTGCAGTGCAGTGGCTCGATCTCAGCTCACTGCAACCTCTGCCTCCCGGGTACAAGCTGGGACTACAGGCGCACGCCACCATGCCCAGCTAATTTTTGTATTTTTAGTAGAGATGGGGTTTCACCATGTTGGCCAAGATGGTCTCGATCTCTTGACCTTGTGATCTGACTTCCTCCACCTCCCAAAGTGCTGGGATTACAGGCGTCAGCCATTGAGCCCAGCCAGTTCCCCCTTTTCAAAATGAAGAAATAGATTCAAGGTACAATGCCAAAACATAATAGAAAAATAATTCCATTACCTTCTTTGCTTCCAACTATGTTATTAAAGTAGACAATCTTAAGATAATTAAACAACTTTACAAATTATTCTTCTATATGATCTTTTGCCTCTAACCTGCTCACTTTACAAGGGAACTGAAGCTCAAGCAGGTAAATGCCTTGTTTAAAGATACACAGCTAGGAAGGAGCACAGCCCATGTTATGTAAACAGGACAATATCTGATGCAAGCAGTACTTCTTTACATGACAGCAGATGTCACTATAAGCAAATACCTGAATTCACTTAAGCTGCCAAATATCAAGAACTGATGCAGGGCTGAAAACAGGAACAGTAAGACCCTAAGAGATGCCACATCATCTCTATCTTGCACAGTAAGATAGAGATGTAATTGTAATTGTCCAAAACTTAATATTTGTGGCCTACTTTTTCACTATGCAGTTCTAAATTTTTTTTTTAATTCAGATGGAGTCTCACTCTGTCGCCCATCTTGCACAGTCAAATGAATCTCCCTCCCCCTAAAATCCTCCAAAAACCCATCTGATCAGCTGTTCTCAACAAACCCATCTGATCAGCTCCAAATCTGTGGAGTCCCAACAAGGGTGAAGGCCGCGATTATACAGGACAATGAGGAAAAGTCTAGATACTGAACCATGAGTTCCCCAATCTTCTTCCCCTGGAACATAAGGGTAAGGAAATCTCTCAAAAGGCAGAACAAACAAAAGAGGAGAATAAGAGAAAAATTAGAGAAACTCCAGCTTTCAGGTAAACGTCATTAAAAAAAGGGTAAGAAATGGTCAAAGAAATAATACAAGAAATGCTACAGAACTGAAAGAAATGAGTTTCCCAATTGAAAGGACACTTCCAGAAAACCTTTAAGTTACCAAGAACAAGAATCTCATCGGACTCCTAACAACAGAACTTCTAGAAAATGGAGCAATGCTTTCAAAATTGCGAAAAAAAAATTATTTCAAACTCAGAATTCGATAACCAAATGATCAACTAAATTAAGTAAAGACATTTTAAAGACATACCATTAGTTTCAAGACCAGCCTGACCAACATGGTGAAATCCCATCTCTACTAAAAATAGAAAAAATTAGCCGGGCATGGTGGCACACACCTGTAATCCCACTACTCAGGAGGCTGAGGCAGGAGAATCGCTTGAACCCGGGAGGCGGAAGTTGCAGTGAGCTGAGACCATGCCACTGCACTCCAGCCTGGGCAACAGAGCAAGACTCTGTCCCAAAACAAAAACAAACAAACAAAAAAACCTCTCATCTACTTTTCCTCAAAGCAAGTGAGACTATGCTACACCAAAACAAAGAAAGTAAATGAAGAGGACATGAGATACAAGAAACAAAGGGTCTAACTCAGAAAAAAGATGAAAGGAATTCTCAAACTGATGATAAAGGGAAGTCCCAAGAGCACAGCTGTGTAGCAAAGAGGAAGAAAAACCAATCCTGGTTGGAGAAGTCAGTTAGTAAGGGTATTCCAGGTAGACAGACAATCAATCAATCAATCAATCAATCAATGTTTTAAGCTGCAATTGATGGGATTATGTGACCAGTTTGACCACATTTGAGGGTGTAAATTGCTGAGTTTAAGTAAGCAAGTAGTAACACAACATACAAGCAAACCAAAAAATAAAGCAATTATTCAGTCCAGGAAAAACAAAACCGCACAACAAGGGCAATTCAAATGCAAAAATATTTACCTTATATTTATATAAATGTTAAATATTCATTTAAACAAAAACTGCAATAACAGTACTGAAAGAATGAGGGGCAAACCAAAGTGTCTGAGGACAGTTTTGGAGGAGCATAATAACCAGTACAGAATGTCTAAAATGGGGCCCGGCGCGGTGGCTCACGCCTGTAACCCCGGCACTTTGGGAGGCTGAGGCGGGCGGATCATGAGGTCAGGAGATCGAGACTATCCTGGCTAACACGGTGAAACCCCGTCTCTACTAAAAATACTAAAAAATTAGCCGGGTGTGGTGGCGGGTGCCTGTAGTCCCAGCTACAGGCTGGGGCAGGAGAATGGTGTGAACCCGGGAGGCAGAGTTTGCAGTGAGCCGAGATCGCGCCACTGCACTCCAGCCTGGACGATAGAGCGAGTCTCCGTCTCAAAAAAAAAAAAAAGAAAAGAAAATGTCTAAAATGGGAGAAAGGAAATTAAAAATAACAAAAGTATATATGTGTGTTACTCAGAAGTATGAAGTATAGCTGTAAAGGGCAGAAAAAACAACTAACAGCTGTCAAAGGTGCCTGCCTGTAGTCCTAAGTACTCAGGAAACAGAGGTAGGTGGATCATTTACGCCCAAAAATTTGATGGCAGCCTGGGCAACACAGCAAGACCCTATTCTAAAAAACAAATAAATAAAAATAAGAGCTGTCAAGTAGACTTTGAGAAGTAGGAATCAGCTGCAGAATAAGAAATCAACTTGACAGAACATAGAAAAACTAAACAGAAGCCATCTGGAAAAAGAAAAACTAGAGAAAGAATTATATTTTTTTTTCTTTTTTTCTTTTTTGGAGACAGAGTCTCGCTCTGTCACACAGGCTGGAGTGCAGTGGTGCAATCTCTGCTCACCACAACCTCTGCCTCCAGGGTTCAAGCAATTCTCCTGTCTCAGCCTACCGAGTAGGTGGGACTACAGGCGCTGCCACCACGCCCGGCTCATTTTTGTATTTTTAATAGAGACGGATTTTCACCATATTGGTCAGGCTGGTCTCTCGGCCTCCCAAAGTGCTCAGATTACAGACGAAGAATATTTTTAAGGGCAAAAGCACATGTGAGGGAGTAGAAAAATGGCAAAACAAGAGAAGACTAACAAATGAAAGCACAATGAAAGACTAGAAAGATATGATATACAGACGCATCATCACACTCCAAAACTCCGACATTCTAGAAAGCATGGGCAGTTCACAGATGGCCAGCCTCTGCCAAACTGGGGGAGAATACTAACCTCTTCATATTCTTCACAGCCACTGCCTCTTCTCCCTCCATTCTTTACCTTCTATCCAAAGCACCCTGTTTTGTCATTTCACTCAAACCTAACTTTACAGAATAGCTTCACATGTTCCAAAGTTACTCACTAGTTAATCCATATTCCGCTGAAATCCCCAGGTTCTAATGTAAATGACTTTAAATTTGGGGGAAAAAAAAGACTCTAAGTGTAAGAGAGGTGTCATAATAACCAATCCTCAAAATTCTGCCACCACTCCACTTTATTTAATGGAGAAGTTATGTAGTTGAAAGAACATTCTAACTTCTGTCTAGACCAGTGGTTTTTAATCTTTTGGAAGCCAAGGTCCCCACTAAGAATCTCAGAAAGGCTCTAAGCTTGCTTTTTTTTTTTTTTAAGCTTGTTTAAAAAAAAAAAAATCAGGCTGAGCAGAGTGGCTCACACCTGTAATCTCAGCACTTGGGGCCAAGGCGGGAGGATCACTTGAGCCCAGGAGTTGGAGACCAGCCTGGGTAACATGATAAGACCCCGTCTCTACATTAAAGAAAAAAGCCGGGCATGGTGGCACATGCCTGTAGTCTCAGCTACCCAGGAGGCTAAGGTGGGAGGATGGATTGAGCCCAGGACGTCAACGCTGCAGTGAGCCACGATCCCGCCACAGCACTCCAGCCTGGGAGACAGAAAGAGACCTTGTCTCAAAAATAAAATAATGGCCGGTGCAGTGGCTCACGCCTATAATCCCAACACTTTGGGAAGTGGAGGCGGGGAAATCACTTGAGCCCAGGAGTTCAAGAACAGCCTGGGCAACATGGTGAAACCCAGTCTCTACCAAAAATACAAAACAAAACAAAACAGCGGGTGTGGTGGGTACACCTGTGGTCCCAACTACTCGGGAGACTGAGGTGGGAGCATCGCTTGAGCTGGGGAGGCGGAAGGTGCAGTGAGTCGAGATAGCGCCACTGCATCCAGCTGGGTGACAGAGTGAGACCCCACCTCAAAAAAAATAAAATAACACAAAAATTAAAGTCTTTAATTTCAGGAGTTACAGGAACCCTCAATTAAGGTCTGTTTTAGACTCTATCATCACATTCATATTTATACTATGCTAGCAGTTTGAAATTACAATGTACAAGTAGATATCTATCCTCCTCCTCTGGAGGAATAGACTGTAACTTACTCCACTGTTCCCAAGAGAAACTAAATCAGACCCACTGCCAAAATTCTGCTGCACTATCTATTTGACCCTGAACAAGTATCTTAAATCTCTACAGGTCTCAATATCCACAGGGCTGCTGGAAGCGCAAAATAAGATAACCTATGCTTAGTTACGATAAGAGACACAATTATGCTACTATTATAATCATGGTCATCCGTGAGTTTCCGGGTTTTTTTTGTTTTTGTTTTTGTTTTTTTGGAGTCTCCCTCTGTCGCCCAGGCTGGAGTGCAGTAGCGCGATCTCGGCTCACTGGAACCTCCGCCTCCCGGGTTCAAGCGACTCTCCTGCCTCAGCCTCCCGGGTAGCTGGGACTACAGGCATGCGCCACCACGCCCGGCTAACTTTTTTTGTATTTTTAGTAGAGACGAGGTATCAACATGTTAGCCAGGCTGGTCACGAACTCCTGACCTCAGGCAATCCGCCCTCCTCGGCCTCCCAAAGTGGTGGGATTACAGGCGTGAGCCACTGCGCCCCGCCAATATCCTTTTAACATCAACAATAAAAAGTGACTTGTAGCTAACATTTAGTGCTATGTGTCAAGCAATACCCTAAATGTTTAAAATGGATCATCCTATCAAATTCTATTAATGTTACAACTCCATCTATGGATGAAAAGTGTAACTGGCCCCAAATACCCAGCTTATAAACGACAGTGCTGTGATTATTCAAGCCAAAGCAAACTGACTCAAGATTCTGCGCACATCCACCTTTAATAGCTTCTTCCGTCACTCTTTAGATCCAATTACTAAAGTCTTATTGAATCCAAAATAGATCACATTATTTACATGTAAAGAGGAAAAATACCCTTAAAACATTTGTGGAAAAGGTTAAAAATTGCAAGCCATACTAACGATTTGTAAGAACTTTAGAATTTTTTTTTTTTAAGCAAAGGCAGCTACCAAAGTGTTCCGGGCGGGGAGGGGGGCGAGGGAGGTGAGTATGAGGAGCGGAGTGGAGCTGGACCCTTACAAAGGGACAGCGACAAACACCTCATACTCAAAACAAGGGGACTTTCAGTGTCATTTGCGCCGTCGGGCCATTGCAAATGTCCGCGCTGAGATGCCTACCTTGTCACTCGACGCAGCCGCCAAAGCTCACCCGGAGCTGCGTCAGTCCCCACTGGGTTCCTCCAGGCCAAGGAGGTACGACCTCCGCCGCAGCATATAAAGTATATGTCCAGGAGATGGGAAGAAACCCGCCGATACAGCACCCGGGTGCCCAAGCCCCCGAGAACTAGGCCGCGCGGGTACTACGGGGTGCGCGATCGGCCAGAAAGCCCGGGCCAGGGCGGCCCCAGGAGCGAGCACCGTCGGGAACAAGCGTCGGGAACAAGCCGGGAGAAAGAGGAAGCGCCGGCGCCAAAGGTCTCCCGCCCACCGCTGTCCCCCCAGGACTCT
Source organism: Homo sapiens (assembly GCF_000001405.40). Classification (NCBI taxonomy): domain Eukaryota; kingdom Metazoa; phylum Chordata; class Mammalia; order Primates; family Hominidae; genus Homo; species Homo sapiens. The sequence goes on along the minus strand of NC_000002.12, from coordinate 108,719,843 downwards.
TCATGCGCTTGCAAGCGCCACGCCGCCCACAGGACTGCGCCAGCCGGCCGGCGCCTCAACAGAGCGCGCCAGGGAGCAGCGCCCGTCGGGAGCCATGACGCCTGAGCAGCGCGAGGCCGCCGCCCGGCCAGGTCGAGGCCGTCGGTCTCTTCGAGACCCACTCACCTGTCGAGGCGACGGGGTGGAGCCCTGCACCGAGGCGATGTACCGCTCCACGTCAGCCTTGCTGCGCCTCATCGCGCCGCCAACCTGGCTCCCGAGGCGCGTGAGACCAGCGCTCAGGCCCGCAGCAGTCGCCACTTCCAAGAGGAAAGCGCCTGCAAACCAGTGACGCAGCGCCGTAGCCGGCGGAGGACCACTGTGACGAACTTGCGGCGCAGCCGGCGGAGGACCACTGTGACGAACTTGCGTACTGCGTCAGCAGTGTGCGCCACGTTGGCGACGTCGGCGCTCGAGCTGCACTCGGCCAGGCTCTTGGCAGCGCCGCGTGCTCTGAGGGTGTCTTGGCAAGCCGGGATCAGATTTCGGCCGCCAGTGTCCACAGCCTAGGGCGTAGATTTCCAGCAGATAACAATTTGCGTGATGGGCTCTTAAGCGTTTTGGTCACTTGTTCTAAATTATAAGTGCGCAATGCATTGGAAGAAAAAAAGCACTCAGGCCAATTTGGTGAACGTGTAAATTGGAACAAAGTTTCTGGAGATGACTGGTTAAATACGTTGCATCGGACATGTGTGAATACTAAAGCATACATTTTTAAATTCATATCTTATTAAATGAGGGCCAGGCGTGGTGGCTCACGCCTGTAATCCCAGCACTTTGAGAGGCCACGGCGGGCGGATCATGAGGTCAGGAAATCGAGACCATCCTGGCTAGCACAGGGAAACCCCATCTCTACCAAAAATACAAAAAATTAGCCGGCCGTGGTGTCGGACGCCTGTAGTCCCAGCTACTCCGGAGGCTAAGGCAGGAGAATCGCTTGAACCCGGGAGGCGGAGGTTGCAGTGAGCCGAGATTGCGCCGTCTGGGCGACAGAGGGAGACTCCGTCTGAATTTAAAAAAAAAAAAAAAGGGAGATTTAGAACTGCATAATGAAAAAGACCACAAATATTAAGTTTTGGACAATTACAATTTTTTAAACAGTCATCTCGGCGGGGGATTGGTTCCAGAACCACCGTCTTATGCCAAAATCCACGCATTCCGCCGGGCGCTGTGGTTCACGCCTGTAATCCCAGCACTTTGGGAGGCCGAGGCGGGCGGATCACCTGAGGTCAGGAGTTCGAAACCAGCCTGGCCAACATGGCGAAAGCCCATCTCTACTAAAAATACAAAAAATTACCTGGGCGTGGAGGTGGGCCCCTATAATCCCAGCTACTCGGGAGGCTGAGGCACGAGAATCGCTTGAAACTGAGAGGCGAGGGTTACAGTGAGCTGAGATCGCGCCACTGCACTCAAGCCTGGGCGAGAGTAAGACTTCCTAAAAAAAAAAAGAAGAAGAAGAAGTCCGCGCATTCTCAAATCCCGCAGTCAGTCCTGCGGGTGGAACACTTAGAGGAAAAGTCAGACCTCTCTATATGCAGGCCCCTCCAATACTGTATTTTCTGTCGGCTTATAAGCGGGCCCAGGCAGTTCAAACCCATGTTATTCAAGGGTCAACTGTGTATATAGGAATAGCCATTCGCCTGGCACAGTGGCTTAAGCTGGTAGCCCCAGCACTTTGGGAGGTCGAGGCGGGAGGATCCCTCGAGTCCAGGAGTTCCAGGTTACAATGAACTGTGATAGCGCCACTGCATTCCATCCTGGGCACCAGAGTGAGACCCTTGTCTCAAAAAAAAAAAAAAAAAGGAAAAGGAATAGCCCCCCCAAATCTATATATATTTCACTAGCAGAATAACAGAACATACCAAAATTTAACAGTAATAATGTAAAGATTTTGAGCCGTCTGTATTTTCCAAATCTTCAAAAATGTCTATTTTGGGAATTTGGATATTAAAATCTTACTTTTAAAACAAAATTTAACAAAACATTTTTAATAGTGAGAACCTTTTAGATTTTAAAAGCTCACATTTGTGTAAACATTACAGTCTGAATTATGTGGACAAATATCAAATGCGTTGACATTTTTAACTGGAAATTTGGGCTATTTTGGTTGTGGATAATTTTTTATCCTTTTTGTTTTTCCATATTTTCTAAATTTTGATATAATGAACAAGTATTGCCTTTCTAAAAAAGGAAAAACAGCATTTTGTTTTATTTCAACAATATTGGATGTGAATAAAAGAAAAGAAAAAGATGATTCTGAGCTTACCAGTGTGTGTGACCCACATTAACAGAAATGACATGTAAAGAAAATCTAGTTTGGAGTGGAAAATCCTATTTTAGGTAGTTGATTTCTTTCACTTGAGGTACCATTTATATATCCATGTGGGGATAGCCTAGTAGGAAGATGAAATGGTAGGACAGAGATCTTGATGGAAGTCAGTAGTTGCGGCACAGTTCTGAGGCCCAGCTACTCCAAAGGCAGAGGGGGAAACATCCCTTTAGCCCAGGATTGGAGACTGCAATGAGTTATGTTCATGCCTTTGCACTCCAGCCTGTGGAAGAGAATGAGATTCCTATCTCTAAAACGAAAAGAGGGCCAGGCACGATGGCTCACGCCTGTAATCCCAGCACACTGGGAGGCCCAGATGGGCTGATTGCTTGAGGCCAGGAGTTCAAGGCCAGCCTGGCCAACGTGTTGAAACCCTATCTCTACTAAAAATGCAAAAATTAACTGGGTATGGTGGTGCATGCCTGTAATCCCAGCTTCTTTGGATGGCTGAGGCACCTGAATTGCTTGAACCTGGGAGGTGGAGGTTGCAGTGAGCTGAGATCGTGCCAGTGCACTCTAGCCTGGGCAACAGAGCAGACTCTGTCTCAAAATAATAATAATAATAATATTTAATTAATTTAAAAATAAAAACCAAAAGAGAAGATCTGATGGACTTAAAAGTCATATATCTCAGGTGATAGGTGAAACCACAAGTTTGCCTTGAAAAGTGTGTTGATAACAATAGCCATAGCTAACAAGTACTTGCTGTGTTCCAAAGCTCTTTCTGTTAGCACTTCATTTGTATTAATATCATTCTTCCACCAACTTTGTAAGGGTACTGTTATTATCCTCAGTTTTTACAGATAAGGAAAGCAAAAGACAGCCAGGCACCATGGCTCATGCCTGTAATCCAAAACTTTGGGAGGCTGAGGTGGGAGGATCACTTGAGCCCAGTAGTTCAAGACCTGCCTGGGCAACATAGCAACACCCTGTGCTTACAAAAAAAAAGAAATTAAAAACTAGCCAGGCATGGTGGTGCCTGCCAGTAGTCCCAGCTATTTGGGAGACTGAAGCAGGAGGATCTCTTGAGGCTAGGTGTTGGAGGCTGCAGTGAGCTATGTTCACTCCACTGCACTCCAGCTTAGGTGACAGAGAAAGACCCTGTCTCCAAAAAAAAAAAAAAAAAAAGGAAACCAAGAGAATGAGCACTGAAGCAACTTGCCCAAACATACTCACCTAGTAAAAATGGTATCATTAATCCATTTATGTTGAATATATCGAAAAGGAGTGCCCAAAGAGAGAACCTTCTTTTTCCTTCTTTCTTTTTTTTTTTTTTTTGAGACGGAGTTTCACTCTGTGGTCCAGGTTGGACTGCAGTGGCACAATCTCGGCTCACTGCAACCTCTGCCTCCCAGGTTCAAGCAATTCTTGTGCCTCAGCCTCCTGAGTAGCTGGGATTACAGGTACATGCCATCACACCCGGGTTATTGTTGTATTTTTAGTAGAGACGGGGTTTCACCGTGTTGGACAGGCTGGTCTTGAACTCCTGGCCTCCAGTGATCCATCTGCCTCGGCCTCCCAAAGTGCTCGGATACAGGTGCCCGGCATCCACCGCGCCCAGCATCCAAAGAGAGAATCTTCTTGAGGAACTCAAAAGACTTTTCTCTTTTGGATAAGCAGTTCATATTTCTGCATTTATTAGGGATTTTCACATTTTACTTCATTTTACACTACATTTTTTTTTTGTTCAGTGGTATAACATTTTCACCAAGGCACTGAAAATTCCATTTGCATTAGTGTCCAATGTCATATATTCCCTACCATGTTGCAAATACAGTTCATTTGTCCAGCTTTATTGAGGTATAATTCACAAATAAAAATTGTATACATTTACTAGGTACAACATGATGTTTTGCTGTCCAAGCATACCTCATTTTATCGCACTACATTTTATTGTACTTCACAGATACTATGTTTTTTACAAATTGAAAGTTTATGCCCACCCTGTGTCAAACAAATCTTTCTGCATCATTTTTCTTTTTTGAGACAGAGTCTCACACTGCCACCCAGGCTGGAGTACAGTGGCAAGATCTCAGCTCACTGCAACCTCCTGTGGCAGGCCAGGTCTCACTAATGCAGACTTTCATAACAACTGTTTCAGTAATTACTGAATGAAGTTAAATACTAAAAGCCAGTGCCCTTATACAAAGGCTGGGATGTAACAAAAGGCCATCAAAACTTTTGCCTAGGCCTGTCCTGGGCCTTAAAGCATGACACAATAATGAAGGAATTTTTTTTTTTTTTTGAGATGGAGTCTTCCTCTGTCACCCAGGCTAGAGTGTAGCAGCAGGATCTTGGCTCGCTGCAACCTCTGCCTCCCAGGTTCAAGTGATTCTCCTGCCTCAGCCTCCTGAGTAGCTGGGATTACAGGCATGCATGACCACGCCCGGCTAATTTTTGTATTTTTAGTAGAGATGGGCTTTCACCATGTTGGCCAGGCTGGTCTCGATCTCTTGACCTCGTGATCCACCCACCTTAGCTTCCCAAAGTGTTTGGATTACAGGCATGAGCCACCGCACCCAGCCCATAACGAAGGAGTTCTCAACAGGACCCATTTAGGATTAAACCAGTTTTATTGCGGGTCTGAAGAAACTCCCCAGGTCTCCACAGACAAGTTTATTGGGGGTCTGAAAGAACTCCCCAAACCTCTGTGACTTAGCGGGAGGCAAGATAAGGGTAATCACCCCGGCACCGAGGGGGAGCTTGCAGTGAGCTGAGATTGCGCCATTGAACCCCAGCCTGGGGGACAGAGTGAGACTCCGTCTCAAAAAAAAAAAAATCACCCCAACATCTAGACCAATTAGATTAAGTAAATTTACTGAGGCTCCAGAGGGAGGTCTTCAGGACTCAGACCTTAGTTATATATTAAAAGAAGTTAATCACTTACGTCTTTAGATGAATGCACACTTACACGTAGACATATAACTTAGAAGGTAGATAAGCTCTGGAAAACTTTGTAATTTTGAGTTGGTCTGGCGATAATTTCCAGGCCTTCTTGCTGTAACTGGTTGCAGAAATAAAAACTCTCTTCCTCCCGAGTTCATCTGCATCTTGTTATTGGGCCATGAGAAATAGCAGCCCGACCCTCAGTTTGGTTGGGGAACACTCCGTCTCCCAGGTTCAAATGATTCTCCTGCCTTAGCCTCCCTAGTAGCTGGGATTACAGGTGTGTGCCACCACGCCCAGCTAAATTTTTTTTTATTTTTAGTAGAAATGGGGTTTCACCATGTTGGCCAGGCTGGTCTCGAACTCCTGACCTTAAATGATCTGCCCGCCTCAGCCTCCCAAAGTGCTGGGATAACAGGCATGAGCCACCACGCCAGCCTCAGCACCAGTTTTCCAACAGCATGTACTCACTTCATGTCTCTGTATCACATTTTGGTAATTCTCACAATATTTCAAATTTTTTCATTATTATAATATCTGTTATATTGATCTGTGATCAGTGATCTTTGATGTTACTTATTGTAATTGTTTTGGGGTACCGCAAGCCATGCTCATACAAGACAGCAAACTTAATTGATGAATGTGTCTGTTCTATCTGACTGCTTCACTGACCCACCATTCCCAGTCTCTCTCCCTCTTCTCGGAGTTCCCTGTTCACCTAGAGACAACAATACTGAAATTAGGCACCTTAATAATCCTACAAGGGCTTCTAAGTGTTCACATGAAAGGAAGAGTTGCATGTCTCTCACTTTAAATCAAAGCTAGAAATGATTAAGCTTAGTGAGGAAGGCATATCAAAAACCAAGATAAGCCAAAAGCTAGGCCATTTGTCCAGAAAAATGATTCCTTTCAAATTCTGCTGCTCATTGACAATGCACCTAGTCACTCAAGAGCTCTGATGGAGATGTACAAGTAGATTAATGTTTTCCTGCCAGCTAACACAATGTCCATTCTGCAGCCCATGGATCATGGAGCAATCTTGACTTTTTTTTTTTTTTCTTTTTTTTTTTTTTTTGAGACGGAGTCTCGCTCTGTCGCCCAGGCCGGACTGCGGACTGCAGTGGCGCAATCTCTGCTCACTGCAAGCTCCGCTTCCCGGGTTCACGCCATTCTCCTGCCTCAGCCTCCCCAGTAGCTGGGACTACAGGCGCCCGCCACCGCGCCCGGCTAATTTTTTGTATTTTTAGTAGAGACGGGGTTTCACCTTGTTAGCCAGGATGGTCTCGATCTCCTGACCTCATGATCCACCCGCCTCGGCCTCCCAAAGTGCTGGGATTACAGGCGTGAGCCACCGCGCCCGGCCGCAATCTTGACTTTTAAGTTTTTTTTTTTTTTTTTTTTTTGAGATGGAGTTTCGCTCTTGTCGACCAGCTGGAGTGCAGTGGCGCAATTTTGGCTCACTGCAACCTCCACCTCCCAGGTTCAAGCGATTCTCCTGCCTCAGCCTCCCGAGTAGCTGGGATTACAGGCGCTCGCCACCACGCCCAGCTAAGTTTTGTATTTTTTTTAGTGGAGATGGGGTTTCACCGTGTTGGGCAGGCTGGTCTCAAACTCCTGACCTCCGGTTTAAGTTTTAAGAAATGCATTGCTCTTTCTCTTAAGCGCGCCGCTGAAGATCCTGGTATCGCCATGGGCCGCCGCCCCGTCCGTTGTTACCGGTATTGTAAGAACAAGCCGTACCCAAAGCCTCAGTTCTGCCGAGGTGTCCCTGATACCATCATTCTCATCTTTGACCTGGGGCAGAAGAAGGCAAAAGTGGATGAGTTTCCACTCTGTGGCCACATGGTGACAGGTGAATATGGGCGGCTCTCCTCTGAAGCCCTGGAGGCTGCTTGAATTTGTGCCAATAAGTACATGGTAAAAAGTTGTGGCAAAGACGGCTTTCATATCCGAGTGCAGCTCCACCCCTTCCATGTCATCTTCATCAACAAGATGTTGTCCTGTGCTGGGGCTGACAGGCTCCGCGTATGCGAAGTGCCTTTGGAAAGCCCCCGGGCACTGTTTCCAGGGTTCACATTCGCCAAGTTATCATGTCCATCCGCACCAAGCTGCAGAACAAGGAGCAGGCGATTGAAGCCCTGCATAGGGCCAAGTTCCAGTTCCCTGGCGGACAGAAGATCCACATCTCAAAGAAGTGGGGGCATCATCAAGTTCAATGCGGATGAATTTGAAGACATGGTGGCTGAGAAGCAGCTCATCCCAGATGGCTGTGGGGTCAAGTACATCCCTAGTCGTGGTCCTCTGGGCAAGTGGCAGGCCCTGCACTCATGAGGGCTTCCACTGTGGTGCCCCCTCTTAATACTCACCAATAAATCCTCCTTCCTGTCCACCTTAAAATTTTTTTTTTAAATGCATTTAGTAATGTTACAGCTGCCATAGATAGGGATTCCTCTGATGGATCTGATCAAAGTAAATCTGGAAAAGATTCACCATTCTAGGCGGCATTTAAAACATTCATGAATAGGCCAGGCCCGGTGGCTCATGCCTGTAATCCCAGCATTTTGGGAGGCTGAGGCAGGCGGATCACCTGAGGTCAGGAGTTCAAGACCAGTCTGACCAACATGGTGAAACCCTGTCTCTACTGAAAATACAAAAATTAGTCGGGCATGGTGGCGTTCACCTGTAATCTCAGCTACTCAGGAGGGTGAGGCAGGAAAATCGCATGAACCCGGGAGGAAGAGGTTGCAGTGAGCTTAGATCACGCCACTGCACTGCAGCTTGGGTGACAGCAGGCACGCACCACCATGCCCAGCTAATTTTTGTATTTTTAGTAGAGACGGAGTTTCACCATGGTGGCCAGGCTGGTCTCAAACTCCTGACCTCAGGTGATCCACCCACCTCAGCCTCCCAAAGTGCTGGGATTACAGGCATGAGCTACTGCACCTGCCCTATGTTTTGGTTATTAATCCCTTGTCAGATAGATAGTTTGCAGATAATTTCTCCCCTTCTGTGGGCTGTCCCTTCACTTTGTTGATTTTTTTCCCTTGGGGTGCAGGAGCTTTTTAACTTAATGTGATCCCATTTGTCCATTTTTGCTTTGCTTGCCTGTGCTTTTGAGGTATTACTCAGGAAATCTTTGCCCAGACGAATGTCCTGAAGAGTTCTCCCAATATTTTCTTGTAGTAATTTCATAGTTTGAGGTCTTAATTTTAAGTGTTTAATCCATTTTGATTTGATTTTTGTATATGGTTAGAGAGAAGTCTAGTTTCTTTCTTTTGCGTATGGATATTCAGCTTTCCCAGCACCATTTATTGAAGAGACCGTCCTTTCCCCAATGTATATTCTTGACACCATTGTTATAACGGGTCCACTCTACTGTGTGGATTTGTTTCTGGGTTTTCTGTTCTGTTCTAGTGGTCTATGCATCTGTTTTTATGCCAGTACCATGCTGTTCAATTACTATAGCTCTGTAGTATAATTTGAAGTCAGGTAATGTGATTCCTCCAGTTTTGTTCTTTTTGCTCATGATAGCTTTGGCTATTCTGGGTCTTTTGTGGCTTCATATAAATTTTAGGATTATTTTTTCTATTTCTTTGAAGAATGTCATTGGTATTTAATAGGGATTGCATTGAATCTGTAGATTGCTTTGGGTAGCATGGACATTTAAAAAATATTGATTCTTCCAATCCATGAACATGGAATATTCCTCTATTTATTGGTGTCCTCTTCAATTTCTTTCATCAGTATTTTATTGTTTTCATTATAGAGGTCTTTCACCTTTTTGGTTAAGTTAATTCCTAGGTATTTTATTTTATTTGCAGCTATTGTAAATAGGATTATTTTCTTGATTTTTCAGATTTTTTGCTGTTGGCATATAGAAATGCTACTGATTTTTATATGTTTGTTTTTTATCCTCCAATTTTACTGAATTTGTTTTTCAGTTCTAATAGTTTTTTTGGGGGAGCAGGTCATTAGATTTTTAAAATATAAGATCATATCATCTGCGAACAAGAATAATTTGACTTCTTTCCGATTTGAATGCCCTTTGTTTCTTTCTCTTCTCTGATTTCTTTCTCTTCTCTAATTTCTCTAGCTAGGACTTCCAGTACTTGTTGAATAACAGCGGTGAAAGTGGGTATCCTTCTCTTGTTCCAGGTCTTAGAGGAAAGGCTTTCAGTTTTTCTCCATTGAGTATGATACTAGCTGTGGGTCTGTTATATATGGTTTTTATTATGTTGAAGTATGTTCTGTCTATACGCAGTTTTTTGAGAGTTTTTTTTTTAATCACAAAATACATTGATTTTCCCATCTCAGCCTCCTGAGTAGCTGGGACTACAGGGGCATGCCACCACACTTGATTAATTTTTTATTTTTAGTGGAGGTGGAGTCTTGCTATATTGGCCAGACTGGTTTCAAACTGTTGGCCTCAACTGATTCTCTCACCTTGGCCCCCCAGCGTGCTGGGATTACAGGCATAAGATACTCACTGTGCCTGGCCAAGATGTTGAATATTATCAAATGTTTTTTCAGCATCTATTGAAGTAGTCATATCATTTCTGTCCTTTATTTTGTTGATATGATGTATTACATTGATTGCTTTGCATACACTGAGCCATTCTTGTATCCCTGGGATAAATCCCACTTGGTCATGATAAATGATCTTTTTTAACATATTGGTGAATTTGCTTGCTAGTATGTTGTTGAGGATTTTTGCATCAACATTTATCAAGAGATTGGCCTGTAGCTTCCCTTCCATTCCCTTCCCTTTCCTCCCCTCCCCTCCCCTCCCCTCTCCTCTCCTCCCCTCCCTCCTTGCTTTATATATCTGGGTGCTCTAGTATTGGATGCATACATATTTGTAATTGTTATAGTCTCTTGATGAATGGACCCTTTTTCATTATATAATGATCTTCTTTGTATTTTTTATAGTTTTTGTCTTGAAATCTATTTGGTATGATGTAGTATAGTTACTTTGGCTCTCTTTTGGCTTCCATTTGCATAAAATATCCTTTCCCAATCCCTTTATTTTCAATCTATGTGTATCTTTATAGGTGAAATGTGTTTCTTGTAGGCAACGGGTTGTTGGGTCTTTTTTTTTTTTAATCTATTCTGCCACTATGTCTTTTGATTGGAGAGTTTAGTCCATTTATATTCAATATTATTATTGAAAAGTGAACACTTAACTACTTCAATTTTGATACTTGTTTCCTGGTGGTTTTGTAGTCCTTCCTACCTACCTACCTTCTTTCCTTCCTCCCTCCCCTCCCCTCCCCTCCCTGCCTCCCTCCCTCCATCCCTCCCTCCCTCCCTTCCTCCTTCCTTCCTTCGTTTGTTCGTTCCTTCCTTCCTTCCTTCCTTCCTTCTTGTGAAGGTGATTTTCTCTGGTGGTATGTTTTAATTTCTTGCTTTTTATTTTTTCTGTATCTGTTTTAGGTTTTTTTATTTGAAGTTACCACAAGGCTTGCAAATATCATCTTATAATTTATTATTTTAAACTGATGAAAACATAACACTGTAAAAACAAATCAGCAAAGAGAAAACTAATAAAAATTCTACACTTTACCTTCATCTCCCCACTTTTTAACATTTTGTTTTTTCTTTTTATATCTTATTATATTGTCTATATCTTGAAAAACCGTTGTTATTTTTTGATAGGTTCATCTTTTAGTCTTTTTTTTTTTTTTTTGAGATGGAGTCTTGCCCTGCCGCCCAGGCTGGAGTGCAATGGCGTGATCTTGGCTCACTGCAACCTCCGCCTCCTGGGTTCAAGTGATTATCCTGCCTCAGCCTCCTGAGTAACTGGGATTACAGGTGCGTGCCTCCACGCCCAGCTAATTTTTGTATTTTTAGTAGAGACAGGGTTTCACCATGTTGGCCAGGCTGGTCTCGAACTCCTGACCTCGTGATCCACCCGCCTCGGCCTCCCACAGTGCTGGGATTACGGGTGTGAGCCAGTGCCCTGCCCTCATCTTTTAGTCTTTCTACTCGAGGTATGAATAGTTTACACACCACAATTACAGCGTAATCATATTCTATGTTTATGTGTGTACTTACTATTACCAATGAGGTGTTTTTTTTAACCTTCAGATGATTTCTTATTGCTCATTAATGTCCTTTTATTTCAGATTGAAGAACTCCCTTTAGCATTTCTTGTAGGACAGGTCTATTGTTGATGAAGTTCCTCAGCTTCTGTTTGTTTGAGACAGTCTTTATTTCTCCTTCATGTTTGAAGGATTTTTTCACTGGATATACTATTCTAGGATAAAAGCGGGTTTGTTGTGGTAGTCGTTGCTGTTGTTGCTTTTCAGCTCTTTAAATATGTCATGTCACTCTCTCCTGGCCTGCACGGTTTCCACTGAGAAGTCTGCTGCCAGACGTATTGGAGCTCCTTTGTATGTTATTTGTTTCTTTTTTCTTGCCACTTTTAGTATTTCTTCTTTATCCTTGACCTTTAGGAGTTTAATTATTAAATGTATTGAGGCAGTCTTATTTGGGTTAAATCTACTTGGTGTTCTATAACCTTCTTGTACTTGAATATTGATATATTTCTCTAAGTGAAGAAAGTTCTCTGTTATTGGCTGGGCATGGTAGCTCACACCTGTAATCCCAGCACTTTAGGAGGCTGAGGCAGATAGATCACCTGAGGTCGAGAGTTTGAGACCAGCCTGACCAACATGGAGAAACCCCATCTCTACCTAAAATATAAAATTAGCCCAGCATGGTGGTGCATGCCTGTAATCCCAGCTACTTGGGAGGCTGAGGCAGGAGAATCACTTGAACCCAGGAGGCAGAGGTTGCGGTGAGCAGAGATTGTGCTATTGCACTCCAGCCTAGGCAACAAGAGTGAAACTCCATCTCAAAAAAAAAAAAAAAAAAGAAAATTCTCTGTTATTACCCCTTTGAGTACACTTTCTACCATGATCTCTCTTTTTATCTCCTCTTTAAGGCCTGTAACTTTTAGGTTTGCCCTTTTGAGACTATTTTCTAAATCTTGTAGGCATGCTTCACCCTTTTTTTTCTTTTTTCTTTTGTCTCTTCTGATTGTATATTTTCAAATAGCTTGTCTTCAAACTCACTAATTCTTTCTTCTACTTGATCAATTCTGTTGAGAAACTCTGATGCATTCTTCAGGATGTCAATTAAATTTTTCAGCTCCAGAATTTCTGTTTGATTCTCTTTAATAATTTCAGTCTCTTTGTTAAATTCATCTGATAGGATTCTGAATTCCTTTTCTGTGTTATCTAGAATTTCACTGAGCCTCCCAAGAACAGCCATTTTGAATTCTGTGTCTGAAAGATCACATATCTCTGTCAGTCTGGGATTGGCCACTGGTGCCTTATTTAGTTAGTTTGGTAAGGTCACATTTTCCTGGATGATCTTAATGTTTGTGGATGATCGTCAGTGTTTGAGCATTGAAAGTTTAGATATTCATTTTTTAATTATTTTTTAATTATTTTTTTTTGAGACAGGGTCTCACTCTGTCACCCAGGCTGGTGTGCAGTGATGAGATTGCAGCTCAATGCACCCTTGACTTGCTGGGCTCTAGCAATCCTCCCACCTGAACCTCCCAAGTAGCTAGGACCACAGGCATGTGCCACCACACCCAGCTAATTTTTGCATTTTTGGTAGAGATGGGGTTTCACTTGTTTCCCAGGCTGGTCTTGAACTCCTGAGCTCAAGCAATCCACCCACCTTGGCCTCACAAAATCCTGGGATTACAGGCATGAGCCACCATGCCCGGCCTGGTTAGATAATTTATTATAGTTTTTGCAGTCTGGCTTATTTGTTCCTGTCCTTCTTGGGAAGGCTTTCCAAGTATTCAAAGGGAATTGAGTGTTGTGATCTAAGATTTTGATGACTGCAGCTGTATCTGCATTAGGGTGCACCCCAAGCCCAATAATGCTGTGACTCCTGCAGACTTGAAGAGGTACTACCCCAGTAGTCTTGGGTAAGATCTGGGAGAATTCCCTAGATTACCTGGCAGAGACTCTTGTTCTCTTTCCTTGCCTTCCCCCAAATAGAGTCTCTCTCTCTGTCCATGCTGAGCTGACTAGACCTTGGGGAGGGGTGACATATGAACCCCTGTGGCCACCACCACTGGGACTGCACTGGGTCAGACCCAAAGCTAGCACAACACTGGGTCTCACCCAAGGCCTATGGCAACCGCTGCCTGGTTACCGTTGTTGTTCCCTCACAGCGCACAGGCTCTACTGTCAGCAGGTCATGAATCCAGCCAGGCTTACAGTCTTCCTCTCAGGGAAGTTCATTCCCCCTATTTCCAAGTATGTCCAGAGATATCATCCCATCTGGGAGTCAGGGCCTGGGGTTGGAAAACTTAGGAATCTATCTGGTGCTCTAGTCTACTGCTGCTGACCTGGCACCCATGCCACAAGACAAAGTCCTTCCACTCCTCTCTTTCCTTTCCTCAAGCAGAAGGAACCTTTCCCTGTGTCCACCACAACCCCAGGCCCACAGTGAGTACTACTTGGCTACTGCCAGTGTTCACTCAAGCCCCAAGAGCTCTTCAGCCAGCTTCTGGTGATTGCTGCCAGGCTGGGTCTCTTCTTTGAGGACAAAGGGCTCCCTCTCGCCTAGAGCAAGTCCAAAAATGCCAGACAGGAGCCAAGGCCTAGAATCAGGGACCCCAGGAGCCCACCTGGTGCTCTGTCTCAGTGTGGCCAAGCTGGTACCCAAGCTGCAAGACAAAGTCCCCTTTACTCTTCCCTCTCCTTTCATCAAGCAGAAGGAGACTCTCCCCATGGCCACCACAGCTGGGAATGCACTGGGTCACACCTGAGGCCAGCATGGCACTGCGTCTCACCCAAGGCCCACAGTGGGTACAGCCTGGCAACCACTGATGTTTACTCAAGGCCCAAGTGCTCTTTAGTCAGCAGTTGATGAATTCTGCCAGGACTGGGTTCTTCCCTTCAAGGCAGTGGGTTCCCTTCCAGCCCAGGGTGTGTCCAGAAATGTCATCTGGGAGCTAGGGCCTAAATGGGGGCCTCAGAACTCTGCCTGGTGTCCTATTTTACTGTGGCTGAGCTGGTATCCAAGTTGCAAGATAGAGTCCTCTTTACTCTCCCCACAGAAGAAAAAAGTCTTGGCCAGCCATGGTGGCCCATACTTGTAATCCCAGCACTTTGGGCCACCAAGGCTGGAGGATTGCTTTAGCCCGGGAGTTTGAGAGCAGCCTGGGCAGCATAGTGAGACCCCTGTCTCTACAGAGAAAAATAAATTAGCCAGGCATTGTGGGACATGTCTGTAGTCCCAGATACTTGGGAGGCTGAGGTGAGAGGATCACTTGAGCCTGGGAGGTCGAGGCTGCACGGAGCCATGACTGTATCACTGCATTCCAGTTTGGGTGACAGACCAAGACCCTGTCTCAAAAAAAAAAAGAAAGAAAAGAAAAGAGTCTCTCCCACAGCCATGCTACCCCAGCTGTACTACCTGGGGTGCTGGGCTCTCAGCCACCCCATCTGTTGTCTCATTAGGTTATGTGCACCCAGAATTCACTGGCTCTGAGCCCAAAAAAGCATAGCACCAAAATTGATAAGAAATTGTAGTCCTTGTGGCCTGGACTGCCTTTTAAGTTTAGTGCCCTAGGACACCAGGGCACTTTGGCCCATGGTGGCAAGGCTTGCTGGAGTTCAGGTTCTGACAACTAGGATGGATAATTCCCTTCTGGCTATGGCTGGTCCAAATGCTTCCTCCAAAGGTACCTGATGAATTCTGCCCTGTGTTGCTTTCCGATGTTACAGAGAGGCACTGAGTTCCAAGGCAAAGTCTCACAATCACTGCACTCTCCCTCCCCAAATCACACAGATTCTCTCTTGTCATGAGGCTGCTGCTACTACTGGGGATATGGGGGACAGGTGGCATCAACAATTCAAGACTGTCTTTCCTTCCCTCTTCAGTGCCTCTTTCCTTGATATAATGTTAAAAACCAGGTACTGTGATCACTCATCTGATCTTTGTGTCTTATAAAGGTGCCTTTTTATGTAGATAGTTGTTCCATTTGGTGTTCCTGCAGGGCAGAGGGTTGGGATGATGCTTGCTGGAGGGTTCTATTTAGACATCTGCTCTGCCTTCTCCTCTAAAAGCTCACTTTTGAAAAAAGTGGTACAGACCAAAGCCCACCTGCCCATGGAAAAGGAGGAACTAGGTGGTAAGGAAACAGGTGCACAAAGTGGTGATTACTTTTTAAAAAATATATAATTGATACAGTTATTTTCAGTATATAATCATATAGAAAAGTTGCCCATTTGGGGGGTGTATAGTTCTTTTTATTTTTTTTTCTTCTTTTTTTTTGAGACGGAGTCTCACTCTGTTGCCAGGCTGGAGTGCAGTGGCATAATCCCAGCTCACTGCAACCTCCACCTCCCGGGTTCAAGCGATTCTCCTGCCTCAGCCTCCTGAGTAGCTGAGATTACAGGCACGCACCACCACGCCCAGCTAATTTTTGTATTTTTAGTAAAGACCGGGTTTCACCATGTTGGCCAGGATGGTCTCGATCTCTTGACCTTGTGATCCACCTGCCTTGGCTTCCCAAAGTCCTGGGATTACAGGTGTGAGCCACCACACCCAGCCAGGGAGTGTATAGTTCTACAATTTTTTTTTTTTTTTTTTTGAGATGGAGTCTCGCTGTGTCGCCCAGGCTGGAGTGCAGTGGTTCAATCTCAGCTCACTGCAACCTCCACCTCCTGGGTTCAAGCGATTCTCCTGCCTCAGCCTCCTGAGTAACTGGGTCAGCAGGCATGCACCACCATGCCCAGCTAACTTTTGTATTTTTAATAGAGACAGAGTTTCGCCATGTTGGCCAGGCTGGTCTCAAACTCCTGACCTCAGGTGATCCACCCACTTCGGCCTCCCAAAATTCTGGGATTACATGTGTGAACCACCTGCCCAGCCAGTTCTACAAATTTTAAGACACCTATGTCCAGATTCATGTAACCACTACCACGGTAAGGATACATAGCAATTCCAACATTCTAAAAACTCATTCATGTTATTACTTTATAGTTATATCTTCCACTCACCCCCTTACCACTGATTACACACTATATACCATATAAATGGAATTATATGTTATGTAACCTTTTGATACAGGCTTCTTTCACTCAGCATAATGCCCTGGAAATTCATCCAAAGTTGCTGCTTGTAGAAATAGTTTTTGTTTTCGTTGCTGAATAATATTCCACAGTATGGATATACCACTCATACATTTACCATTTGTAGGACATTTGGGTTGTTACCAGTTTTTGGTGATTATGAATAGAGCTTCTGTAAACATTTGTATAGAGGTTTTTCAATGGACATAGTTTTAATTTTTCTAGGACAAGGGTCAACAAACTATAGCCTGTGGGCTGGCTGCCTGTTTGTTTTTTTGTGTTTTTTTTTTTTTTTTTTTTTTTTTGAGACAGGGTCTTGCTCTGTCACCAGCCTGGAGTGCAGTGGCGCAATCGCGACTCACTGCAACCTCCACCTCCCGGGTTCAAGCGATTCTCTTGCTTCAGCCTCCCGAGTAGCTGGGACTACAGGCGCGTGCCACCATGCCTGACTAATTTTTTTGTATTTTTAGTAGAGACGGGGTTTCACCGTATTAGCTAGGATGATCTCGATCTCCTGACCTCATGATCCGCCCTCCTTGGCCTCCCAAAGTGCTAGTACTATAGGCATGAGCCACCGCACCCAGCCTTTAATTTTAATAAAGCTCAACTTAGCCATTATTTTCTATTATAACTCATCCTTTTGGTGTCATGTCTAAGAACTCTTTGCCTGACCCCAGGTCAGTAAGATTTTCTCATATGTTTTACACTCATATGTTTACATATTTTCTCATATGTTTGTAAATTGATTTGTAAAATCAATTTACAAAGATTGCTGTAGCACCTTTGTAAATATCAAATGCCCATATTAGTGTGGATTTATATCTGGACTATCTATTTTTTTTCATTGATTTATGTATCTATCTCTTTTCACATACCTCGCTTTCTTGATTACAATAGCTTTTTTTTTGGAGACAGGGTCTTATTCTGTTGCCCAGGCTAAAGTGCAGTGGTGCAATCTAGGCTCACTGCAGCCTCTGCCTCCCAGGTTCAAGCAATTCTCCCACTGAGTAGCTGGGACTACAGGTGGGCACCACCATGCCCATCTAATTTTTGTATTTTTTGGTAGAGACAGGGTTTCACCATGTTGGCCAGGCTGGTCTCAAACTTCTGACCTCAAATGATCCACCCACCTTGGCCTCCCAAAGTTCTGGGATTACAGGTGTGAGCCACTGCGCCTGGCCTACTATAGCTTTATAATAAGGTTTAAAGATGGTAGTGTGATTCCTTCAAGTTTATACTTCTTTGTCAAAATTGTTATCACATTCTAGTTCCTTTGATTTTCCACCTACATTCTCTAATTTAATTATCTATATCTATGAAAAAATCTGCTAAGAACTTGGTTGGAAATGTGTTTGATCTATAGATCAATATGGGGAGAATTGTCATCTTTACTGTGTCTTCCAGTTCACGGGAATGGTATGTCTCTCCATTTATTTAGATCTTCTTCAGTTGCATCAGTATTTTGTGGTTTTGAGCGTATACATCCTGTACATGTTTTGTTAAGTTATAACTTCTGTTTTTATAAAGCTAATGTAGATGCTATTTTTTTTTTAGATTTCAGCTTTAAATTGTACATTGCTGGTATAGAGAAATACAACCTTGTATCCTGTGACATTGCTAAACTTACCTGTTCTAGGGGATTAATTGTAAATTCTTTGAGATTTTACACACAGACAGTAATGTTATCTGCGAAGAGGGACAGTTTTAGATCTTTCTTTCCAATCTGTATGACGTTTATTTAT